>NC_000011.10:123233030-123536060 GCF_000001405.40 Homo sapiens
TCATATGTTGAAATTCTAATCCCCAATGTGATGGTATTAGGAGATGGGACCTATGGGTAGTAATTGGTTCATATTAGGGTAGTAATTAGGTCATATTACTATGACCTATGGGTCATAATTAGGTCATATTAGGTCTAATGAGGTGGAGTCCTTAGGATGGGATTAGCACCTTTAAAAGAAGAGACATCAGTCCCTCTGCCTTGTGAAGATATAAAGAGAAGACAGCTGTCTACTAGCTAAGAAGAGTGACCTGATCAGACACCAAACCTGCCAGGGCCTTGATCTTGGACTTCCCAGCCTCCAGAACAGTGAGGAATACATTTCTATTGTTAAGCCCCCAAGTCTATGGTATCGTGTTATAACAGCTGAGCTAAGACACCATCTTTACAACTCTCTTACAATGCTAGCTAGTTATCCAGTCCTTCCTAGGGGTCAGGCCTTTTACTTTCATTATCTGTAAGCCTCACAACAACCTCTTACAGGAAATTGAAACTCAGCTAGGTTTCATTACTTGCTTGGAATACATGGCTAGAAAGTAGCAGAGTCAGGCTTTGACCCTTCGGTCTGTCCAAATTCTGCAAAGTGGTCTCTTTCCCCCACACAGTTTGTCTCCCAACCCCCTAACTGTGAGTTATTTCCCACTCTGCTCTTGCCCTTGCCATGGAACCAGGGAATTTCAATTAGGAGACTGTGTCTCTTGGTTTTCTCTCTATTAATAAATGTTTGATTGATTCTAAATGAGCTGTCACTATGCCTTGGTGTGAGAATTACAAGCAGTTCCACAAGCAGATTGTAAGGTGACAGCCACGTGACCCAAGCTGTTACTGCGACAGCAGCTGTGGAGGAAGAGTATTTAATTATGGAGACGGGAGGAAGGGGACCAACGGGTCTGAGGGGAAAACTTGGTTGTTCCTGGCCTTATCAACTCCTCAGGATTAAGAAACTGATCTTTGTTCTGTCTCTTCATATCCTTTTGATTTTTAAAATAAAATGTAAGTCAAAATTCCTTATTGCATTTAAAATCTGCACCAGTTTTGTTCTCTGGTTCTCTTGGGCAATAGGAGTGATAAAGCGTGAACTATCACCTTTGAAACTCGTGCCTGAGGAACTTGACTCAGATCTGCAAGCATAAAGGGTTTAAACAGTTCTGTTTTTTCTCTGAGCCTGGGAGTTCGAGGCTGCAGTGAGCCATGGTTACACCACTGCACTGCAGCCTGGTGACAGAGTGAAACCCTCCTTTCAAATATATGTATTTGATATATCAAATATATATATATATATAAAACATATATGTGTGTATATATAAAATATATATGTGTATACATATAAAATATATAGGTATATATATAAAATACATATATATAATACATAGATAAAAGGTGCCCCATCCGCAGGTGAGCACAGCCCTGTGCAAAAGGCAAGACTCTTGAGTGAAGCAGTAGGCTGGACTTCAGCTCCATTCAGCCCCTGGGTCAGGTGCCCCCATAACCACAAAGTCCATCCCCCATAACCACACACAGCAAACCTATCTAATGCTAGGCACGTTTCAATCAGTTAGGATTTATTAACTGTTATTAGTATTACTTACTGTATGTCCACCAAGCCCTGAATAAATAGAGACATTAAAAGGAATTAAGGCTTTGTATCATTATCAATGAAGGGACATTGTTGCCTCAGTTTCTGAGAGGATCCTGGCCACAGATGCTAAGTTCCTTAAATCTGGTCTAGCGATAAGAGTGAGGGCAGGAGAAAGTGGCACTGATACAAGTGGCTGAGGTCAGGGAACTATCACCCAGATGCCATATTTCCCAATGTTCAGGTCTGCCTGGAGAAGCAAACGTGGGTAGGAGAAAAGTTTGAGGTCTTTTCTCAAACTTTGGGGACAGAAAGATCTGGGGACAGAAAAACTGAGTTCCATCCCCAATTCCTGCGATCATGGGCCAGGCCTTTTACTCCTGAGGTCTCCTCATTCTAAAAATGTGGGTTACAATTACTTTCCTATATATGTTAGATGGCTTTGAGGATCGCACAAGATGATTTCTGAAAAAGTACTGTGAATTCTGTGAGACGCAATATAGATGGAAATTGTCGTTTCTTTTCTCAACGTATTTGTTAGGTTTGCTGAAACAAGGAGGCAAGGTTTTGGACTGTGAGCATCCGAGGGGTAAGGATATGAGCTTTATCTTTTCTTTCCAAATTGAACATGGGTAGCCTTCTGTGCGATCTGGGCCTGGCAGCGTGCCAAGTGCTCTTGAGTGACTCCTGCTGGTCGTGGATGGAGCCGTGGGGTCAGGGCACACAGGGACTGCCTCCCCCAGCCTTCAGCTGATACTTGACGATCTCTAAGTGTGCATTTCGGAGCGTTCCCTTCCCACCAGTCGGTGGAGACTACCTTTGCATTTCTTGTTCTGCCAAAAAGATTCACACTTGTTGAAACCTATGACTAATTTGTCATACCCAACATCCAGATTTGATGTGAATTCCCAAAATAACCTTCTGGCAAACTCACCTGAATTCTCAAAACTTTTTCTCTGTTCTCCACCATAATCTGCCTATGTATTCACAAGGCCGAACCATCACCACAAATTTCTGCAGGAAAAATAGCAATTCAATTACAGAAAGTGAATTAATAGTCCATTTTCGTAAAGTCGGGCTGCGTCCGGCACTGAGACGCTAAGAATCTATGACTTCAGCTTTTTCTCCTGAAGCACTCCTCCAAAATGCACCACTGGGCACAGTTCCACTGGGAAGCTAAATAAATCAGGAAAACACAGTGGCCTGTGAGATGCTGAGAATTTAGAATTCAAGATAGCTTCAACTTTGATTTGTCCTTTTTTCTAATGGATGTTCTCTTTAGTTTCTATGAATTTGTGAAACACATATTTGTGGTTTAACCCATCAGTTTTTTCTGTACAGCAGGAAAAGTAAGTTTTGTTTTTACTCAGAAGAAAACGAAAGCCTGGAGATGTTAAGCAATTTGCTTAAAGTCCCAAAGGACACGTCTCAAATATGCTTATCAATAAAACGTGTGGGTCAGTGGGTGAGTTAGAAGTCAGCAAATGCTGAACTTTCTTTCACTGCTTTCCATCTGCCGGAACCAGTGAATGGGCTGATGATGCCGTCTAGTGTTAAGAAAAAACAAATGGGCAGGGCGCAGTGGACCATGCCTGTAATCCCAGCACTTCGGGAGGTTGAAGCAGGAGGATTGCTTGAACCCAGGAGTTCAAGACCAGCCTGGGCAACATGGCAAGACTGTCTTTATAAAAAATAAAAAAGTAGGCTGGGTGCGATGGCTCACGCCTGTAATCCCAGCATACCGGGAGGCTGAGGCGGGCAGATCACCTGAGGTCAGGAGTTCGAGACCAGCCTGACCAACATGAAGAAATCCCATCTCTACTAAAAATACAAAATCAGCTGCACATGGTGGCGCATGCCTATAATCCCAGCTACTTAGGAGGCTGAGGCTGGAGAATTGCTTGAACCCAGGAGGCAGAGGTTGCAGTGAGCCGAGATTGCGCCATTTTACTCCAGCCTGGGCAATAAGAATGAAACTCTGTCTCAATAAATAAATAAATAAATAAATAAATAAATAAATAAATAAATAAATAAAAATTAGCCAGGTGTGATGGTGCATCCCTGTAATCCCAGTTGTTCCAGAGGCTGAGGCTGGAGGATTGCTTGAGCCCAGAAGGTCGAGGCTACAGTGAGCCATGTTTGCACCACTGTGCTCCAGCTTGGGCTACAGAGTGAGATCCTATCTTAAACAAACAAGAAAAGGCAACTTATTCTAAGACCCAGATCCGACATTCTCTCATGAGGTGGAATTAGCTCCTGGGATGTGCAAGTATGATTAGAGATGTTGATTTAAACTTCAGTTTTGCAATAGAAGAAATATTAACCATCTTTCTTAGTTCCAAAAGAAACTCTCATAAAATAGAAGAGTTGCAATTGGAATCCTCATGTAGAATATTCAGGTGTGTATGGGAAAGTGATGACGAAATTGCTCTTTTTCACAAGAGTCTTGATATGGAAAGCAGTGAAGTGGGAAAAAGAGTTAAGTCAGACGGAAACTGGGAGAAACCCTTGAAACAAGTGGTTTGATCTGCTTGGTGGCCTGTAACTTCTGCCACCTGAAAAGATCTGCATCATTTCTGCATTTCTTTTCTTTTCCTTTTTCTTTCTTTTTTTTTTTTTTTTTTTTGAGATGGAGTTTCGCTCTTGTTGCACTCCAGGCTGGAGTGCAATGGTGCAATCTCAGCTCACACAACCTCCGCCTCCTGGGTTCAAGTGATTCTCCTGCCTCAGCCTCTCAAGTAGCTGGGATTACCGGTGCTCGCCACCACGCCCAGCTAATTTTTTGTATTTTTAGTAGAGATGGGGTTTCGCCATGTTGGGCAGGCTGGTCTCGAACTCCTGACCTCAGGTGATCTGCCCGCCTTGGCCTCCCAAAGTGCTGGGATTACAGGCATGAGCCACTGCACTCAGCCAGGTTCTGCATTTTACTTTACTCTTTTCATTTGAACTTTGTTGTATGGACACAGCACACAGTGTGCTCAGTCAGCACCTGCCACACTCACAGCAAGCTTTAGCATGAGCTAGAATGACTCAGAGAAGCCTCCCTGGTGAACCCCACCTGGCTCTGGCCAATCCAACTTCACGTTCCCACAAAAGGCATTGTACTTGCACAGGGCCTGAGCTTGGTCCACCAATGGAACTATCTTGTAGGAAAGATTGCTGGGCTTTGGGTATTTGTTAACTAACGTCTTTGCATTGGTTTCTGGACCAACTGAGGGCAATCTGGCTCCCTAGAGGACACCTGGCAATGTCTGGAGACTTTTTTGGTGTTACAATTAGGGGTGCTATTGGCACCTACTGGTGTATCTAGTGAGTAGGGGTCATGGATGCTGCTAAACATCTTACCTTGCAAAGAACAGCCTCCCTCAACAATAATAATCTGGCCCAAAATGTCAATAGTGCCATGTTTGAGAAACTCTGTTCTGGACCAATTCAATTTTCTTTTTTTAAAATTTGTAGAGACAAGGTCTTGCTATGTTTCCCAGGCTGGTCTTGAACTCCTGGCCACAGACAATCCTCCCTCCTTGGCCTCCCACAGTGCTGGGATCACAGACATGAACTACTGCATCTGGCCCAATTCTTTTCTAAAGCAAGTGAAGTATAGTAGGATTATAGTGAAGCTTGTACCACACTGCTTTTAGCCTTATAAAAGAGGATCTGCCAAACTCTATTATGATAATACTGCTATATAACCACCAACCACAGAACCTAGGCAACATACAACAATAAACTTTTGCTCATGAGTCCAGAGTCAGTTGGGCAGTTCTGCTAAACTGGGCCAGGCTTGGCTAACTCTGATGGAGCTCACTTAGGTCTCTGCAGTCATATGGTGGTTTGGCCTGGGAGCTGGCTGCTGTAATATGACTTCACTCAGCGGTGGGTGGGCTGTTGGCTGACATGGCAAGGGTAACTGGATCACATGGTCTGTCATCACCCAACAGGCTCACCCAGGTTTTTCACATGTCTGTGGCAAAGTTCAAGAGAAAGAAAGTAGAAACATGAGAGGCCTCTGGAGGCCTGGGCTTGGAACTGGCATGTTATCACTTCCACTGTACTCTACTGGTCAAAGGAAGTTGCAAGATTCAAGGCCTGGAGGAACTGACTGTATCTTTTCATGAGAAGAGCTGCAAAGTCAATTGCAATGGGCAAGGATACGGGAAGGAGTGAAGAATTGTGGAAATGTTTGCAGAAAATCTACCACACCCTTCTTCTCCAATCCTAACTTACATTTATGCTTCAAAATTCACTAGACCACTACTCCTCCAGGAAGCTTGGTCTAACCTCCTCTGTCCTCCTACTGACTGCCAGGCTGACGTCTCTCATAGCACTCCTCACATTGTGCCACAATCATGGGCACAACCATTGGCCTGCCCCCACTCGACTCCAAGCCATCCTGAGGGCAGGATGCATGAATGAGTGAATATATGTCCTTAATGTTTTGTAAATCTGGCTGTAGAGCATAAGGAGCTTGGGTTCTAGAGTGAGAATGCCTCCATTCAGATCCAACTTTTGCCTCTTACTAGGTCAAGCCAAGCAAGTGAATAAATGATTTCTCTCTTCCTCTGTACAATGGGGAGAATAATAGTCCATACTCCAGAGGCGCAGGGGAGTGATTGGCACATAGGAATCCTCAGTCATGGTAGCGTCTGTTATTATGAACGCCTCTTTCTCCATTTCAATTTGGCACCTGGTTTGTAGAGACCTGTGACTTCATTCACTAATTCATGCATTTAACAAGTATCTGTAGAGCCCTCACTCGCTAGACACAGCACTCCTTGCTTCTCCTCACACAGTAAGAGAACCGCACATGTCACCCGGCAATTGACTCCTCAGCGTTTGAATTCATTTTCATCTATGGCTGGTTTTGCCTTCCATTCAGTCATTAGAAGAGATGAATGTTTCCTTCTGTAGAGGTGACACAGCCAGGGAGTCACCATGCTCCCAGGGAGAGGAGTCCTATGCATCCTTTCCTTCCAGGCCTGACTCATCAGGGAGACGTTGCCTGGGCTGTTGAATTCCTATAGATCACGGAGACAATGAGGAGAACTGTGTAGGAAGGAGATTTTAGCAAGCTCAAGAGCTGAATTCGGTGTGTTGCTGTAACATTTTGGGAACTTTTAAAATAAGACACATGTACGATTTCAGACAGATTTTTAAATGGCAGCATAAAATAGCTGCTTCTGCCGCAGACTGGTTTTTGTGGGTTTTATAACCAGAAAAAATTAGAAGATGGCTCATGAATAATACACTGACTCAATTCTGGGAGTCGCAGTGCCCCTCACAGTGTGACTGTGTCTACCGCTTTTAATATCCTGCAAATTGACCGGGTGTCTCTCACTTAGCAGGTCTCAGCAGAAATGGAATCTGGCAGGAGGATGGCATCACCAGCTTCTTCCAGGTTCCAAGTTGCCAAGTCAGATGACTCTTGCTTGGCCTTGAAATTGTTCTCTTTCTTAGAGGTTTCAGGTTAGAATTGAATACTTCTGAAACATTTGCAGGAGATTCTAGGTGTCTGGTGTAAGCTGGATTGCACAAGTAGAAATTTGGAAAAATTCAGCCTAAAGTGGATTTGCATTTTGATGGCCCATCTTAGGGAATTTACTGTAGTGTTATTGCTGCCAAATACCTGTGTCCATACTAATATTTTTTAGTCTCTAAAATACTTTTGTATTACACAATCAGAAGAGTATAATTTAGCATTGGTTATACTGGCTTTGAAAGTATATTTGAACATTTCCATGTGAGTTAGTTTTGCTTTCAAAATAAGGATTTAGATTTTTGAGTAAAAGGCCATGTCTTGTGTTTATATTGTTTTCTCCACAATCCCTAGCACCAAGCTGGAAACGTATCACTTGATTCCTACCTGTCAGTTGTCACAAACAGGGAGCTCACAAACTTGTTTAGTTTGGCTATTTTTTTTTTATTTTGTATCAGTGCAAAGTGATAACAGGGAATATAATCAGATAGATATTACCCTGGGTCATAATAAAAGCAGCCTAACATGGGATGGTGCCTCTGTATGTTTACGTGGTCTTCCCAAGCAATTTGGGTTTCCCCCAGTGCTCAAAGCTCATTTGCTTGGAGTTTTCTTTCCATTACCCATTCCCTAAGTCCTGCCCTTACTTCAAGGTGCAATTCTAATTCCATCTTCCCTATGAAATCTTCCTGACGTGGCTCTTATAAGAGTCTCCCCTCTCCTGAGCACATCCAGCATCTCCCCTCAGTGTGCTTTATTTGGCAGCTAGTACCTACACTCAGTGTTTTTGTTCTGTAGGCATTTGTCCTCCTGGCCGATTAAGTTGTAGATCCTTTTCAAGCAGGCTCTGAGTTAATGTGGCTTTGTAGCCTCCTGGCGACCTGTACAGAGTAGGTGTTAAATATGCATTTGTAGGCAGGTAAGATTGATCCTCCGAGAGGCAGTCATTTATCATGGCACTTTCCTGAAAGGACTAGGCCAATCTTTTGGCCACATTGCTCTTGCCCAGATCTCCATTTACCATTGATTACAGCCACAGATCTCTTTTTAGTCTTTATCCTCGTATTCTTTATCATCATTAAAGATAGTGCAAGCCTCCAAACCTTGACTCTTTCCCTGTATCGTCTCCAAAAGACTTTGTTTGTTTGTTGAGCGTCTGTCTGCATTTTTTCCTTAGCTAACTGTTTTCCTGAATTCAATTTCAGGAGACAGACTGCAGCAAGAACAGTATTAGACACATCTAGTAGTGTCACGTTTCTTAACTTAACAGATAAGTATTCAGCACCTATTCTGTGCATTGCTCTGAGTAACACCACTGGCAATTTATGACTCCTGTTCTGTTCTAAGGAGCTTTCAGGCCAGTTGAAGAAATCCTACACACACATGCAAAATACATACATAAATCAAGACACTATGAACAGTACTTAAATGTCAGTAAGTGCTACAAATTCCAAGAAGGGAGATGTCTCTAAAGAGTGGGGGAAGATTTAAGGAGGAGACAGAGCTATTCTGGGCCTGGAGCATGAGTGGAATTGGTAGAGGTGAAATGGAGCAGGAAAGAGGCACCAGAGCAGGGGGACAATCTGGAGGGGGAAGACTTGAAGCCTCAAGGTCACAGGTAATCTGACACTTACTGTTATGTCCATGGACAATCTATGGAAATGTCTGGTGCACAACAGGTGATAAATAGTCGCTTGTTTGTTTTATAGAAACTGTCAAAAGTGGACAAAACACAGGGATAGGGCAGTCTAATGGGGACTTAGAGGGAGTGATGGGACATGTGGTAGGAGTGGCAGGTTCCACTCACCTGAAACTGTGCGTGGATTAGTCCTGGACTTGCAAGGATTAAATATCTAGATAAGGATTTGTGCTTCAAGCAATAGACTGGGATGCAGAGGGCAGCACTGATGATGTTCTTGCAAATTTTGGAAGTTTCTAATTTGGAAAGTATACACGCTGAGGCACCGGAAGGAGTGGGTGGCAGGAGAGGACCAAGTCTCCACTCATTATACTCATGTGGTGAGGTTTTTGTCTTCAACAATTTAGGAAATACTTATGTAAAAGAAAGACTTCTAAAATAAGAAAATCTCGAAATACTAAAATACTGAAATATAAATCCAAAAGGATCTAAATCAGGAATACAAAATTTAAAATACTGAAAATTCATGAGGACACTGCCTCCTCCTTCCCCGCACTGTTCAGAGTCAGCAATTCTGAGCAATTTCTCTGCCCCGAACCATTCAACTATTTTGTATTCCAGAAACCCCACGTGATAGTGATTCTGCAATTTTGCCAAGTTGGAAATCAATTATGGGCAAAAGCACTGATTAACCGCTGAAGTTTTGTCTGGCTCATCAGCTCTTAAGTAAATAATGCATTTTCTATATGCAGCTGTTCTTCAGGGTGGCTGGGGAGGGGTGTTTGTGGAGGGACACGCCGGTGGTGCTCTGTTCTTATTCTCGGAGTTACACTTAATAATTGTCATCATTTTCCTGCACGGAATTGAATGGATAATAAGCCATTTTGGTGAAGGAAGGTGAGGTGGGTGGTGGTGAGAAAGAGGAAAGAGAAAAGCATTTCACAAATCGTATGCATTCTACTATTTTAATTTATTATCATCAATCCTAAACAATATCTCAAAACTATGTTTATAGATCAGAGGAAAATAACTATCTTACTTTATCTTTGTTCAAGTCAGAAAAAAAGTAACCAACTGGCCCAAACAGCATGAAAGAACACCAGGCAAAAAATAGAAGAAATATACCGTATCATCAAAAGGTGCGTCTGAGTTGAAGTCTCTGTTGAAAAACTGCTTATTAGCCTGAAGAATCTAGCAGGGTCATCAGAAGACTTTTCACACCCAGTTGGTTCAGCTGTCTCAGATGATTGTACTGCCAAGAAGCTCCTGTGATTCCCAGCTTGGTCCCCTTTGTAGAAGGCCACGTCTTCTTAACCTAGGAATAAATGAAACTGAACAGATGCCTATACCCCCTTGTGATATTTTTCTGTGACACTTAACATACTTTGAAAAGACCAGGGAAATGTTCCTATCAAAGAATAACAGATATATCCACCTGAAGCGTATCGGCATCTTAACTCTTCAATATACTTTGTGTCACTCCAAGAGATTCTGAGATGACTCTGTACATTCAGATTTATTTTGGATGGACTTAAATGTGGATCATTGTAAGCAAGATATGAAAACAAGACTTGATATGACTTGTTATCTTTCATTAAAGCCACAGTCTCAGCCAGTTGGATTTATTAAAGGTCATTGTGCATCCAGCCTGCGCTGAGTACTGAAGGCAAATAATGCACAATTCCTCCTCTTAAGGAATCGTGGTGAGCCATGAGATAGACACACCGAAGTAAATACTGTCTCGAGGCAGCACGTGTTCATTGCGGCACCATGGCAATAAACGAGTGGTACAGTCAGTGTCATTGGGTTCTAAGTAGGAGGGTCTGTAGTGTCTCAGGCATAGCGAGGATATCAATTTGCCTGGAGTTGAGGCCTTTCCTAGACGGGTGAAAGGGGATAATGTTGGTGAGGTGGTTTGCAGTTGAATTGTGGAGGACATTGATAACCAGTATGACTTTAGCTCTGCAGGTAACTAAAACCCCCAGGAAGACTTTGAGCTGGGGCATCAAATTTCCCTCTGATTTAGGAAGATAAGTCTGGTAGCAGCATGTTGGGCGAGTCAGAGTCAGGGGCAACAAAGCCATCAGAAGGGTTAGAACCATTTAGACGGCAGCTGGCGGACAATACACCAGGACAGGAGCAGAAAGAGACCCGTGAGAGGGACTGTGAAGAAAGCAGTGATTCTTCATGACAGGCTTCCTTCCCGCTGGATCATGGTTACCATAATTATTAGTATGTCCATCTTACTACTCTGATTAAATTACAAGTTTCTTGTAGGTAACACCTTGTTTGCACAGAGGAGGCTCTGTTGGTTGAATTAAATTGTGTGTAACCTAATACGGTGAAATTAGATTTATTTCCACGCTATTGCTAATGATGTAAATCTGTTTAATTGTTCGCCAAGACATACCAACTATTTGAGTCTTTGTTGGATATTGAGATTATTTTATGCAAAAGGTGTATTTCCTGACAATGCATTACTTTGAATAGAAACTTCCCCTACCCACACATAAACAAACACACACACAAAACCAAACACACACACACACAAAAACCCTCAGAATCAAAATGCTTCCTGTTTGACTAATAAAACAGAAAGGGAATGCTTAAGGAAGCAAACACTTGCTTTTTGAGTTAGAAACCTGAAAGCTGTGAGGGGTGTTAATCAGTTTCTTGGCCATTTAAGCATTCGTCACATTTGTTTTTTCCACTTTTTTGATTCATCATTTTAAAAAGCCTCCAACTTGGGGATTTCTGATCTGTTAAAAAAAAACCTTTTAACAAACATCCCTAACACTCTTTTTGGCAAATACCTCTTCTCCTCAGAGTGCAAAAATAGAAATCACTTGCTATTCTAAATAATGTATAGTGTTCTCTTTGAGGCAGGACCTCTCGTTGCTACTTCAGCTTAAACACTGGCTGGGCTTTCTGAGTCCGGCCTCTTCCAAGAGCTACACGTTTCATGGGGCACGAGGGCGACCTCATAGCCACCTCTGATACCAATTGTGGCTATAAAGCTTCCCTACACTGCTTGCTTTTCCACTTTCATTTAAAAGCTACTTATTTTTGGCTGGGCGTGGTGGCTCACACCTGTCATCCCAGCACTTTGGGAGGCCGAGGTGGGCACATCACCGGAGGTTAAGAGTTCGAGACCAGCCTGACCAACACGGTGAAACCCCACCTCTACCAAAAATACAAAAATTAGCCAGGAGTGGCGGTGGGTGCCTGTAATCCCAGCTACTTGGGAGGCTGAGGTAGGAGAATCGCTTGAACCCGGGAGTCAGAGGTTGCAGTGAGCTGAGATCGCGCCACTGCACTCCAGCCTGGGAGACAGAGCCAGACTCCATCTCAAACAACAACAACAATAACAACAAAAAAACTGCTTATTTTTATTCTTCTTTGTTCATTTCAATTCATCTGCTTTTCATATGGGAGATAGAATGAATATTCAGCATGGACTTTGAAGCTGGATCAAATCCGTTTCTAACACTTTACTAGCTGAATGACCTCAGTCAACCAACCTCCTGTAGCCTTCGTTTTCTCATTTGAAAATGGGAATAATGATACTGAATTTCAGAAATTAGTGAAGATGAAATAAGAGGAGATAACGAATGTAAAGCATCCAGCATATGGTAGTGTTAATAAACATTAGTTTCTTATTTGATGGATTTTTTTTCTGAGCATTCTCATGCTTAAGTCAATATATGGGCCAATCCCTCTGTACTGTGTTATTAATAAACAGTGGTTCTCAAAGTGTGGTCCCTCAACCAGCAGCATCAGCGTCAGTGGGAACTTGTTGGAAATGCAAATTATCAGGCCCACCCTATTCCTGCTGAATGAAAAACTCCAGGGGAGGGGCCCGGCCGGTTGTGGTTTATCAACCCTTCAGAGGGTTCTGATGCGCACTGAAGTTTGAGAACCCCTGATTCTAGATAAAGGTTAGCACACTGTGTTTGTGGGTGTGGTGGGGTGTTCATCCAAAGGAAATAAACCAGTGAGGTGCAACTGGAGAGTAATTACATTATTTAGATTTGGTCTTTGGTTTCCGGGTCTATTGTTTGCTCTCTTTCCTTGTCAAGCTAAGTCTTTGGGACCAGGGATGCGGAAGTAAATAGAGTTTGATTTCTGTGATCTGTTGAGATCTGAGGATTTGAAGTGGTCCTGAATCCCAGGCTCAAATAGCATAGCTCTGGTGTTTTCATTTATTTTATTTTTATTTTTTATTTTTTTTGAGAGGGAGTCTCGCTGTATCGCCCAGGCTGGAGTGCAGTGGTGCGATCTCGGCTCACTGCAAGCTCCGCCTCCCAGGTTCACACCATTCTCCTGCCTCAGCCTCCCAAGTAGCTGGGACTACAGGCACACACTGCCACACCTGGCTAATTTTTTTGTATTTTTAGTAGAAAAGGAGTTTCACTGTGTTAACCAGGAGGGTCTCGATCTCCTGACCTCATGATTCGCCCGCCTCAGCCTCCCAAAATGCTGGGATTACAGGCGTGAGTCACCGTGCCCGGCCAGCTCTGCATTTTTATATAGGCCTCTTTGTCTTGGGGGCCCCTCTGGCTTTGGGAGTGGGATGGGAGGGCTAAGATGACACCAGGACCGGATGGTAACCTCTATTCAGATGTTTTTCTTTCTTTCTTTCTTTCTTTTTTTTTTTGAGATGGAGTTTTGCTCTTGTTGCCCAGGCTGGAGTGCAATGGTGCAATCTTGGCTCACTGCAACCTCCACCTCCCAGGTTCAAGCAATTCTCCTGCCTCAGCCTCCCGAGTAGCTGGGATTACAGGCATGTACCACCACAGTCGGCTAATTTTGTATTTTTAGTAGAGACGGGGTTTCTCCATGTTGAGGCTGGTCTCAAACTCCTGACCTCAGGTGACCCACCTGCCTCGGCCTCCCAAGGTGCTGGGATTACAGGTGTGAGCCACCGTGCCTGCCCAGATGTTTTTCTTATTTAGAGACATCCCTCCACCTTCCATTTTTGGATTTTTCTTTTTTCTTTTTTCTTTTTCTTTTTTTTTTTTTTTGAGACAGGGTCTCATTCTGTCACCCAGGCTGGAGTGTGTGGTTTGATCACAGCTCACTGCAACCTTGACCTCTTGGACTCAAGCAAGCCTCAGGAGGCTGAGGCCTCCCTGAGCAGCTGGGACCACAGGAGTGCGCCACCATGCCCAGCTACTTTCTGTATTTTTTGTAGAGACTGGGTCTTGCTATGCTGCCCAGGCTGGTCTTGAACTCCTGCCTGAAGTGATCTGCCTGCCTTGGCCTCCCAAAGTGCTGGGATTACAGGCATGAGGCACCATGCCCGGCCAGCACCTTCCATTTTTGGCTCTGAAACCAGACTTTGAATTTTTCTTCCCTTTTTTCCTTTTAATGTAATTTGTGACTTCAAGGGCTAACAAGGCTTTGGGTTTTGTGTGAGATGAGCAGGGAGGAAGGTCATCAAAGGATTGGCACTAAATGTTGTTGATCTTTTATGAGAAGCTACTCCTGAAAATTGGCGTCCAGTTCTGAGCTTTCAGTATTTTGGTGCACTCTGGGGTCAAAACGATAGCAAGACAGACACATAAACTAATCAATGGCTAAAGAAACTCAGTTTTCGAGTGTATTCCAAATAGCTGCATTCAGGTGCCGCGGCCGCTCAAGCTGGGTTTGCAGTTGGTTAGATACCGCCCCCTTGTGGGCAGCGGGTGTCACTGGCTCCTGTCGGGAGCAGGGGCGCCTGCAGCTTGATCAGCTCAAATTTCCTCAGGGTCATTGATTAAATGTCCGTGCCTTGTCTTTCTATTCTTTCTCCTGCCCTGGTCTTCTATCACCATTTGAATTTCCATCAACTCTACGCTGATTTGGGGAGATACAAATGTTATAACTACCCAGTTGCAGCTGTGTGGATCGGGGAGCTATGGGGTCTGGTACCACCGATGGGATTCTGTAAATACATATGCCCCACCCCATGATGAATTATTATTTTTTTAAAGTTCAAAATTATGCAAGTAATATGTTTATTGTAGAAAAATTAAAAAATTACAGCCACAAGCCTATCACTTACCAAACAGATATTTTGTTATGTTATATTATTCTATTAATATATACCTCTCCCCTCAATATTCCTACTGACCACTTTTCTCTCTCCGGTTCCACTTTAATTCTATTCGTCTATTCCAGGAACAAGAAAACAGAGAAGAGAGGAGGGGAACGGAGACCAGGCAGTGATAGAAAGTGAACAATGCTTTATTTCTTGGCCTTGCCTCACTGGGGCTGGCTGCAGTTATCCTGAAATGAGACAGCACCCTCCTTGATTGCTTGACCTGGTAACTTAAAGTGACACGTGTACCACATGGCCCCTCGTCCTCTTCCTTCCTTGACCTCTTCTTTTTATCTATTTTCTCTTTCTTTCCTTCCTTTCTTTCTTTCTTTTCTTTCTTTCTTTCTCTTTCTTCTTTCTCTCCTTCCTTTCTTCCTTCTTTCCTTCCTTCCTTCCTTCCTTCCTCCCTTCCTTCCTTCTTTCCTTCTCTCTCTCTCTTTCTTTCTTTCTCTTTCCTCTCTCTGTCTTTCTCTCTTTCTTTTTTTTTTTTTGAGATGGAGTTTTGCTCTTGTTGCCCAGGCTGGAGTGCAATGATACCATCTTGGCTCACTGCAACCTCCACCCGTCCCAGGTTCAAGCGATTCTCCTGCCTCAGCCTCCCTAGGAGCTGGGATTACAGGCACCCAACACCACACCTGGTTAATTTTTGTATTTTTAGTAGAGACGGGGTTTCACCATGTTGGCCAGGCTGGTCTTGAACTCCTGACCTCAGGTGATCTACCCGCCTCAGCCTCCCAAAGTGCTGGGATTACAGGCATGACCCACCACGCCTGGCTTGTCTATTTTCGGTCCCTTCTACAGGGTCAAATACCTCCTTCCCTTTTGCCTTTAACATCCTTTTTATTTTCAACAGAAGAGACAGGAAAAGATGGTGTCTCAGTATTATTGTCTGGGCTGAGAATATATTTTCCTGGATCTTGGCTGGGAACTTCTGGCCCAGCCTTTCTTGGGCTTATTCATATTTTTCTTGCTGAATAATAAAGGCTCTTACATATTAGAGTTATTAACCCTAGGTCTGTCATTAAAGTTAAAAAAATTTAACTTATTCATCAACACCTTATTCAACACCTTCATGAATTCATTCAACAATCAATCAGCACTTAGGGTGTGTTATCAGGTGCTGTTCTAGATTCTGGAGATTCAGTGATTTACAAAAGGATAGATGGGGTTTCTGCTTTTGTGGAGTTTAAGTGAAGAGGGAAGAGAAATGTAAAAGCAAGTAAATAGTTTTAGATTTTGGTGAGTGCTTTGTTGTTGTTGTTGTTTGTTTTGAGTCAGAGTCTCACTCTGTCGCCCAGGCTGGGGTGCAGTGTCTCACTGTAGCCTAGACCTCCTGGGCTCAAGAGGTCCTCCCATCTCAGCCTCCTGAGTAGCTGGGACTACAGGCATGCACCACCATGCCTGGCTCATTAAAAAAGTAGTGGGTGTTTTTTTTTTTTTTTTTTTTTTTTGCTGAGAGTGGGTCTCACTATGTTGGCCTGGCTGTTCTCAAACTCTTGGGCTCAAGTGATCCTCCCGCCTCAGCCTCCCAAAGTGCTGGGATGACAGGTGTGAGTCACTGCACCCTGCATGTGAGTGCTTTGAAGCAAGGTAAGGTGATGGGGGAGTTTGTTCCTTTAGTTGAGGCTGTTGGGAAGGGCTGCTCTGAGTAGGTGGGATCCACATGAGGACAAGGAGTCAGCAACATTTCAACCCAGGAAGAACCTTCAGACAGAAGTCAGAGAAAGGGCAAATACCCCACAGGCGAGTAAGCCTGCTGCACCAGTGTCCAAATGAAGGCTGTTGATACCACGGCATAGAGAACAAGAGAGACATAATTAGCTGGGCACGGTGGCCCAGCTGTGTCTGCAGCCCCAGCTGCTCAGGTGGCTGAGGCATGAGAATTGCTTGGACCTGGGAGGTTGAGGGTGCAGTGAGCTGAGATCGCGCCACTGCACTCCAGTCTGGGTGACAGAGTGAGACTCTGTCTCAAAAAAAAAAAAAGAAAAGAAAAAAGAAAAACAAGAAGAGGGACAGCAGGAGGCTATGGGGTTAGAGAGGTAGCAAGGCTGCGGTGAATTCAGTTCTTATCTTAGATGAGGTTGGAAATGAAGGATTTTATGGGCATAAGAGATGGTCTCATTTACCTTATTCAAAGGGCGTGCAGGCGGTTCTCTGGCAAAAGGACAGTGAGGGAGGCAGAGGGGGCACCACAGACAGACAGTGAGGAAGACTGTGTGTCGGTCCAGATAAGATGTGATGATGGCTTAGCTATGGGTGGCAGCCACTGGAGAGGGGAGAAGTCAATGAGCCCTAGACACTCCTTGAGGGAAGAGCTCATGGGACTTGCAGCTGAACTGGATTTAGGGCAGAAAGGAAGAATCAGAAATATTTGCCTTTCAGTGTTGTTTATGGTTTTTCGGTGTGTGTGTGTGTGTGTGTGTGTTTAGCCTTACTAAAATACTACATTGTAAATGTATTTATTTGTAGCAAATATTACTATTTTTCGTAGCAAGAACTTGTGCTCTGAATAATTTGGGGGATGTTTCACGTGGGCTTTGTTTGTTTAACAGCCCAAATGGCTGCAAACATCTCATCAACCAAACAATTCGCCTTCCTCACGTCCTCATTTCTTCAAGACAGAGGACAAGAGCTAGAAGATAGGATGATATTTTGACTTAAGAAACCTACTTCAGCACTATAGAAAAGAATAATAATAATAATAAATTAAAAAAAAAAAAAAGAAATCAGCCAGGCGCGGTGGCTCACGCCTGTAATCCCAGCACTTTGGGAGGCCGAGGCTGGTGGATCATGAGGTCAGGAGATTGAGACCATCCTGGCTAACATGGTGAAACCCCGTCTCTACTAAAAATACAAAAAATTAGCCAGGCGTGGTGGCAGGTGCCTGTAGTCCCAGCTACTCGGGAGGCTGAGGAGGAGAATGGCGTGAACCCGGGAGGTGGAGCTTGCATTGAGCCGAGATCAAGCCGCTGCACTGCAGCCTGGGTGACAGAGCAAGACTCCGTCTCAAAAAAAAAAAAAAAAAAAAAAAAGAAATCTACTTTATGTTCAGGCCCGAGTCTGGGTTTTGAAAAATAATGAATCGGATCCTTTATTGGAACCAGTTGACAGTCTGTTCCAGTTTTTAGGAGCATTTTTCTCCTGGTCGTGCTGTTACTCATTTGATGCTGAGAAAGAGCGATCAATGAAGCCATGGCATGAGACATCTGGCAGCAGCTCTTCTCCGTCACATTTCCAGCGCCTTCTATGAATAAGAAATGCAAACTCAATGGCCGTCCGTCTGCTCATCAGGGCTCCCTTTGTTGGACTTCCTCATGCTGTCTCGTTTGGATTTGTGATCGCTCAGGCAGGATGGACTAGGGGAGTGCGGGTGTGCATGTGTGTGTTTGCACGCCTGTGTGTGAGCAAGCATGTGTATGTATGAGCACATGTGTGAAGGAGAGAAAGATGACAGAGAGGAGAGGCAGATAGGAAAGCCTACAGAAGGAAACAGCAAGACAGGCAGGGGTGGAGACAGAGTCCGAGGCAGAGACAGGGTGGAAAGCTAGAAACCCAACAAGTGAGAGTGGATGGGTGATGTTTTCTCAGATTCCTCACTCTGAGGCTGTAAAACCTGCTGAGAAGAGATGCTGGGGGACTCACAGTCATTTTCAGCAGTGTCTGTCTTGTGTGTGGCTGAGTCCTCCTACTATATCTGCACTCAAGAGAAACTGAAGCTTGTGGTTGAGAAACTAGATGAGGCTTGGGAAGGCTGCAGCAGCAAAGGGGATGAAAGACTTGGAGTTTTTATTTGGCAGGGATATGTGTTGAATTGTGTCCTCCAAAAAAATATGGTCAGGTTCTAACCCTGCATACCTGGGAATGAGATCTTGTTTAGAAATCAGATCTTTGCAGATGCTATCAAGTTAACATGGTCATTAGTGTGAGCCCTCATCCTATATGACTGGGATCCTTATAAGGAGGGGGAAATTGGGACAGAGGGAGAGCACCAAGTGACGACAGAGGCAGAGATTGGAACATTGCAGCTGCAAGCCAGTGAAGGCCCTGGGCTGCTGGCTGCCACCCAAAGCCGGGAAGAGGCGAGGCAAGGAAGGATCCTCCCCTACAGGGTTCACAGGGAGCCTGGCCCTGCTAGAAACTTGATTTTGGACTCCATCCTCCCATAATTTCAAGCCGCCCAGTTTGTGGTACTCTGTTACAGCAGCCACGGAAAACAAAGGCAGGCAGATAGTAGACGAAGTACATCATTAGTGTGATGCCACAGTTAGAAAGCTTAATATGAGTTTGAGCTGCATTAATAGGAGTATAGCATCTAAAATGAGGGAGGAGAGGGTTGTCTTCCACCCCGGGATGTTTATAGTGCAAGCAGACAATTGCATTCACTCCTGAGAAGTATATTTGGCAGGACATGAACAAGCTAGAGATTGTTCAGAAAATACCCAGAGTGGGAGAGGAGCCTGGAACCCTGCCACATTGTCACCTAGACTTTTGCAATCTGAAGCCAAGCTCCCTTATTTTTGTAGCTTTAACTCATAACATTTCCATATATATATATATTCAATCATTCATTCAAACAAAGATAAACTGTGGCCCTGGCTGCCTTCTTTTTTCATTCCACAGATGATTCATTCCTGTGCCTTCAGTTTTCATCTCCACCCAAATTTCTCTCTGGAGCTCCAGATCTACTTATGTGCCCACCTACTCCATTCCAGTCAGTGATCACCTAAGCTCAACTTGGCTAAAATGGAACTCATTATTTACCCCCACCCCCAAGACTTGCTCACTCCTCTGTTAACCCTGTCTCAGCAAAGGGCACCTCTACCCACTTGACTGCCTGAGCCACAACTGCGGGTCCTGGAAGCTCCTGGAGGGCTGGACCTGAGCCTGCTCTTTCCCCGGGCTCCCCTCTGGTTCCCAGGACAGGTGGTGCCCACAGTGGAAACTTACTTGAGTGGACAGATGGCCCCTCTCCTGCTTTTGCCCCCATGGGAAAGCAACACTTAGTTTTTGGTTTGTCTTGAAATAAGGCTATCTAGGGACACCACAAATATTCAGTTGTTTAAACGACATAGATTTTCTGGGAATATTTTAAAAGACTGAAGATAGGGACGGTGCAGTAGAACATGTGCTTTCTTCTTTTTTTCTTTTCTTTTTTTTTTTTTTTTTTTGAGACAGTGTCTCACTCTGTCACCCAGGCTGGAGTGCAGTGGCATGATCTCAGCTCACTGCAACTTCTGCCTCCCAGGTTCTAAGGGGTTCTCCTGCCTCAGCCTCCCAAGAAGCTGAGATTACGGGCATGCACCACCACGCCCAGCTAATTTTGTATTTTTAGTAGAGATGGGGTTTCACCATGTTGCCCAGGCTGGTCTCGAACTCCTGACCTTAGGTGATCCACCTGCCTTGGCCTCCCAAAGTGCTGGGATTATAGGCGTGAGCCACTGTGCCCGGCCCATGTGCTTTCTTAAAAGTAAAAAAAAAATCAAGGCAGAGATAGTTTGCCGAGTGGTACTGTCAGTGAATTCTTTGAGAAGGGCATCGAATCCCATTGTCCCTAAACAGTTAATTTGAATATTCATCTGACACTGTGCCATTACCTTCTCCTTACAAACCTCTAGCGGAAGTTGATGGTACTGAACAGTAGAAGGTAAGTACTCAGATTCTTACTTTGGGTTTTAACATAATACCACCGCCCTCCTTCCTTCCCTCCCTGTTCCCCACCTCCTTGTTATGAACTGGATATCTGTGCCCCGCATCCCCTAGAATTCATATGTTGAAAGCCCCAACCTCTAACGTGTTGGTATTTGGAAGAAGGACCTTCAGGAGGTTTAGAGGCAGTCATGAGGGTGGAGCCCCATGATGGAATTCATGTTTTTATAAAAGGAAGGAGGAGACCAGAGCTCTCTTTCTCTCCGCCATGTAAGGACACAGCAAGAAGGCTGCTGTCTGCAAGTCAGGAAGAGAGCTCTCTCTCTAGGAATTGAATTGCCAGCACCTTGCCTTGCTCTTGGACTTCCCAGACTCCAGGACTGTGAGAAATAAATACCTGTTGTGTATAAGCCGCTCAGTGTCTGATATTTTGTGATAGCAGTATGAATGGACTAAGACACTCCCTTTCTCCCTCCCTCCCTCCCTTTCTTCCTTATTTCTTCTTTCCTCCTTTTTTTCTCTCTGTCTTCCTCTGTCTCTCCTTCTCTCTCCCCCCAGTTGCAATCTCTTTTCTGACTTCATTTCTTGTGGGCAGAAAGAACTACAGGGTTTCCAGAGGCTTCTATTTGGGTCATGGCAAGCAGCTCAGGTTTCACAAGCACAGGACAGATGGTAAGCCAGCTTTCCTTCTGAGCAGAGGGCTCACCCGTCAGAAGGAGGCTGGTTTATTCGTTGGCCAAATTGTTTATAATATCATGCTTATTGTGGGTGTCTTTTCTTCATTCTAGACTTTGGTGGTTAAAAACATAAAACAAAACAAAACCCTTGGAGAACGCTTTGGTCTCTTTCTTTATTTTATTTTTTAGATTTGAAAATATCAACATCTACTTATTTATTTATTTTTAGAGACAGGGTCTCACTCTGTTGTCCAGGCTGGAGTGCAGTAGCATGATCGTAGCTCACTGTAACCTGGAACTTCCAGGCTCAATTTTCCCATCCCAGACTCAGGAGTAGCTGGGTCTATAGGAATGCACCACCACACCTGGCTAAGTTTTAAATTTTTCTGTTGAGATGGGGTCTTGCTGTGTTGCCCAGGCTGGTCTCAAACTTTTGGCCTCAAGCAACCGTCCCACTTCGGCCTCTCAAGGCACTGGGATTACAGGTATGAGCCACCATGCTGGGCTGGCTTTGGTCTGTTTCTGCCTAACAAATCTGCATTGCCTATGTGTGGCAAGGGAAAATGATGATCATTGGTGAGGTGTGTCTGGGAACATGAGGGTGGAAATGCAGACCAAGGGCATGGGCACAGATTTCTGGACAGATGGAGTTAAGCTGAGTGGGTGCCTATGAATGTGTTGCAGGCAGAATGGTGTGGTTGATGAAGGCAACCCAAGGATTTGGAAATGAAGACTCTTGTTTGAGACCCAGGTCTGCCACTTAATAGCTATGTGGCTTGGCAAGTGATTTAACCTCTCTTCCTCGGTTATTTCTTCTGTTAAATGGAGATATAACTATTTGACTACGTTGTTATGAAGATTAAACAAGTCTGCATATAGGAAAAGTATCAAGTAGTGATGGTCCCAAATGTGGAAACTTCACTCTGATGGTTCCTGCCCCTTCCAGCTAGATCCTCAACCTCTTTTCATATCTGTCTTTTCCTCTAAACAATACTTTTTTTTTTTTTTGAGACGGAGTCTTGCTCTGTCACCCAGGCTGGAGTGCAGTGGCACAATCTTGGCTCACTGCAAGCTCTGCCTCCTGGGTTCACGCCATTCTCCTGCCTCAGCCGCCCGAGTAGCTGGGACTACAGGCGCCCACCACCATGCCCGGCTAATTTTTTTGTATTTTTAGTAGAGACGGGGTTTCACTGTGTTAGCTAGGATGGTTTTTTTTTTTTTTTTGAGACGAAGGCTCACTCTGTCACCCAAGCTAGAATGCAGTGGTACGATCTTGGCTCACTGCAACCTCTGCCTCCCAGGTTCAAGCAATTCTTCTGCCTCAGCCCCCCAAGTAGGTAGGATTACAGAAGCCTGCCACTATGCCCAGCTAATTTTTGTATTTTTAGAAGAGACGGGGTTTCACCATGTTGGCCAGGCTGGTCTCGAACACCTGACCTCAAGTGATCTGCCCGCCTCGGCCTCCCAAAGTGCTGGGATTACAGGTGTGAGCCACTGCACCTGGCCTCTCCTGCACTTTGACTTTGACCCTTGTCCTGGCCCAGGCAGGCCTGAGTCTGTGGGTAAACCTCCAGCTAGACACAGATTTATTCAGGGAAATGGAAGGTGGAGAAAACAGCTGGTGGGAGATGGGGCATCAGTGAGTTTAGCTTAAAGGGGTTAAGGAGAGCAAAAACCACCAATGTCCCTGTCTCTTTGCCAGATAACTCTCAGTAAAGCAGTGAATTCTTGCTTGAGTCTCAAACTTTGTACTAATGAGAGGGGCCTGTTTTACCCAGAGTTATATAACCTCTGCTCTTTATCCTGGTATTATTCACTTCCAAGTCTGTCACTACCACCGGACTTTTGGCTGAAAACTGTCAAAGAAACCATCACGGATTAGGACCTATTGGGTGAAGGGTGTGAACGTTGTGTGTGGGGGTTGGCAGAGGAGAACGCGGGGCCTCCGGCTGGCTGTCGTTGCCATGACAACTGCAGGAACTCTTGCTCCACCCATTTGAAATGTCCTGACTCTTGGAATGAAAGGCAGTTAATTGAAGGGTTTCACCTAACATCTGCGCAATTGCAGTGATTATCTGAGCAAGTAGGTAGGGAATCAAAATGAGGTCTCAGAGGAACTTAGGCCTGAGACATCTTCTCAGAAGATGCATTATCTAGTGGATTTGAGTGAGAGGATAGAAAGACTGGGGGTGGGAGTGCCTTTGGAGAGTACAAAATGATAAAAGGGATCACTTCAGGTCAAGAGTTCGAGACCAGCCTGGCCAACATGACAAAACCCCGTCTCTACTAAAGATACACACGCACACAAATGAGCAGGGCATGGTGGTGCATGCTCGTCATCCCAGCTAGCCGGGAGGCAGAGGTTGCAGTGAGCTGAGATCGTGCCACTGCACTCCAGCCTGGGCAACAGAGAGCCAGACTCTGTCTCAAAAAAACAAAACAAAACAAAACAAAAAAACTAAGGGCAGGAGAGCAGAAATTGGATGTGAGAAATATCTTTACGAGGTAGAAGGAGCTTCTGAACTTGTTAATGGATTGGAAGTATGGGGTAAGGCGAGAGTGCCCAGATTTCTCATTAGGACAGCGGCATGCATCGTGGCCTCCGTGAAGTTCCCACCAAGATTGGGAACTGATCCGCATTCCCACAGGAGAGAAGCAGGCTCAGGGGGATGGAAGAGGATTTCCACTTTGCACAGGCTGAGGTCTCAGTGCAAAACCTGGGCACAAAGCACCCCTTTCAACTCTGCTTTTTCATGTTGAACTGAAGAGAGTCACCCTCCTAGTCCCCATCCTGGCTCATGAGAGGAATCAAACTGAAATGAAGGGGGAAAGGATTTTATTCATCAGAGTCTCATAATGTTGAAAAATCTCTAGTCCGATCACGAGGCCTATCCATCCAAATCCATAGCAGGGTTAAATTCATCCCTGTGAGCTGGCCTGCCCAGAGGTGCTGGAAAGAAACATTAACCATTGGCTGGGCACGGTGGCTCACGCCTGCAATCCCAATACTTTGGGAGGCCGAGGTGGGTGGATCATCTGAGGTCAGGGGTTCGAGACCAGCCTGACCAACATGGAGAAACCCCATCTCTACTAAAAATACAAAATTAGCCAGGTGTGGTGGCACATGCCTGTAATCCCAGCTACTGGGGAGGCTGAGGCAGGAGAATCGCTTGACCAAGGTGGAGCTTGCGGTGAGCCGAGATCGTGCCACTGCACTCCAGCCTGGGCAACAAGAGCAAAACTCTGTCTCAAAAAAAAAAAAAAAGAAAGAAAAAAAAGAAACATTAACCATCACGTGAAAACTAAATTCATTAAATTCATTAATTCATTGCAGATCAACACTTGTAATTCTTTTCTCTTCTCCTCTTGGTGCCCATATTAAAACCCCTGCTTGTTTTCTCTCTGTGTGGCATATTTGTGTCTACGACACCCTGGGTATAGCAGTTGCTATGACCGCTCATTGTTTTTCAGCTTCTGTTGCTCAGGAGGAGAGTTATTTAGTTCTTTGAGAGGTCCCCTGTGCTTTCTGGAGTGAATGTTATTTATTACCTTGTGACCTATATTTTAAACCTGACTGTCCCAAACGCTCTCCGAATTTAGCAAAAATGAATTCTGCTATCTTTGTGTGATCCATTTAATTAGAAAAAAGCTAGAAAATACTTTGAAAATAATACGAAGTAATTTCCAAAGCTTTCCCACATGTGGATCTCAGTTTGTCTTCATAAAAACTCTATGAGGTATGGCAACAGATGGGCCTCTTTTCCTGATGTGGAAACTAAGGCTCAGGAAGGCTGGGCTTGCCTGAGGTCCCCAGGTGGATCAATAGGAACAGAAACAAGCATTTTATGTAGCACCAGGCAGTGTACAAAGCACTTTCACTGATACTGTCTCGTTGTGAATGGCTATAATGATCATTCCAGCTAGCTTCATTTCATAGATGAAGAAACTAAACCTCAGGGATGAGTAACTTGCTGGAGACCAGGTAGCAGTAAATGGCTGTGGTGACACCAATGTTTGTACTGCAGTTCCATGTGGGCATTAACCACCTGAAGTTAGTGTAGACCCCACAAGGTGAAGGTGTCGTTCTCAACAAGATTGTCCCCACTTAGATGTCAGCTGCAAAAGGGGTCCCCAGGCACTCACATTTCTGACCAATTGGCTTCAAATCTGGGGGTCCCTACAATGCCCTTCAGGTTTGATAATTTGCTAGAATGACTCACAGAACTCGGGAAAGTGCTATTCTTATGATTATACTTTTATTCTAAAGTATACAAATCAGGACCAACTAAATGAAGAGATGCACAGGGAGAGGTCCGGGTGGGCCTCGAATGAAGAGCTTCTGTGTCCTTTCTCTGTGGATCAGGGTGCATCACCCTCTTGGCATATTGGTGTGTTCACCAACCAAGAAGCTCAATGAGCTTCAATGTCTAGGGTTTTTATTGGAGTTTCACTTTGTAGACATAACTGATAACTCAATCTCCAGCCCCCTCCCTTTTCTGGGCTCAAAGCCCCAACCCTCTAATTTCATGGTTGGTCTTTCTGATAACCAGCCTCCATCCTGAGCCATTTCGTTATCTCACACTCCTGGCCTCAGGCAATCCTCCCACCTCAGCCTCTGGAGCAGCTGGGATTACAGATGCCAGCCACAGCACCTGGCCTGAGCAATCTCATCATAAACTCAGGTGTGATTCAAGGAGCTCATGAATAACAAAGCCACTTCTATCACTTGGGAAAGTTCAGGGGTTTTTGAAGTTCAGCTCTAAACCTGGGTTAAAGACTAGACAAATTCTTTGTCATACAATAGTCGCAGAGCCAGGCAAGTCTGTGTCTGCAGAATCCAGCAAAGTGACTTCCCCTGTGCCCAAAAATGTACCCCAAACACCTGGCTCCCACCTGGCTTTCTGACTATGAGTTTAGGAGAAAGTGAGAAATTGTGATGTATTCGGACCTCTGGAAGTCTTGGAGAGAGGTGTCAGATAGTTCAAAACCACATCCTGTCCTTCTGTTTTGCCCACCTCAAAACCAGACAAAACCCACAGCCCTATTTCCACATTTCTAAGGTAAGAAGCCTAAAGCAGGAAGGATGCTGGAAGAAAATGTGCTGTTCTTCTTCCACCTTAGCAAAGAGCTTGTCATCAGGACAGCCCAGGGCTTCTGAAAGCAAGCCACGTGAGAGGTGCTAGCGCAGACCTTGATTGGAGAGGTCTGCTGTTGGGAGCAAGCCCCCCAAAATCTGGCCATAAACTGGCCCCAAAACTGGCCATGAATAAAATCTCTGCAGCACTGTAACATGTCTATAATGGCCCTAACGCCCAAGCTGGAAGGTTGTGGGTTTAGGGGAATGAGGGCAAGGAACACCTGGCCCACCCAGGGCAGAAAACCGCTTAAAGGCATTCTTAAGCCACAAACAAAAGCCTGACGATCTGTGTCTTAAGGGCGTGTTCCTGCTGCAGTTAACTAGCCCAACCTACTCAATTAATTCGGCCCATCCCTTCATTTCCCTTAAGGGATACTTTTAGTTAATTTAATATCTATAGAAACAATGCTAATGACTGGTTTGCTGTTAATAAATACGTGGGTAAATATCTGTTCGGGGCTCTCAGCTCTGAAGGCTGTGAGACCCCTGATTTCCTACTTCACACCTCTGTATTTCTGTGTGTGTGTCTTTAATTCCTCTAGCACCGCTGGGTTATGGTCTCCCCGACCGAGGTGGTCTCAGCAGTCTGCATTCAGCTTTAATCTGCATTTTAAACAAAAACCCTCCATCCCACACATCCCTCTGCCCTAGGAAGCCATGTCCCAAAACTTGCAAAGCAAAATTGAGCGGTTGATGAGGAATGATTTTAAAGGAATAAAGGAATAAAATCCTGGGCATGCAGGCTACAAAAGGAGAGTATATCCACTTTAATTACTGATGCGAGGTCTTGCAGCGGTGAGCAGGAAAGGGTATGTAGCATCTAAATGCCTACCACAGTGCACTGAGCCCTCACAATTTCATGAAGTATGCCCTACTATCCTACTTTTTATTTTTTTATTTTTGAGACAGGGTCTCACTCTGTCACCCAGGCTATAGCACAGTGGCAAAATCCCAGTTCACTGCAGCCTCCACCTCCTGGGGTTAGGTGATCCTCCCACCTCAGCCTCCTGAGTAGCTGGGACCACAGGTGCGCACCACCACGCCTGGCTAATTTTTGTATTTTTCACCATGTTGGCCAGGCTGGTCTCAAACTCCTGGGATCAAGCAATCTGCCCACCTTTGCTTCCCAAAGTGCTGGTGTTACTGCAAAGGGGTCACAATCCAGACCCCAAGAGAGGGTTCTTGGATTTTGCACAAGAAGGAATTCCAGGCGAATCCATAAAGTGAAAGCAAGTTTATTAGGGAAGTAAAGGAATAAACAGTGGCTACTCCACAGGCAGAGCAACGGCTGGGTTTGTTGAGCTGCTTGGACTTATTGTTACTTCTTGATTGTATGCTAAACAAGGGGTGGATTATTCATAAGTTTTCTGGGAAAGGGGTGGGCAATTCCCGGAACTGAGTGTTCCTCCTCTTTTTAGACTCCATAGGGTAACTTCCTGACGTTGCCATGGCATCTGTAAACTGTCATGGCATTGGTGGGAGTGACTTTTAGCATGCTAGTGAATGATAATTAGCATATAATGAGCAGTGAGGATGAGCAGAGGTCACTCTCATGGCCATCTTGGTTTTGGTGGGTTTTGGATGGCTTCTTTACTGCAACCTGTTTTCTTAATATCAGCAAGGTCTTTATGACCTATGTTTTGTACCAACCTCCTATCTCATCCTGTGACTAAGAATGCCTAACCTCCTGGGAATGCAGCCTAGTAGGTCTCAGCCTTGTTTCACCCAGCCCCTATTCAAGATGGAGTCGCTCTGGTTCAAATACCTCTGACAGTGGGATTACAGGCATGAACCACCACACTTAGTCCCTACTTTAATAAATAAAGAAAATAAGGCTCTGAGAGTTAAAGAATTTGCCCAAAGATAAGGAATTAGGAAGAGACAAAGCTCTGATTCAAACCCAGGTTCAGTTCCAAGACCCACTCTCCAAGCTGCCTCCAGTAGCCAGTAAGAGCTTGGAAAATGTTGCTGTCCTTTTTGTTTGCTTGGTGTTTCATTAAATATTATTTTGTATGATTATGTAATTAAACTGTGATCCTCAGAAAACCTGTAATTTTGAAAGCCCAGGGCAGCAGAACGAAGCTAATGAAAGGCAAGCTTCATTTACATGCATCGGGCTGGGAGAATACTCAGGTCATTCCTCTGAACACCCTGGCGACCTTGCTTAGCTTGGTCTAAACATTAGGCCGTTTTCAGTTCTTAAACCACTGCTAATTCAGGTCCCTGGTGCAGAACAAATGCGCTATTAATGATAAAAGTCGCAGTCACATAAAAGGCTCGCTGTGGGATTGATTATAAAAGCAGCACTCTTCCCAGCTCCAGTCTCTATTTTACGTCTGTGAAGAAACGCGGTGGCCTGCGGAAGGGTGGGCGGGAAGGCCGGAGCTCACGTTAGCTCAGTGCTAGTGCCACCTAGTGGCTGTCCCGGCGTCTGCCGGTCCCCGGGCACTGACTCCTTCCAGGTAGGGTGGGGCTTCGGAGCTCTGCCTTCTTCAGGTCCTCAAGCAGGTTTTTTCACCATTAGTGTGAGGAGAAGAGGAGCGAGGCAATCACCTAGTTCATGTAACTGCAAAATTCCAAACAACTGTGATGACGAATTTTTGGGCTTGACAGTTTTGTTTGTTGTGGCCTCATGCAGGTACAGGATAAGAAAACCCTGACTACCGCCTCTTTCGGATCTCTAGGCCCACTGATAACTGCCCCCATCCACACATGCTCAGGGGTCTCTTCTTCCACGTTTCTCCGAGGCATCCTCCATCGACACCACAGCCCAGGAGGAAAATGAGAAAGTTCAGGACTGTCTCAGACCATTCACTCAACTGATCCTATCTCCTTCTCAAGATGTTTCTCAGTCACCTGCCTGGCAGAGGACAACCAGGCATTTCCTGAGCACTATTCCTGAGTAAGATGTAGGAGCATCAGGCTGGGCGCAATGGCTCACGCCTGTAATTCCAGCACTTTGGGAGGCCGAGGCGGGCGGATCACAAGGTCAGAAGTTCGAGACCATCCTGGCTAACACGGTGAAACCCCGTATCTACTAAAAATACAAAAAGAAAAAAAAAATTAGCCTGGTGTGGCGGCGGGCGCCTGTAGTCCCAGCTGCTGGAGAGGCTGAGGCAGGAGAATAGCGTGAACCCGGGAGGCAGAGCTTGCAGTGAGCCGAGATAGCGCCACTGCACTCCAGCCTGGGTGACAGAGCCAGACTCCGTCTCAAAAAAAAAAAAAAAAAAAAAAAAAAAAAAAAAAAAGATGTAGGAGCATCAGCTGTGTGTCACGCCTTGTGTAAAAGCTGAAAATACGACGTTTGTAAGTCACATTTTCTAAATTTGCGAAAGGCACAGTTGATTAGGGAGACAGCCTTGTTAAGATGTAATCACAGTAGGAGACAATAAACGGTAGGTGGGGAGAGCCAGGAGAGAGGTATAATAGGGCCAGGTCAGGGTTTGGAATCAGATTCACCTGAGTTTGAATCCTGGCTCTGTCACTAACTTGTATACAGGACTTGGAGGAATTATTTGACTTCTCTGAGTGTCGGTTTCCTTATCTGTAAAATGGACATAATAATGTCTGCCTTGCTGGATTGTAGTAAGAAATAGACTCAATTGTGGAAATAAATGAAGAGCAGCCTAATGAGAACAAACAGAGCTTGCTATAGCAAGGGAGTTAGCCACCATTGCTTGGCTTGCCAGAGACTCAGAGGCAGGCAGGGGAATGGAAAAGCTTCATAGTGAAGAAAGGGAAAGGCTTCAGGTCTGCTCTGATTGGAGGCTGTTGGCATTTGGAAGCTGAAGAGGGCCCAGCATCTGGAAGCAGGGCTTCTTCTGTGATTGGTTTGGGGAGCATATTTGGTGTTCTCTGATGCTCAGGTGGAAGCAAGGGCAAAAACAAGGGAAGCCGCCAGTCATTGACCATGTCCTGGCCATTCTGGGCTGATTGTTGTTGGAGAGGCTGCAGTTTGTTTTCCAGGCTGGTTGCTGCAGGGGCAGCGGGTTGGAGTTTTATTGTCACATATGGCCTGGCCATTGTCCGTTAGTATAGCCAGTCTCTCTTAACGCATTCAAAGCTTGTCACACAGTGCATGACATGCACAGATATTCAGTAAGTGGTAATCATTATTATAATTTTCTGTGATCAGAGGTGACTGTAAGATTGCAATTGAGCCAGACCTTAGTGGAAACCCTCTGACAGCTGTTCCCCCTGTATCAGTCAGGGTCCTATCAGGAAAACAGAAACCATGCCCGTTATTTTAAGAGATAATTTAACGCTCCTGTAATCCCAGCACTTTGGGAGACAGAGGCAGGTGGATCACCTGAGGTCAGGAGTTCGAGAACAGCCTGGCCAACATGGTGAAACCCCATCTCTACTGAAAATACAAAAAAATTAGCTGGGCCTGGTCGTGGGTGCCTGTAATCCCAGCTACTTGGGAGACTTTGGCAGGAAATCGCTTGAACCTGGGAGGTGGAGGTTGCAGTGAGTTGAGATTGAGCCATTCCACTCCAGCCTGGGTGACAAGAGCGAAACTCCGTCTCAAAAAAAAAAAAAAAAAAAAAAGTTAATTTAATAAGGGACATCGGTTACAGGGATTGGGGAACTGAAAAAGCCAAAGGGGGCTAATGCAGTAATACAGAAATAGTTACTGCAGGAAGCAGCTGCCAGTCCTAGCTAGGGCTGGAGGAACAGAGAGAAGGGACTGAGGCTGTTAAACTCTGAAGCCCAGAGGAGGAGCTTCCTAGAGTGTGACCCAGATCTCTGAGGAGGGTGTCGCTGCTCAGGTGGTGCTGCTACCTCTGGAGCCTGAAGCAGGGTCCTGAAGGCTGGGACCTGAGCCTCCAACCATCATGAGGCTGATTCAGGAAAGTGGAAGGCCCCTCGAAACTGGGACAAATTGCTGCTGCCGGATGAAGAACCATTGTTGCAACGATATTGTCAGCAATAGCAAGCAAAAAGAGCCGGACGGTGCGTCTCCTGCCTCTAGCTTTCCTGTCTCCCATTAGTGTCCCTGATGGCAGTGACTAGCAAAGGAGGAATGAGCCCCAGGCTCGGCATCACAGAGCAGAGTGTACAATGGTGGGTTTGGAATGGAAAGACAACAGCTTGTTAACCAGCATACTCCCTTCCTCATTAGTTACAGAACCTCAGTTCTGTTCAGGCGTAAGCATTAGGGGAACACAGGCACCCCTCTCGAGACCCAGGGATAAATCTTGATTGGTATATGCTTTTCTTCATGTCCCTAAACCTTTTTTCAAAACTGAAAAACAGGCTGTTAAAAGTAGACAGTCAGTTAACACCTGCCAGTCTCGATTGTTTCCTGCCCACAATCTACTCTTCCTTTCTCCCTTGAGTCTGGAAACACGTGGACCTGGGGGAAACCTGCAAACCTCTCCACAGTGATTGTGAGGCAGCCTCTGCTTCCTTTCCTCTATTTTTTTTTTTTCTACCCAGAGCCAAGAGGCTCCTGGAGGACTTTTCAGCCTTTTCCTTAATGGAGCCAGGGAGAGGGAGGTACAGGGGTAGGAGTTCTGTTCCACATTAGATCTTTCCATTCTAGACGGTTAGACTCTTCCAGGAGATTATAAGGCTGGAGATTTGGCCCATTCCATTTAGAGGAGGAAGGGCTCTGATTATGCTTTCACCCAGAAGTAACTAGCCTGCGCCAGAGATGATACCAGGCATTGGGAAAGCCAAGATGAACCAAGCGTAGTCCCTTCCCTAGGGGAGTTCATAACCAGTGGAGAGACAGACTCCAATAAATCAATACTACATAGTGTGAGCACAAACATAAGTGCCTGACATCATGGAATCATTAATGTCTAATTCTCTGATAGTGTCAGACAACTTCCCAGAGAAGGCGACATTTGACTTGAGCCATGAAGTAGAAGCCTGCCAGGAGGGTGAAGGAATGAGCAAGCCCCCGAGGCAGATGCCAGCACACGTTGGCTGGCAGGTGCACAGGAGCATCTCCTTTAGGGACCTCTAAGAAGGCATGAAGGCTGCACAGAGGGCTGGACACACAGCATCAGTAGGGGTGGAGTTCTGGGATGTTGAACCTGCAGGGGTAGAAAGGGACCAGCTCCTGAAGAGGCTGGGATAACATGCTACAGAGACAGTGGGAAGGACATGCTACAGAGCTGGGGAGGACTGTGACCCAGCCTGCAGTGTAGACAGCTCGCTCTAGCAACTGAGTGGAGGCTGGATCTGGAAAGGGTGCTGGCAAAGTTCAAGGCAGAGAAGCTACTGAGAGGCTGTGTCCTTGGTGGCTTTAAAGATGTACGAGAGACTTGCCTGGGCTCTCCCAGCCAAAGGGATCCACAGCAGATGAGTGGAGGGAAAGGCTGTACCTGAGATTCTGCGTGGTAGGCCCTCCCAGCAGAGATACCGTGTCTGACCGTAAAGACCACGTTTCAAGGAGTATTGAGGCTTCCAGGAAACTACGATGGAGAAAAGTGCTGGCAGGCGAGGCAGGGAAGCAGAGATGCACATTTGGGAGCGCAGTAGGTGCCAGTTTGGGTGCCATTCCTGAGGCTCCCAATAACCGGTACAGACTTTGGGGCTGAGAAATGACATGACCAGAGGCTGCGATTTAGGAAGGTTCACCTGGGAGCTGTGTGTAGGGTGATTCAGAGCAAGAAGGGTGTCGTGTTGTAAAATTTGTGTGCAGGCTGTGATTACAGGGATCAGATTCAGCACAGTAACACTGGAAATGGGGAGGATGGGTAAGCTTTGGAAGGGAGATGGCGGAAGCTGTGATAACTGATTTGGGAACTGGGGTGAGGGTAGGAGGCAAGATGTTCCCAAGCCTTTTGTTAATGTAAGAGGGAATAGAAATTGGGAAGGCAGGAGAAGGAGCAAGGTTAGTGCCAGCTGTTAGTATCTGAATAATGGCCTTTTTCAATTTGCATCCTCGTTGCTGGCATCCTGTAACAAAGCCAAACACAGCACTTGTGACATCAGATGAGCATATTGAAGCCATAGGGAAGAAAACCACAAAGAAATAAGGAGTAGAGGCTCTGCGGACAATTTGATTTCTGGTGGTAATTTTCATTGCAACAACAGTAATAATAACAACCCATTTATTTTATATTTCTGTTTGAAAGTGCTCCATTAGGCTAATTTTAGTGAGTATACAGTGAAATTTATCTACTAATTTACTTCTGGTAGTGCTGTAAATGAGTCCAACACTCTTGAAAGCAATATGATAGTATGTGGCAAATCCTACTCCTAGGAATTTATCCTAAGGAAATATATATTTTTAAAGCCAAAACTGAGAGCCCAAAGAAGTTCATTACAGTATTATCTATGCTAACAAAAATAGTGAAGATATAAAACTGCAACAGAAGGAAATGGTTTGCTAAATGATACCATGATGAGTCAATGAAATACTATGAGCCTATTAAAATGCAAATTACAAATATATTGACTGGGGAGAAACACAGAAACAAATTTGATGTGATAAACAGGCGCGGGGTAGTGGAGCACAGAATGCTTTGTACACTTTAATATAACTGTCAAAACCCACATGCATGTGGATGAAGACTGAAAAGGAATTTGAAGAAATTAAAGTAGTTATTGTAGTGCACAACATGGGCTCAGGAGTCAGGATTCTGGGCTCCAATCCTGTGGTTTACTAGCCTGTGACCTTGGGCGATGTCTTCAGCTTCTCTTGGCTTCGGCTACTTATCTACAAAATGGGGTTAAAAAAATGAGTGCAATTTTTTTTTTTTTTTTTTGAGACAGAGTCTCACTCTGTCACCCAGGCTGGAGTGCAGTGGCTCAATCTCAGCTCCTGCAACCTCTGCCTCCCAGGTTCAAGTGATTTTCCTGCGTCAGCCTCCCAAGCAGCTGGGAATACAGGTGCCCGCCACCATGCTCGGCTAATTTTCGTATTTTTAGTAGGGACGGGGCTTCACCATGTTGACCAGGCTGGTCTTGAACTCCTGACCTCAGGTGATCCACCCACCTTGGCCTCCCAAAGTGCTGGGATTACATGTGTGAGCCACTGCACCCAGCCATTAGTGCAATTTTTAAACTTCAAGGAGTTGTGAGCATCCAAGTAAGATAATACCTATAAAACTCTTGTCTATTGAAAATGTTCAATAAATGACACATATTATGGGTAATTTCTGTTTGAAATATGTTATAGATAGATTACCTTGTTGCTTTAAAAAATGCATACGTGAAGACCGGGCACAGACGCTCACACCTGTAATCCCAGCACTTTGGGAGGCTGAGGTAAGTGGATGGTTTGAACCTAGGAGTTCAAGACCAGCCTTGGCAATATAGCAAAACCCTGTCTCCACTAAAAATACAAAAATTAGCTGGGTGTGGTGGTGTGTGCCTATAGTCCCAGCTACTTGGGAGGCTGAGGCGGGAGGATTGCTTGAGCCCAGGAGGTTGAGACTGCAGTGAGCCCTGAGTACACCACTGAACTCTAGCCTGGGCAACAGAGTGAGACTCTGTCTCAAAAAAAAAAAAAAAAAAAAAAAAAAGGACAAGTAATGTATAATTATCTTTAATGGAGTTAAGTAGATCCAACAGGAAGTTTACAAAACATTAAGAAAGTGTTAGGTGCTGGGTTCTGTGTTTTGTCTTTGTGGTTTTGTTTCTGTTTTGTCCTTGTATTTTAACCCAACTTGGCATGTGGACCACTCAGAAAGTGAAATAAATGTAATGCTAAAATTTTTTTTTTTTACTTCATGCCTTCCTCAGCCAGGACTTTGAGCTTCTTTCCCACCCTCCTATTTGAAGCAGAGATTTTAATAATATAACTTCATCTACTTTCCTTTCCAAACGGTAGGTGCATCAGGGATCAGCAGACAGCTGCCAGGCGAACAGGGGAGTGCACGGGCCAGGCAGGGGTTGCCCGTAAGCCCGCCACGGGAGGACTGGATTTCTGGGCAGACAAGGAGGCGAGACTGACAGTCACTTCTGAGTGGTCCCCTCGGTGCTGTCACCGAACTTGAGACATGTAATCGTGATTTCATCAAAGCCTTGATAGTTGCTACTGTCTCTGTTCTCTTCTATTTATTCGGTGTGTAAGAGGGATGTTCACTGGTGCCTGTGAAGATGGTCACAGCAAACATTAGATGTCACGTGATCATCCTATTTGTTTCTAACTTCAGAGGAAAGGAAAGCACAGCTGGTTCCTCCTCAGTGCCATTGTTTCCCTCATCACAAAGGATTTTAAACTCCTGCCATGTGGACCCATCTCATCTTCAGCTGTACATCACTGACTGCTTTGAGCAGAATCTTGGGATCAATACTCTGCTCTAAACATGACCCAAGAGCTCCATCTGCATCATGAATGAAGAGGCGGCTGCTTCCCAGCATCTGGTTTCTGGGAGAGCAGGGGGCCAGGTCTGCCCAGGCAGAATCTGACAGAGCTCAGGTACCTGCTGCTCATGCACATTTCAGAGAGCAGTGAAACTTAAAATGCATCCAGCAATTTCACTTCTAAAATCTGCTGTCCAGAAATGCCCATGAATGTTCACAGAAATGTTCACTGGACGGTGTTTCTTTTGTCATTCCTTTAACAACAAAAAGGGTTGAAAATAATCCAAATGTCCATAAAGTGGGACTCGATTAAATGAATTATAGTCCAATAATAAAAATAAGTTATCCCCACGCTTATATGGAAAGATGTTCTAGACCCATAGGTTAGTTAAAAAAAATCTACTGTTTCTAATGTAAATGCCTAGAATGAGAAGAGATTTATACTCCTGGCTCCGTGGCAATGAATTAATGAAAGGTAGGTAGAAAATTATGCAAAGGAAGAAATAGAAGCATTATTGACACCAAGCAAAACAAAAATTGCTCAAGAAAAGAAATGAGGCTGGTTGTGGTGGTTCATGCCTGTAATCCCAACACTTTGGGAGGCCAAGGTGGGCAGATTACCTGAGGTCAGGAGTTCGAGACCAGCCTGGCTAACACGGCAACACCTCATCTCTACTAAAAATACAAAAATTAGCTGGGCGTGGTGGCGGGCACCTGTAGTCCCAGCTACTCGGGAGGCTGAGGCAGGAGAATCACTTGAACCCAAGGGGCGGAGGTTGCAGTGAAACGAGATCACACCACTGCACTCCAGCCTAGACGACAGCGTGAGACTCCATCTCAAAAAAAAAAAAAAGAAATGAAATGAAATGAAATCATAGTGCCCTACATAGCTACTTGAACAATAATTACATAGCCATTACAATGTGAACATTTCATTGCAATCTGTCTAAGATGATAATTGTATTTTCGCTATAGAACACTAACAGGAGGAGGCATGTGTGAGAAAACGCATGTGTTGTGTGGGGAGCCATAAAAGAACCAAACACTTGTTTTCCGCAGTAGAACATCAAATAGAGAACCTCTAAGACTGAAAACCCAGAAAAAACAGTGTCAACAGGTCATCTAGAACTGTGGAAACAAATAGCTAAAAGAGCATGAAGGGAATGGCTTTGGGAGGGGGAATTGGAGAGTGGGGGGTCGTAGGATGGGTAACTGCTCTTTTCCATGACAAACCTTGTACAGTGATTTGACTTTTTAAGCTATAAATACCTGATACAAATTTTTGAAAGTTAATTTAAAATATAATTAAATAAAAATATTTAATTATCAAGGCAACCTGTCCTTTTATGTATACTTATATATCACTTTATATATCAGTTATCTACAATTAATCTATAAGTCTATGTAGAATAAGCCCTTTAAAATGTGTAAACATGAATATTTACATATATATGTATGTAGCGAGATGGATAAATAGATCGACAGATGATTAGAAATGCATCAGAAAAATGAGGCTGCATACACCTCTGTGCTATAAATGGTCGACAGCTTCATGGGCGAGGCCTATAGGAGTATGCTTTACTTTCCACAGGATTCATTTCTTTTGTTTGAAATTTATACCACAATTATTTTTGTGATTGGAAAAAAATAAATTTAAATTAGAAAAAAAATTGAGATGAGAACACTCATCTCCTCACTGACAGTCCCATTCACTAGAGCTTTTTTTTTTTTTTTTTTTTTTTGAGGTGGCGATGGAGTCTTGCTCTGTCGCCCAGGCTGGAGTGCAGTGGCACAATCTCGGCCCACTGCAAGCTCCGCCTCCTGGGTTCACGCCATTCTCCTGCCTCAGCCCCCTGAATAGCTGGGACTACAGGCGCCCGCCACCATGCCCAGCTAATTTTTTGTAGTTTTAGTAGAGACGGGCTTTCACCGTGTTAGCCAGGATGGTCTCGATCTCCTGACCTCGTGATTGGCCCGCCTCGGCCTCCCAAAGTGCTGTGATTACAGGCTTGAGCCACCGCGCCCGGCCACTAGAGCCTTTTTATCTATGTGAGATAACGGATGACCCAAGCAATCTCGGATATCTTCCCAGTTTCTTCATGTTCACTGTCCCAGAGAGAAAAAGGACACAAGAGGCTGACGCCTGTAATCCCAGTACTTTGGGAGGCTGTGGTGGGTGGATCACCTGTGGTCAGGAGATCTAGACCAGCCTGGTCAACATGGTGAAACCCTGTCTCTACTAAAAATACAAAAAAGCCGGGTGTGGTGGCACATCACAAATCACTTACTAAGTAGAAAGAGAAAAAGAGACATAAAATGGGTAAGTCCGGCAGACACTGTCCTAACCAAGTGAGCCAACTTAACCTTATCAATAACGGGATAAGCTTTTGCCAACTGGTGTGATCCACAAAAAGAACACACTACCACATATATAGTATTCCTGTCAAAAATGTATGACCAGTTGGTGTGGTGGCTTACGCTTGTAATCCCAGCACTTTGGGAGGCTGAGGCAGGTAGATTGCTTGAGGCCAGAAGTTTGAGACCAGCCTGGGCAATATCACAAGACCCCCATCCCTAAAAATAATTTTTAAAAAAATTAGCTGGATATTGCGGTGCATGCCTATATTCCCAGCTACTGGGGAGGCTGAGGCAGGAGAATCACTTGAGCCCAGAAGTTTGAGGCTGCAGTGAGCTATGGTAGCACCACTGCACTATGGCTTGAGTGACAGCAAGACCCATTTCAAAAAAAAAAAAGAGTATGACTTGAATGCATCATAAGGAAACAATTAGCCAAATCCAAATTGACGGACAGTGCACAAAACAACTAGTTCAAGCCCTTCCAAAATACCAGTGTCGGCCAGGTGCAGTGGCTCACGTTGTAATTCCAGCACTTTGGGAGGCCAAGGTGGGCAGATGACCTGAGGTCAGTGGTTTGAGACTGACCTGGCCAGCATGGCAAAACCCTGACTCTACTAAAAATACAAAAATTAGCCAGGTCTGGTGGTTCACACCTGTGGTCCCAGCTACTCCTGAGGCTGAGGTGGGAGATTCGCATGAACCGGGAGGTGGAGGTTGTAGTAAGCCAAGATCATGCCTCTGCACTGCAGCCTGGGTGACAGAGCGAGACTCTGTCTCAAAAAAAAAATAAAAATAAAAAACCAATAACAAAATACCATGTCATTCTTATTTTATATTTATTTATTTATTTGAGACAAAGTCTCACTTTGTCACCCAGGCTGAAGTGCATTAGTGAGGTCTTGGCTCACTGCAACCTCCACTTCCCAGGCTCAAGCAATCCTCCCACCTCAGCCTCCAAACTAGCTGAGATCACAGGCTTGAGCCACCATGCTTTGCTAGTTTTTGTATTTTTTTATAGAGATGGGGTTTTGCTGTGTTGACCAGGCTGGTTTCCAACTCCTGGGCTCAAGTGATCCACCCACCTTGGCCTCCCAAAGTGCTGGGATTACAGGCATGAGCCACCATGCTCGGCCCATGACAGATTTTTTAAAAGGCTGAAGAACTTTCCAGAGTAAGAAATACTAAAGAGAGGAGGGTGAATCACGAGGTCAGGAGTTCAAGACCATCCTGGACAACATGGCGAAACCCCATCTCTACAAAAATATAAAAATTAGCTGGGCATGATGACGGGTGCTTGTAATCCCAGCTACTTGGGAGGCTGAGGCAAGAGAATTGCTTGAACCCAGGAGGTGGAGGTTGCAGTGAGCCGAGACCGTGTCATTGCACTCCAGCCTGGGTGACAGAGCGAGACTCTGTCTCAAAAAAAAAAAAAAAAGAAGAAAGAAATACTAAAGAGACATGGCCACTAAATACAATGTGTGAATCTAGACTGGATTCTGGATTTAAAAGGAAAGAAAGATAACAAGCTTTCTTGCATTATTAGGACAATTGGAAAACTCGAATACAGATTATGTTGGATAATAGCATTTTATCAATGTAAATCTTCTAACGGTGATCATTTTAATACGGTTGCATAGGAGACTGTACTTGGGTCTCAGGAGATAGTTGTTTAAATATTTCTGGTGAAAATGTGTAATATGAATATATTATCCATCATGTTTAAAACAATAAAGAAGTTATGTAGACTAAAAAGTGTTAATTCATTCACTGTGACTTCCACAATGATATAGTGAGTGCCTATTATGTGCCAAGTACTGCTGTAGGCACTGAGGATACAATTAGGAAACAAACATACCAGGTGCCTGCCTCATCATCCTGGCATTCTTCTGGCAAAGAGGAAGAAGTACCTGGCTATAGTGAGTAATGTGGCAAGCTATCCAGATTCCCCGTTCAGGACCAAGGCACTTACTCCCTCTGATTTCTGGCTCACGTCTCCATCCTTCTCTAGGAATTGCTCTTGGCTTCAAGGGACTGCCTGGCTCAAAGTTACCTCTTCCTCACTGGAGACAGCCCCCATCCAGTGACCCATCTATATGGAGCTGCAGAATCCCAAGTTGCCATCCCAGTTTGGGATAACTCTGAAGAGCCTTCCCAGCTCCAGGTTCCATGTGGCTTCGATTGCAACACAGCAGTTCAGCTTCTCCCTTGCCCAGTTCTGCTTCCCTCACTCCCTTACAGGTGTTTCTCAGAACGTGCCCCATAAACCTTCTGCATTCAAATCTCCCTCTAGAGTTTGTTTCTTGGGGAACTTGACCTAAGATGTTAACCAAATTACTGTGCAACACAGTGAGCATGAAAATACAAATATGGGATGCAAGAGGGCCAGGTGGATGCACTCTGGATAATCTCAGGTGAAGCTCTGGGCACAATTTGGTGACAAGACGCCACATGCCCAGAAACAAAACAAAAAATATTGTTGCTCCAATTATAATCTAATACTATGCCTCTTTCCAGCCTCTACAAAGTATTTAGATTGAATTTTTTTTTTTTTTTTTTGGAGACAGTGTCTTTATTGCCTTGGCTGAGTGCACTGGCATGATCACAGCTCATTGCAGCGTTGAGCTCCTGGGCTCAGGTGATTCTCCCATCTCAGTCTCCATAGTAGTTTGGACTACAGGTGTATGCCACCACGCCAGGCTAATTTTTTATTTTTTGTTGGGATGGAGGTCTTCTTATGGCACCCAGATTGGTCTCAAATTCCTGTACTCAAGCAATCCTCCCACCCCGGCCTCCAAAACTGCTGGGATTACAGGTGTGAGCCACTGTGCCCAGCCTAGATTGAAAATTCTTGACTAAAGTCATTGGGCTGTCTTTGGACTTCAGTTTTAAAATTTTTTGCATAGTTGGAAAGAGAAAACCAGAGGCAAATTCCCAGATTCCAGCCTAAGTGGGGAAAAAAGGCAAGCTATTTCCTGCTCATCCTCCCTCCCCCAAACTCTCCTCCTCCTCCTCTTACTATTTTTTAACTAAGAGGACAAAGCAGGCCAGCCTCGGCAAGAGGTTATTGATAATAGCTCTGGGAAAAGACCACCCACCTACCTTCATACCATTTATGACTTTATATCTGAAAAAAGGCAATTATATGAGAGCTGGAACATGGCTAGTGATGAGTTCTGGCGACTCTCACTCTCTCCATCTCCATAATGACCACACCTGGGTCACTACAGAGAAATTGGAGAGGCACTTGTAGGGACAGACATTGCTCTCGTTGTATACGGTTATTATGCCTCATTACAGTTATGGGCAGAAGAAAACAATGGGGCTAAGAATTGTGTGGTAGTTTGATCCTCCGTGCCTCTTGATAGCCTATTCACTCAGCTTGGTGGAAGGAAACTACTAGATCTGCTGCCTCATCTTGATTCCCAATCCCCTGGTGCACTCTCCTTCAGCATTGATGTGGCAATTGTTTTAGACACTGGCAACTACCTTTTCTTTTCTTTCTTTTTTCTTTTTCTTTTTAGATAGGGTCTCGATCTGTTGACCAGGCAGGAGTGCAGTGGTGCAATCACAGCTCACTGCAGCCTCGACCCCTAGGGCTCAAGCAATTTCCCACCTCAGCCTCCTGAGTAGCTAGGATTACAGGCACAAGACACCAGGCTAATTTTCGTTTCTTTTTTTGTACAGGTGGGCATCTCACTATGTTGACCAGGCCAGTCTTGAAGTCTTGGGCTCAAGCGATCTACCCGCCTTGGCCTCCCAAGTAGCTGGGACTACAAGTGTGCATCACCAAACCCAGCTAATATTTTTTATTTTTTATTTTAGTAGAGTTGGAATCTTGCTATGTTGCCCAGGCTGGTCTCAAACCCCTAGGCTCAAATGACCTTCCCTCCTTGGCCTCCCAAAGTGCTGGGATTACAGCAATGAGCCACTGGGCCTGGCCTGCCTTTTTGATACATACCTGAGGAAAAGGACAAAGGCATTTTAATTCAGTGCATTTAGAAAAAATTAAGGCCTCCCCAAAGGCAAAATTATTATCTATCACCTAAGGTGGGCAATGGGCTAGGATTTTCTATTAGATGAGGGTGATAACTTGGGAACAAGAGCATTACCTGGAAGCCAGACCTGGTTTTATCAGCAACAGATTCAAATTTCCTGGGCAATGCATTTGAGTACTCCTGGAGTCCGTTTTCTTTTCTGTAGCATGAGCAAAGCGTCTCTGAACTTTCTGATCTCAAGATGATACGAGATTAAATGAGATCGTTTTGTAAAGAATAGTCCCATAGAAAACACAGGGCACACTGCGCTTCACTGTAGTGTCAGGCAGCAGGGCCCCCGCCTTAGATCCATGGGAGGAGACCTGACTTCCTGCCCTCCTTCTCAAAGGTGGCATCCAGGCTGGCTCAGTTCCTTCTATCAGGGTGGCTTAATAGTTGTCCTGGCTGTTTTCATTTGAGCAGGATAGGAAAATAATGTAGTGGGATTGTCCAAAAATCTAGATATGACTACAATTCTCCTTATTTGGCTTTTTTTTTTTTTTTTTTTTTTTAGATACAGGGTCTCGCTCTGTTGCCCGGGCTGGAGTACAGTGTCACAATCACAACCCACTGCAGCCTTGACCTCTGAGGCTCAAGCGATCCTCCCATCTCAGCCTCCTGAGTAGCTGGGACCACAGGTGTGTGCCACCATGCCGGCCTAATTTTTTAATTTTTTTGTAGAGATGCGGTCTCCCCTATGTTGCCTAGGCTGGTCTCAAACTCTTGGGTTTATTTGGTATTTTTAAAGGATATTTAGAGTCACAAGAGAGAGTTATCTTTTTTTATAGACCAGTCTTCTTGCAGGATAAGGGACACGAGAAAAATCCTACTCTCACACAACTTCTGATCACAACTTTCATGTGGGACCTGGAGATTTCTGTCTTATTGCACTGTTATGAAGACAAGGTCAGAATATATGTAAAGTGCTCATAGCAGGGCTCATAGCAGTGCCTGACCAGGGAGTACTCCATGAGGGTCAGCTCTACGAGAAGCAGATTCACACGGAATAGGCCCACCCCTAACATCGTGGCCTGAGGCAAGACTACATCTGAAAGCCCACTTACCTCTGAATATTTAAAGTTCTGAATTGGAAAACAAATTGCTCATTAAATATGTCCTATTCTACTTTAACACATAGATCTGTATAACGACCTGGAAGGCCCAGTTTAAAATGAGAATTATTGGACCCCTTGGAGTTGTGTGTCAAAACACACACAGCCAGGCGTGGTGGCTCACTCCTTTAATCCCAGCACTTTGGGAGTCTGCGGCAGGTGGATCACTTGAGGCCAGGAGTTCAAGACCAACCTGGCCAACATGGTGAAACCCTGTCTCTACTAGAAATACAAAAATTAGTTGGACATGGTGGTACACACCTGTAATTACAGCTACTTGGGAGGCTGAGGCACGAGAATCACTTGAGCTGGTGAGGCAGAAGTTGCAGAGAGCTGAGACTGCACCACTGCACTCCAGCCTGGGTGACAGCGAGACTCTGTCTCAAAAAAAAACAACAACATGGGTTGTGGGGAGAGCTGGCTTTTGGCTCCTTATGCCCCAGCCTGCAGCCTTCTCCCTTCCCTTTTCACTTCTGGCTCTGACTTGCCTGCGAGGGCAGTGTAGCCACACATTGGAGCTCCCTCCTACTCCCTGCAGTCACCCCTGCACCCCCTCTTGGTTCCAGCAGTGCACAGCTGGGGTGCAGTGCCACTCTCCGGGGATGGGCTTAAGAAAGGAGCCTGTGGAGGCCCTAGAAGCAGGTTTGGGGCTATTTGCATAGAGAATACTGGGAGCAGGGGTACCTGGCATGGGATTCAGCTGGTCATGGCTTCTTGGCCCACAGACTTCTCTCCCCATGGGAGCCAGATGGGAAGCCAGAGTGTGGGATCCCCTGGAGCATGGGGCACAGAATGGGAACCCCTCCTTGACTGGGTCTAAGGGCTGTACTGGCTGGTGTTTTAGAGCATTTCCATTGTAGGAGATAGACTGCCTGGGATTACATCCTGGTTTCTGCACTTTATGGAGTGGTGAAACCAGAATTTAACTGGGTGGTTTACCTAAAACCTCTGTGTCAAAATTTCCTCATCTATAAAACAGGGGTGATGGTAGGAGTACTCACCCCATAGGGTTGTTATGAGGATTAAATGAGTGAATATCTGTAAAAGCACTTTGAAATGTGCTTTGTTTGCATACACAGCGTGCTATAGGTATTCATGTCCACACCTCCTTCTTTTAAAAAAACAATTCTTGACCTAGTCTAAGCATAATAGTCAATGTCTCATTCCTGCTTCTGCTTGCAGAAAGGAAGACAGGAAGGAAACAAACAGTGATTTCACACAATGGTTCTAAAATTGCCTTCTAAGGTGTGAATTTAGTTAGTTAGTTTTTTTTTTTTTTTCTTTTCAATGTTTGGAAAGAGACTACACTGCCCAAAAGGCATTCTGGTGTATCCAAATAGGAAACCCCATAGAGAGGGGTGAGAGCACTTGTATGTACGGTGGCAGGAAGTAGATGGTGCAGTATTTTCTCAAGATCATTAAGCACACAAAAGGGTCCCATCTGTTTGGGACACATCAAACTTTTGTCCAGTTTGAAGGCAGAGGATGAGATGGAACGATTTTTTGTTAAATTATGGTTTTTTAAAAAATTCACATAATGTAAAATTTACCATGTTACCATTTTCAAATGTATAGTTCAGAAGTGTTCAGTGTATTTACATCATTGTACAACCAATCTCCAGGACTTTTTCATCTTGTAAAACTGAAACTGTGTATCTATTAAACTTTACACAACTCCCCTGCCTTAGTCCATTTGTGTTGCTATAAGGGAATACCTGAGACTGGACAATTTATAAAGAAAAGAGCTTTATTTGGCTCGTGGTTCTGTAGGCTGTACAAGAAGTATGACACTGGCATCTGCTCAGCTTCTGGTGAGGGCTTCAGGGAGCTTCCACTCATGGTGGAAGGCGAAGGGGAGCAGGCATCACTTGGCAAGAGAGAAGGAAACAGAGGGGAGAAAGGCGCCAGGCTCATTTCAACATCAGTTCTCAAGAAAACTAATTGAGAGAGAACTCACAGATTATCACAAGGACAGCACCAAGACATTCATGAGGGATCCACTCCCATGACCCAAACACTTCCCACCAGACCCCACCTCTGATATTGGACATCAAATGTCAACATGAGGTTTGGAAGGGACAAACATCCAAACCACATCATCTCCCTTCCCCGTTCTCTCCAGCTACTGGCAACTACCGTTCTACTTTCTGTGTTTGTGAATTGAAGTACTTTAGATACCTCATATAAGTGGAATCATACAGTATTTGTTCTTCCATGACTGGCTTATTTCACTTAGCCTAATGTCTTCAAGGTTTATCCATGTTGCAGCATATGACATGAAATCATTTTCCAAGTGTCTTTCCAGCTTGGAGTTGGTAACTGGAAACCTCTAGATGATGGAGAAGTGAAAGAGATGGAAACAGACAACACAGCATCAGAACCCAGCATCTGAGATGGATCCAAAGAGTTTGCTTTCCTCTTGGGAGCAGAGCCCCTCACCTTAATGACCATGTGCTTGTGATCTGATGACAACTGCATTGTTAGACAATGAATCATTTTTTAATGGTTTCTCAGATTTATCTGGGCAAGTTGGCAAGGAAAATGTAGAACTACAGATATTTTTTAAATTAAAAAATTATTTTTATTTTTATTTTGGTAGGGATAGGGTCTTGTTATATTGTCCAGCCTGGTCTCAAACTCCTAGCCTCCAGTGATCCTCTCACCTCAGCCTCCCAAAGTATTGGGATTATAGGCATCAGCCGCTACACCAAGCCAGAACTATAGGGTATAAATTTGATATAAATATAAAAATAGTTCTACTGACATTTAAATTATTCTCAATCTCCTATTAGGCTAGAGAAGGCTGTTGTCAAATTCAGAAAATTTCAAATGAGCATGGAGTCCCATGGCAGTACTTGAAATAATCATAAACCTTCAAATCATAATTTGCTTGAAATGTTTTGGTCAATCCCTCTTACGTAAAGTTTTCCTTGATCCCTGCCTTCACAGAGATCTGTCCTCAGATGCCTTGTCTTAGTAAACTTTTAATTAGTGTGTCTGTTGTTTTCCTAAATGGATTGAAAGGGCAGGAAGCATATATTATACTTATTTTATCTTTCTCCATGTATTTTGTTGAATGAATGAATGAATAATGAATTCAGATTGTGAAATGCCTTAACATTACAGTTGTATAATACTGCTCTGCTAATAGAATAGAAATGCTCCATTTTGATGATTTGGAATTTTCCTTGAGGTCATTGTTCATAAACTTACTAATAAATGTTAGAATCCCAGAAAGCTTACTTAAGAGGGACCTATTGAAGGTAATGGAAAATGCCATCATTCAAGAAGAAGGAAATAGGAACATAAATCTCATTTATTTATTTATTTTATTTTATTTTTATTTTATTTATTTATTTAATTTATTTATTTATTTATTTATTTATTTATTTATTTATTTATTTATTTATCTGAGACCGAGTCTCGCTCTGTCGCCCAGGCTCGGGTGCAGAGGGGTGATCTTGGCTCACTGCAAGCTCTGCCTCCCGGGTTCACAACATTCTTCTGCCTCAGCCTCCCGAGTAGCTGGGACTATAGGCGCCCGCCACCACACCCGGCTAATTTTTTTTTTTTTTTTTGTATTTTTAGTAAAGACGGGATTTCACCATGTTAGCCAGGATGGTCTCGATCTCCTGACCTCATGATCCATCCGCCTTGGTGTCCCAGTGTAGGGAAAAGAAAGAGAGATCAGACTGTTACTGTGTCTATGTAGAAAGGGAAGACATAAGAGACTCCATTTTGAAAAAGGCCTGTACTTTTAAACAATTGCTTTGCTGAGATGTTGTTAATTCGTAGCTTTGTCCCAGCCACTTTGACCCAACCTGGAGCTCACAAAAACATGTGTTGTATGAAATCAAGGTTTAAGAGATCTAGGGCTGTGCAGGACGTGCCTTGTTAACAAAAGCAGTATACTTGGTAAAAATCTTCGCCATTCTCTAGTCTCAATAAACCAGGGGCACGATGCACCGCGGAAATCCGCAGGGACCTCTGCCCTTGAAAACTGGGTATTGTCCAAGGTTTCTCCCCATATGATAGCCTGAAATATGGCCTCGTGGGATGAGAAAGACCTGACCGTCCCCCGGCCCGACACCCATAAAGGGTCTGTGCTGAGGTGGCTTAGTAAAAGAGGAAAGCCTCTTGCAGTTGAGATAAACACAGGCCACTGTCTCCTGCCTGTCCCTGGGAACTGAATGTCTCGGTTTAAAACCCGATTGTACATTTGTTCAATTCTGAGATGAGAGAAAAACCGCCCTGTGGTGGGAGGCGAGACATGTTTGCAGCAATGCTGCCTTGTTATTCTTTACTCCACTGAGGTGTTTGGGTGGAGAGAAACATAAATCTGGCTTACGTGCACGTCCAGTCGTAGTACCTTCCCTCGAACTTCATTATGACATAGATTCTGTTGCTCACATGTTTGTTGCTGACCTTCTCCTTATTATCACCCTGCTCTCCTACTACATTCCTTTTTGCTGAAATAATGAAGATAATAATCAATAAAAACTGAGAGAACTCAGAGACCGGTGCCAGTGCAGGTCCTTGGTATGCTGAGCGCCGTTCCCCTGGGCCCACTATTGTTTCTCTATACTTTGTCTCTGTGTCTTATTTCTTTTCTCAGTCTCTCGTCCCACCCGACTAGAAATACCCACATGTATGGAGGGGCAGGCCGCCCCTTCACCCAAAGTGCTGGGATTACAGGTATGAGCCACCGCGCCTGGCCAAATCTCATTTATTTTTATAATAATCTGTTCATCCATACGTTTTCTCACAGCATCATTTACTCAACCAATATTTACATAGCACCTATTATTATGCCATTGTGCCCTAGCATATAATAGGGTTGCAGAGATGAATGGGACATTAACTGTTAAAGTCTACAATCTCAGCCTTCTAGGAGATCAGACATGATAACAATTGATATGATACAATGAACATAAAAATACAGGTGGCATAAGAAAGATGTAAATATTTTCTCTAAGTGCAGAGGAAGAAAAGTTGACTCCCAACAGTGGGCATTGTGGTAGGGGGATCAGAAAAGCTTTATGAAAGAGCTGGCGTGAGTTAGAATGGCTATTATTAAAAAGTCAGGAAACAACAGATGCTGGCGAGGCTGTGGAGAAATAGGAACACTTTTACACTGTTGGTGGGAGTGTAAGTTAGTTCAACCATTGTTGAAGACTTCCTCAAGGATCTAGAACCAGAAATACCATTTGACCAGCAATCCCATTACTGGGTATATATCCAAAAGATTATAAATCATTCTACTATACAGACACATGCACATGTATGTTTACTGCAGCACTATTTACAATAGCAAAGACTTGGAACCAACCCAAATGCCCATCAATGATAGACTGGATAAAGAAAATGTGGCACGTATACACAATGGAATACTATACAGCCATAAAAAAGAATGAGTTCATGTCCTTTGCAGGGACATGGATGAAGCTGGAAGGCATCATTCTCAGAAAACTAACACAGGAACAGAAAACCAAACACAGCATCTTCTCACTCATAAGTGGGAGTTGAACCATGAGAACACATGGACACAGGGAGGGGAACATTAAACATCAGGGCCTGTCGGGGGGTAGGGGACAAGGGGAGGGAGAGCATTAGGACAAACACCTGATGCATGCAGGGCTTAAAACCTAGATGACGGGCTGATAGGGGCAGCAAACCACCACGGTACGTGTATACCTATATAACAAACCTGCACATTCTCCACATGTATCCCAAAACTTAAAGTTAAAAAAAGAAAGAAAAAAAAAGAAAGAGCTGGCATGGAAGAGGGCTTCTAGGCTGACACGTGGGTGAGCAGTACGTGGTAAGGGCTCCAGCCAAAGGAACGTTGTTCTCTAACAAAGCTCTAGCCAAAGTCCATGGGCTGAGACTGGAGTACGGTAGGTTTCCTGTTCCCTGAAGAAAACCTGAACATTGTGAAAAGACAAAGGGGCAGTAAATGCCACTGTGTGAGCAAAACTACACATGCCCTCTGCAGTGACATTTGAAAGGTGTCTTAAGAGGTCAGAACTATTGTGAATAACAAGAAGAACAACAACAAAAAAACCCAAACACAAAACAGTAAGAGACCTTTATAAGTCTAGCGCATTTTCCAATCTAAAGAATCTGAATGGCCCCAGGGATAGTCCCTGTGTTTATATCACTCAGCGCATCCTTACCAAGGGCCTCCAGCTGGGCAGGCACCATTGTAGAGGCTGCCCTACCGAGAGCAGGCACAGAGACCACCACAACCACACTGCTACCACCCCAGCAAGGCAAGGACAATCGACTTCATGAAGCTCGCTTTTGGCTTCTAGGATAGAGTTGGGGTCTTGGCAGAGAAGACAGACAGATGGTCAAGACAGAGAAGAATGTAGGGGCATAAAGAAGAGAAATAGAGAAAAGAATAGAGAAGGGAAGGACTTCCAGACATTCATCCATGTCGGACTTACTCCAGTTTGTCGAAAAGTAAACCACCAAGAAAAGGTCAGGAATCTTTAACAGAGGACTCGGGAGGCTACACAGGTTTCTGACTGTCTAATGGCAAGATGGCTTATTTTTTAGAATTGACACCTAAATCCTTTCCCAAATGTTGCAGGTAGACCGAGGAGACTCCACGTGAAAAGCACTAAGAGAGGATTCAGAGGAGTGTGGATGTCTGTGCAGAGTCTTGAAGAATGAGTTGAGGGCACGGGCTCATTCCAGGAAGCAAAGCTTCATAGCATGAGCAGTAATTGTGATTTAGTGATATGGTTCAAAGATTCTCTACAACAAATAACCCCATGCGGGAAAAAGCCTCATCTCCCAGCAACAACCAACCTTTGCAACTTAAGGGCAGTGCAGAGCCAAGCTGTAGCAGCACTATTTCATAATTCTTCCCCTTACTAGTAAGTAACGTTTATTTATCGCTCCCTCTCTCTTCAAACATTGTAGTCTTTCCCTTCCTGCCTGCAAATCTACAACTCCCCCTCCAAGGGAAGAATGGTGCTGTGGGATGGAGGAAAGAACTTCGGTTTTAAAATCAGACCGAAGTGTGTTTGCTGCTGGCCTTGCCTCCTATTCACTTGTAATCTTTCTCCCCAACCCCCCCCCCCCCACAAAAATGGAGTCTTGCTCTGTTGCCCAGGCTGGAGAGCTATGGCGTGATCTCGGCTCACCACAACCTCCAGCTCCTGGGTTCAAGCAATTCTCCTGCCCCAGACTCCCAAGTAGCTGGGATTACAGGCTTGCACCACCACGCCTGGCTAATTTTTGTATTTTTAGTAGAGACAGGGTTTCAGCATGTTGGCCAGGCTGGTCTCAAACTCCTGAACTTGTGATCCGCCCACCTTGGCGTCCCAAAATGCTGGGATTATAGATGTGAACCACCGTGCCTGGCCTTCACTTGTAATCTTAAGCAAGCTATTTCACTTCTGTGGGTCTCCGTTTTCTTACCTGTGAATTGGGACTAATACAACTCCTTGGATTGCTGTAATAATAAAATGAGGTGGCGCATGAAAAAAAACAGCTCTTAAAAAAGGCATGCAATACATGTTAGTTTCTGAAGAGGATCAGGATATGCCACCCCCAAATATGCCACTTTTGGAGGGTTATTTTGAGCCAAAGGCAATTGAGGATCAACAGATGTAGCAAGAGTTTCCTGCCCTTCACTTATCCATCTAAAAGCAGGGCGTAAATTTATCTTTGAGAAGGTGGCATAAATTTCCCTAATGATGGTGTCCCCTTCTCCTGGCACCAGGAAGAGGAGAGTGACTCTTATCAGAGAGATGGAGAGTCGGCACTGAGAGAAGTCTGCATACAAAAACTTTACTAAAATAACTCTAATCTTCCATTAGTTCTCCCACATATTCTTAGTCACTTACTCCTGCTTTCACATCCCTTGAAACTCAAACTTCCTTTTCTTCGTTTAAAATGGTATGTAAGCCCCAGAATCTAACCACTCTTTCCCTCCCTCCCGCTTTCCTTTCTTTCTCTCTCTCCCTCTTTCTTTCCTTCTTTCTTTCTTTCTCTTTCTTTCTTTCTTTCTCTTTCTTTCTTTCCTTCCTTCCTTCCTTCTTACTTACTTTCTTTCTTTATCTTTCTCTCTCTCTTTCTCCTTCCTTCCTTCCTTCCTTCCTTCCTTCCTTCCTTCCTTCCTTCCTTCCTTCCTTCCTTCTCTCTCTCTCTCTTTCCTTTCCTCCTGGACTTGAACTCCTGGATTCAAGAGATCCTTCCACTTCAACCTACAAAGTAGCTGGGACTACAGGCACAAGCCATAGCGCCTGGCTTCTAACTACTTCTTTGAGCTTCATTTCTTTTCTAGTAACTCCCATTCATGTAAATATTAGTAAACATTGCGTGCTTTTTCTCCTGTTAATCTGTTGTTCAATTTGCAGGCCTCTAGTTACTGAACATAAGGGTAGAGGAAAAGTTTTTTCTCCCTGATGTTTCCATCCCTCCCACATTCCTGAAAAGAAATAAAAAGCAACCTGGGGCAAAAGGGAGCTATCTTTTGCAGTCTATCACAGAGAGATGCATCACAGTTACAGTTATTCTCCAGTGTCTTGGGGCTGGGGATGTTTCCTGATTGTGAAGGAAGGTTAAAAAAAAAAAAAAAAAGCCTGGAGCTCATTAGAGTAGGTTATCTTCTACACACACACAGAGGAAATACAGAGGAAATACAGGCATGACCCACTTCGAGCAATCCTACTAATGCAAGACTGAAATTTGCCAGAAACAAATTAACCAGCCATTAGTTTATCTTTTTAGCATTTCCTCACTTTTCTAAAAAGGATTAACAGGAATAGAAAGGCAACTCTTTGTCAGTATTTATACGTAGGTACTGAAGTTGAATGGTGACAGACACTTGGGGCTGAAGTAGAATTAAACTTCAATTAGAAATGAAGATGAGGCCGGGCGCGGTGGCTCACGCCTGTAATCCCAGCACTTTGGGAGGCCGAGGCGGGCGGATCACGAGGTCAGGAGATCGAGACCATCCCGGCTAAAACGGTGAAACCCCGTCTCTACTAAAAATACAAAAAATTAGCCGGGCGTAGTGGCGGGCGCCTGTAGTCCCAGCTACTTGGGAGGCTGAGGCAGGAGAATGGCGTGAACCCGGGAGGCGGAGCTTGCAGTGAGCCGAGATCCCGCCACTGCACTCCAGCCTGGGCGACAGAGCGAGACTCCGTCTCAAAAAAAAAAAAAGAAATGAAGATGAAACTGCTCTGAAATGATCAGTTGTCATTGGACTCCCAATCTGAAGTGTGAAAAATGCCATTCTGTTTACAGACATTGAATCAGCTTGCCTGCCTCCAACCCTACACACTCCTGCCGATCCCTCTTCCTCCCATGCCACCCTCTTCCTCTCCAGCTGAAAAATGCTCTTTTCAGATGGGATGTACTCCCCTCTCTCATCACAGCTAATCTAACAATATGGCAAATTACCAGTTTCCCAATTTAGCTCACACCACTCCTGCCAAAAACCTTCCTTCCTTTTCTCCATTTATCTATCATCAAAACCCTGGGTTCAACTTGCTCTTCCAGCCTCTGAATGGTATTTCCAGCAGGTGGTATCCCAAGTGAACTCCTTACTCAAATCCTTTAGAAGTGATTTCTTTCATGTTTGGGTTTGTACCTGATTTCCCCAACTAAATAATCAATTTCTAAAATTTAGAAATTTTGTCTATTATGGGCATGCACTTGCATCTTCAGTGAATTGCACGTTGTGTGTATAAAAGCATATTGTTGGCCAGGAGCAGAGGCTTATGCCTGTTATTTCAGCACTTTGGGAGGCCAAGGTGGAAGGACTGCTTGAGGCCAGGAGTTTGAGACCAGCCCTTGCAACACAGTGAGACCGCGTCTCTACAAAAACTAGAAAAATTAGCTGGGTGTGGCGGTGCACACCTGTAGTCCAGGTTCTTGGGAGGATCGCTTGAGCCCAGGAAGTTGAGGCTGCAGTGAGCTATGATAACACCACTGCACTCCAGCCTGGGTGACAGAGCGAGACCATGTTTCAGAGAAAAAAAAAAAAACTGTATCATTGATAATAAAAAGTAGATTTATGTGCAACTTTATAAGGATTTCATCTATTGTAAAAATAAAGGCTCATATGCACTGACATTTAATTCACCTGAAAACAGAAGAGAAAGGCCAGGATAAGAATATAATTGTGATGAAAATTTGAAGCTAAGAATCTGATCAGTGAGCAGGGGTTTTTTGAGGATCTATTACTACCATGTGCTTGTCAGTATTCTTTACCAGTAGCATAATATGTAGCGACCTCATAGCAACACTGCTTTAAATATAATCTTTTTCTGCAAAGGCTATACTTCCAGCCAGGGTGCTTGGCAAGATGTTTGCTGCCTGCTTTGCTGGCTAACCTAGGAACGAATTCTCTCTCTAACCTGAGTACCCTTCATTCCGTATCTTAGATTTTGGCTGACATCAGCATTATCTTTCTTGTCATCCTGATAGGGATGGGGAGAATTACATTTTTCTCTCTTTTGCAAGAAGAGTTGTTTCGTGTTTGGCATACCTGCTGAAAAATTTTGGCTTATTATTATCCCCTCTGCTTGCCACCCCCTCCTTTTCTAGTTTAGATATTTTTTAATCCCCGCAAGCTCAGCATTAAATCCAATATCCTGACAGCAGTAGGTCAGAGCTATAGCTGCTTTAAATGGGCTACCACGGCACAACCTCATAAGTACAGAACTAAGGTACACATGGGAAACTCAGAATAATACAAAATAAAGGCAAATAAGTGCTAAATTCTATGAAATAGACTCTGAAGTAAGAAAGGGGAAATGAGATTCATGACAGCCTCGGCAATAGGAAAAAATTCAAAAAGGAGTGTACGTAAGAACCTATTCTGAAGATAGACTGGGAAAACCATGAAAAGACAAATGCATTGCAGCACTATTTGCAATGCTAAAGCCTAGGATTGCACAACACCAATAGGGGATTGGTTGGATAATCTGTGGCTCATCCACAGAATGGAATACTAAGCAGCTGTTGAAAGGAATGCAGACCATCTCTATATTTTGCTTGGAAATGATTTCCAGTAAATATTATTAATTGAAAACTGCAAGTCTCAGAAGAGCGAACATAAGATACTCTTTTCTCTAAGAAAGGGTGGATAATAGAAATATTTACATATTTGTTTATATTTAAAGTAAAAATCAGGGGAAGGACAAACTTGCAAGTAAAAAATTGGTTACCTTTGGGGGGATGGAGGAGGCAGGAACATAGGCTAGACTTGTCTGAATGTACTTGTATTTGTTAACTATTGCCACAAAATAGATTAGTCAAAAAATTTAGTGGCTTAGAATAACAATAGTAGCATCTCACACAAATTTTGAGGGTCAGGACTCCAGGAGCTGCTTAGCTGGGTGGTTTTGTCTCAGGGCATTTCATGAGATTGTGGTCAGGACATTGGTCTGAGTCTCAGTCATCTAAAGGTTTGACTGGGGCTAAAGAACCCACTTGCATAGTGGGTCACTCAACTGAGTTGCTTCCTTGTTGGCAGGAGGCCTCAGTTCCTCACCACATGGACCTCTCAGACCCCATAGAGCTGCTTGAGCATCCTCATGACATGGCAGATGGCTGCTTCTATAACAAGTTATCCAAAAAAAGCAGGGAAAGCTGAAACGCCTTTTATGACCTAGTCTTGGAAGTCACATACTGTCACTTGCATCTTATTTGTTAGAAGCAAGATACTGAACATGGGGTGGTTGTAATTCCGGCACTGTGGGAGGCTGAGGCAGGAGGATTGCGTGAGCCCAGGAGTTCAAGACCAGCTTGGGCAACATGGCAAGACCTTGCCTCTATTTAAAAAAGAAAACAAAACCAAAAAGATACTGAGTCCAGCCCACACTCAAAGGGAGGGGAATCAGGCTTTGCCTTTTTAAGGGTGTATTAAATAATTTGTGGACATATTTTACACCCCTATAAAACCTACTTTTATATATTGAGTTTGGAACCATACTAATGATTTATATAATTATAAAAGCAAGTTAAATAAAATTGAACAAGAAACTGCAGTCCCTAAACAGTGAAAACAAAACGAAAGCAATAAACCTAAGCATATATCAGGTTGATTGTTTAAATATAGAGAAATAAATACTTTCAATGACTTTATTTTCATTTATTTTATTATGGTAAGAATTCTTAACATGAGATCTGCATGCTGAACAAATTTTTAATGTGTAACACATCATTGCTGGTTGTATGTACAATGCTGTACACAGCAGCTCTCTGGAGTTTATTCATTTTGCTTGACTGAAACTTCATGCCAGTTGATTAGTTAACCCCCATTTTCCCCTTTCCTCAGCCTCTAGTGGCCACAATTCCATTCTTGGATTCTATGAATTTCACTGTTTTAGATATCTTATGTAAGTGGAATCATGCAGTATGTGTCCTTCTGTGACCGGCTTACTTCATTCAGCATAGTGTTCTCAAGGATCATTAGTGTTGTCACCCATTGCAGGATTTCCTTCCGTTGTTTTTTGTTTTTTGCTTTGGTTTTGTTTTTTTGAGATGGAGTCTCCCTCTGTTGTCCAGGCTGGAGTGCAGTGGGGTGATCTCTGCTCACTGCATCCTCCGCCTCCCAGGTTCAAACGATCCTTGTGCCTCAGCCTCCCGAGTAGTTGAGACTACAGGCGTGCACCACCACACCCAGCTAATTTTTGTATTTTTAGTAGATGCGTGGTTTCACCATGTTGCCCAGGCCTCCCAAAGTGCTGGGATTACAGGCGTGAGCCACCGCACCCGGCCCTGGGTTTCCTTCTTTCTTAAGGCTGAATATTATTTCATTGCATGTATAGACCACATTTTGGCTTCCCATTCATCTGTCAATGGATATTTAGGTTGTTTCCACATCTTGGCTATTGTGAATAGTGTTGCAATGAACATGGAAGTGCTGATATCTCTTCGAGATCCTGATTTCATTTTTTTTGAGAAATATCCAGAAGTGAGATTGCTGAATGATAAGGTAGTTCTATTTTTAATTGTTTGAGAAACCTCCACACTGTTTTCCATAGAGACTGCACCACTTTGCACTCCCTAAATTCCCACAAGCACTATGCAAGGATCCTGATTTCTACGTATCCTGCCAACACTTGCGTTTGTTTTTTTTTTAATGGTAGCCATCTTGACAGGAATGAGGTGAACTTTAATTGCTTTAAAACAGAGGAATTGGACTGTACAATCTTAGAGGAATTTATCCAAAGGATAAATAGGATTGTAAATAAATCTTAAACTGTTTTCAGTAGTTATAATATTACTAATAATATTAGTATTATTATTCTGAAACTATTAAGTATATTTCTCTTAGCCCATTTTGAGTTGCTGTAAAGGAATACCTGAGGCTGGATAATTTATGAAGAAAAAAAGTTTTATTTGGCTGACAATTCTTATGGTTGAAAATCTCATGACTTGGCAGCTGCATGAGGTGAGGGCCTCAGGCTGCTTCCAGTCATGGCGGAAGGTGAAGGGGAGTTGGCGTGGCCTCAGGCTGCTGCCAGTCATGGCAGAAGGTGAAGGGGAGTTGGCCTGGCTTCAAGCTGCTTCCAGTCATGGCGGAAGGTGAAGGGGAGTTGGCGTGTGCAGAGTTCACATGCAAGGCAGGAGGAAGCAAGGGGTGGGGGAGGTACCAGGCTCTTTTTATTTATTTTTATTTTTTAATTTTTTTGAGACAGAATCTCATTCTGTCTCCCCAGCTGGAGTGCAGTGGCACAATCTCAGCTCACTGCAACCTCCATCTCCTGGGTTCAAGCCATTCTCCTGCCTCAGCCTCCCGAGTAGCTGGGATTACAGGTGCATGCCACCACGCCCTGCTAATTTTTGTGTTTTTAGTGGAGGTGAGGTTTCACCATGTTGGCCAGGCTGGTCTCGAACTCCCGACCTCAGGTGATCTGCCTGCCTCAGCCTCCCAAAGTCCTGGTATTACAGGTGTGAGCCCTGGCACCCAGCAAGGCTCTTTTTAACAATCAGCTCTTAGTAGAACTAATAGAGAGAGAACTCACTCATCCCTGAGGGAAGGCATTAATCTATTCATGAGGGGCCCACCTCCATGACCCACACACCTCCCACCAGGCCCCACCTCCAACATTCCCACATTGGAATCAAATTTCAGCATGAGATTTGGTGGGGACAAACAAACTATATCGAAACCATAGCATGTATATATGTTTCAGAATATATATATATTGTGTTCTATACAGTAATACTATATTAGTACTACAGTACACATATTACATATGTGTATTAATATATATTACTATATTGGTATTATTCTGAAACTAAGTACATATATACATATGTATATATACATACACACATATACATGTGTATATGTACCTCAAATAAATAATTATGGTAACATATTTAGGAACCAAGTCTTTCAGTAGAAGAGGAGAGATATAAATATAAAATTGAATGAGTCAAGTGGAAAATCCTGTAATCTTAAATTGGATTTAAAAAATTAATAAGTACTTAGGATGTATTTTCTTTAAAAATAAACATATTTCCTTGCTCTGCTCACTGAAAACGCCTGCAAGCCATGACTAACCCCAAAATAATAACCTTATCCTCAGATTGTGTTCTCTAAATAGAATTTCTAACTCAAGAAAGCCATGCCTCCTTGGATAAATGATTATTTCAAGGCTGGGACAGGAAACATTGAAGGGGGCCTGGAACATTCTATTGTACTGGAAAGCATGGAGCTATCACTGACCACAAGCATTGCCATCAAAAAGATCCAGGTGCCCACTTCAGTGTTCTCCCACTGGTCAAAGATGGGACAATTTTAACATAATGGCAACAATAATGATAATAGTAATAACTGCGATGCCACACCAAATATATTAAAATCTACAAGTTCATAATGCTAAAAAATGTGCAAATAAATACAACTAAATGAACACCTTTGTAAAATGCTAAGGAACCCACGCATTGTGAAAACTGGTAAAGAAGAAAACTGAAGGCAAAGAAGTAAGTATTCGTTTTGCTTTTCCTGTTTGGACTGTAACTCAGAAATGTCAGCTAATTAATGCAAAAGGAATATGACAACTAGAATATTACCATTTTGCAACCCGTAATAAAAAAACATCCAATTTCAGGCTAGAGCTTGAAGTCTACAGGGCAGGCAGCTGGAACGGGGGGATGGATGTAAATTGTGGAGAGCAAAACAAGCAGGAATTCATGAATTTGGACTGAGAGCTATGTCAGTTCTCTGATGTTGATGGTCTGGGTGTCCTGCAGAAGCCAGGGCTCTTTGTCCTGGGCTAAGCACACACACTAGCCCAAGTTGGGGAGAAGCTGAAGGAGTATGCAGGGGAAGGTGAGGGAGCTGCAGGCCAGCTGTGCCTCATGCCCACCAGAGGGGCCAGCAGATGTGCCCCGCATGTGTGACCTACCAAATGGCTACTGCCTCACTTCCATCTTCCAAAGCTCCCAAGAATCCCCCCACAGCTCATCTTAGCCAGAAACATATGGGAAAAGGGAACTCTGGGAAATACGGTCTGATCTAGCCAGGTAGACGTGTTAAAAAAAACCCACCATAGTCGTGGATGGCTGCTAAAGCCATTAGGCAAGAGGCTGCGGGGAGTTCTACATGTAAAGGATTTCACTGGCACATTCTGAATCCACTGATGGAAGTCATGTCACACAAATAGAAATGGCTTGTGTCTTATATCTCCGCCTGTGAAGTGACAGGAAGTACTCAACTACTCCGCAAAATAGCCTCACCAAAAAATCCAACTTGAATGGGATCTAGCCTCAGACTCCAACTGCAGTTCATAGGAAATACAGGGGAAGGAGAAAAATATTAAAGAACAGCACAGGCATATAGTCAGCACACTCTGAAATGTGATAGATTATACAGAACCCTTAGCGTCAACTTCTTCAACAAATAAGCTGCAAGAAAACAATAGAGATACAGATGACATAAATAAAAAGATATTAGAGGCCAGTCGCAGTGGCTCACGCCTGTAATCCCAGCACTTTGGGAGGCCAAGGCGGGCGGGTCACTTGAGGCCAAGAGTTCGAGACTAGCCCTGCCAATATGGTGAGACTCTCTCTTTACTAAAAATATAAAAATTAGCCAGGCAGGGTGGTGCATGCCTGTAGTTCCAGCTACTCAGGAGGCTGAGGTATAAGAATCGCTTGACCCTGGGAGGCAGAATTGCGGTGAGCCAAGATCCTACCACTGCACTCCAGCCTAGGCAACAAAGTGAGACTTCGTCTTAAAAAAAAAAAAAGTGAAAGAAAGAAAAGATACTAGAAAGACATATCCACCAAAAACAATGGTTGAAACTTGTTTGACTCAATTCATATAAACCAACTTAAATATATAAATACACACAACATATATATATATATGCAGTATAAAGATATACACACATATGTGTTTATATATATGTATAGGTATACACACATATATAATGAATAAAAGTCATGCATGGCTTAACAACAGGGATACGTTCTGAGAAGTACATGGTTAGGCGATTTTGTCCTTGTGTGAATGTCATAGTGTGTACTTACACAAACCTAGATCTCACAACCTCCTACATACCTAGGCTATATGATATAGCTTATTGCTCCTGGGCTATCAACCTGTAGAGCATGTTACCGTACTGAACATTGTATGCAATTCTAACACGATGGTAAGCATTTGTATATCTAAACACAAATATGTATCTAAATTGTGTACCTGTTAATATTAATAAACACAAAAGGTATAGTAAAAATAAGGTATAGAAGATTTTTAATAAGGAACACCTGTATAGCTCCACCTGATTGGAGCTTGCAGAACTGGAAGTTGCTCTGGGTGAGTCAGTGAGCAGGTGATGAATGAATGTGAAGGCCTGGGACATTACCACACACCATCATAGACTTGATGAACGATGTCCACATAGACCACACTAAATTTATGTTTAAAAAACCACTTTTTTTGCTTTAATAATAAATCAGCCTTAGCTTACTGTAACTTTTTTTTTTTTTGAAACAGGATCTCACTCTGTCATCCATGCTGGAGTGCAGGGGCACAATCATGGTTCACTACAGTCTCAACATCCCAGGCTCAAGCAATTCTTTTATCTCAGCCTCCCAAGTAGCTAGGACTACAGGTGCACACCACCATGCCCAGCTAACTTTTTTTTTTTTGGTAGAGATGGAGTCTCACGGTGTTGCCCAGGCTGGTCTCCAACTTCAAGCCTCAAGCAATTCTCCCACCTCAGTCTCTCAAAGTGTTGGGATTACAGGTGTGAGCCAGTATGCCAGTCCATTACTGTAACATTTTTACTTTTTAATTTTTACTGTAATCTCAGCTACTTGGGAGGCTGAGGCAGGAGAATTGCTTGAACCTGGGAGGCAGAGGTTGCGGTGAGCCGAGATTGCGCCACTGCACTCCAGCCTGGGCGACAAGAGCGAAACTCTGTCTCAAAAAAAAAAAAAAAAAGGAAACTTAAAAAACATTTCAACTCTTTTATAAGACTAGTTTAAATTACAAACCTATTGTACAACTGTACAAAAATATTTTTCTCTATGTCTTTATTCTATAAGCTTTTTTCAATTCAAATTTTTTTCTTTTTAAACTCTTTTGTTAAAAACTAAGACGCAAACACACACATTAGCCTAGGCCTACTCAGAGCCTAGATCATCAATATCGCTGTCTTCCACTTCCACGTCGCGTCCCACTGGAAGGTCTTTAGGGGCAATAACATGCATGGAGCTGTCCTGTCCTAGGATGACAATGCCTTCTTTTGGAAACCTCCTCAAGGCCCTGCCTGAGGCTGTTTCATAGTTAACTTTTTTTTTTTTTAAGTAGAAGTAGTGTACTCTAAAATAATGAAAAAAGTATAGCATAGTAAATACATAAACTAGTAACACAGTCATTTATTATCATTTTCAAGTATTATGTACTGTGCATAATTGCATGGCTATACTTTTATACGACTGGCAGTACAGTAGGTCTACACCAGCAGCACCACGAACACGTGAGGACTGCGTTGTGCTATGATGTTATGATGGCTGTGATGCCACTACGCAATAGAACATTTTCAGTTTCACTATAATCTTAGGGGACCACCTTTGTTTGTTTATGTGGTCCATCATTTTATGCGGCACATGACTCTGTGTGCGTGTGTGTGTGTGTGATATCAAGAGACTAAATTTGATTTTTTTTTCTTTGAGACAGTGTCTCGCTCTGTCGCCCAGGCTGGAGTGCAATGGCGTGATCTCGGCTCACAGCAACCTCCGCCTCCTGGATTCAGGCAATTCTCCTGCTTCAGCCTCCCAAGTAGCTGGGATTACAGGCACCCGCCACTACGCACGGCTAAATTTTTGCATTTTTAATAGAGACAGGGTTTTGCCATGTTGGCCAGGCTGGTCTTGAACTCCTGACCTCAGGTGATCCACCCTCCTTGGCCTCCCAAAGTGCTGGGATTACAGGTGTGAGCCACCGCGCCCGGCAAATAAACTTGATTTCTGATCAGTTATTTGATATTGAGTCACTGTTTATTTTTAAAGGCATGCTATACTATTGCGGTCATTATTTACTTTTTTATTTTAAATATTTTGAAGAATTTTTAAAAATCTAGGAATTAGGGTTTTCTTCCAAATAATCAGGGGGCAAGTGGGAGTATAAATGAAAAGGGTTGTCCACATGTTGATAATCACTGAAGCTGGGTGATGGGTATCTGGACGTTCATTATGCTACTCTCTCTGCTTTTGTATGTGTTTCACTTTGCTGGGCATGGTGGTTCACGCCTGTAATCCCAGCACTTTGGGAGGCTGAGGCGGGTGGATCACCTGAGGTCAGGAGTTCAAGACCAGCCTGAACAACATGGTGAAACCTTGTCTTTACTAAAAATACAAAAATTAGCCGGGTGTGGTGGTGGGTGCCTGTAGTCCCAGCTACTCAGGAGGCTGAGGCAGGGGAATTGCTTGAGCCTGGGAGGCGGAGTTTGCAGTGAGCCGAGATCGAGCCATTGCACTCCAGCCTGGGTGACTGGACGAGACTCTGTCTCAAAAGAAAAGAAAACAAGTAGGGATTGACAGTAATCATTGAAAGATAAATTGGACCTGGTTGACCAGGAAAACGAGGAAACTCATTTTGGAGATCAGAAATGGAGCACTGACCATTCATACAAAACTTCATATTTCTCAGAACAGTTTCCCATTCCACAGCTTTATCATTGTGTTCTCTTGTTGCCTGTGAGTTAGGCATGTCAGGCATGAAGCTGTGAATGAGAAAACTGAAGTTATGAGACCGAATGATCTGTCACAGGTACTAAGAGGCCACGCTGGTGTTAGAACTCATGTCTATCCTTAGGCCACAGAGGCAGGAGCAAGGGCCTTAGGGAGACTGTCCTGGCTACAGACCGGGGTCCATGCTGGAGGAGTTGGAAATATGGTTGCTTACATAGTGGCATCAAATTAGGAAAAAGCTCAGAAGTCACAAAGAAAAGGTTAGACTAGTGTCAAAGGTAGATTATTTTTCTTTCCACACTATTGCCCCTTGCCCCACACTTCACCCTTCCCACATACGAAGAAATATAGAAACAATTTTTTTTCTTTAGGCAGTGCAAAATGTTCAACTCTACTGCTTTTAAAATTAAGAAATGAGATTTTACAATCTTTTTTTTTTTTTGAGATGGAGTTTCACTCTTGTTGCCCAGGCTGGAGTGCAGTGGCGTGATTTCGGCTCACCGAAACCTCTATCACCCAGGTTCAAGCGATTCTCCTGCCTCAGCCTCCTGAGTAGCTGAGATTACAGGTGCCCATCACCATGCCCGGCTAATTTTTTGTATTTTTGGTAGAGATGAGGTTTCATCATGTTGTCCAGGCTGGTCTAGAACCCTTGACCTCAGGTGATCCACCCGCCTCAGCCTCCCCAAGTGCTGGGCTTGCAGGCATGAGTCACCATGCCCAGCCAGATTTTACAATCTTATTCAAAAAAATGTATTAACACAAAAACCATTTCAATTATGTATTTTAGTCAAGGAGGATAAGAGGAGCAGGAAAAATGAAGGCAGGGGAGAGAGGTGGAAAGGGAGAAGATGAGCAGGGGAGACAGGAAGAAATATTTTGAGCAGAAGATTAGTGATGATAAACTATCCTTATTCTACTGCTGCTATTCACTTGCGCCCCAGGCTTCGAAATGGATTTTTGCCTATTATGTCTGTCCTTTGAAAATCAGGATAGCTGATTGTATCGTTAGCCTTTAGGAACCCAGACTTCTAGTGTGAAGGAAGAAAGTGTACATGTGCCGCTGGCCAAGGGCAGAGCACACACAGAGCCTTAAATGAAAACCAAGAAGAGCCAGGATTATTTTCTGCAAAATACAATGTTGAGCAGAGTCCACCTCCCACAGGACGCAATGCCCTGCGGGTGACTTGACCACTGGGAAAGAAGGGCAGTGGCCAGGGTCCCCACACTCTTCATCCGGGGCCTGATATCATGAGGTCTGACTCAGTCTTCACTAGAAAACCCATAATCTCCTTGAGTCCCAAGTCTTCCTTGACCAAGAGCTGTGAATCACTAAATTCTAGACGAGAAACAACCATTCCATTGCATATCTGTTTTTCCGTCCTAATTCCTAAATTTTAAAAATAATGTCTTCTCTGTATTAAAACCACACACATGCAGTCAATCACTAGCCAGAATAATGGTGCAACTTTATCAATAGCACTTTTAGGAGCTATCAAATACTTAGACGCTATCTCACTATTCTCAGGAGTTTGGTGCGACAAGATGCTTCTTCCTGTGTTGTGAAACACAGACTGACATGATGGAACTGAAAACGTATTTTTCAATGCCTAGAAGCGTCTATGCTTTATTACTTTCCTTCAGATAGAAAAGGTGAGAAACAGTGACATATACCTTGCTTCATGGAATTACAATCCCTGGCAGTGATCACGTACACCTTCCTCAAAACATTCTTTTGAGGCTGGAAGGGAGGAGAGGCGATTCTCTTATTTGACAAAACGGAGAACAAAGCAATCGAGTTGTTAGTCAAAGTTCCCAAAGTATGTTAATGATGATATTAAAATAATTTTACACTTTAACTGTATTGATCTGCAGACCAGAACTCTTTCCATTCATCCAAAAGACACATATTGATTTATTAATTTTTAGTGATTATTAGGAACTATTCTACCATCTGGGGGTGCAAAGATGGATATGAAAGACACAGCTCTTAGGAGAGGCAGAGAAGTAAACAAAAGGTTCAAAGGCTCCTTCCGTGAGGGTTTTGTTCCACTTCTCTCAGTCTCTGTGTTAGTGGAAGGTAAGGATGGGGGGAACTGAAAGGCTAAAAACAGGGTTGAGAGCAGATGCCTGGGCTGCCTTGTGTAGCAGTCAGCACCTAGGGCAGCATGGGCCCTGGGAGATGTGGTTAGGAAAAGGCCATTTTCCTGATAGAGTAACCTGCTTTTTCTGAGACAGGGTCTCTCTTTCTGTTGCCCAGGCTGGAGTGCGGTGGTACAATCAGAGCTCACTGCAGCCTTGAATTCCTGGGCTCAAGTAATCTTTCTACCAGAGCCTCCCAAGTAGCTAGGTGTACAGGTGTGTGCCACCACACCTGGCACATTTGTGTGTGCCTGTGTGTGTGTGTTTGTGTGTGTATAGACAGAGTGTTGCTATGTTGTCCAGGCTGGTCTTGAACTCCTGGTCTCAAGGGGCCCTCCTGCCTTGGCCTCCCTAAGTGGTTTATAGGCATCCACTGGGATTACCCAGTGGGGTTATCCACAGGCATGTGCCACTGTGCCCAGCCCTGAAGTCAGCCCAGAATAGATGAGAATGAGCTATCTACTGATGAAACTACCTTGAGAGGTAGTTGTGAGTATAATCCTGAGGAGTGGAGAGCAGGAGAACTACAACCAAGGGGACCAGAGAACCTTGAGGCTAAAGCTCAAACCAGACGACCTGCATTGCAGCCTGTCTGAAATCATGCAAGGAGGCAGGAAGGGAGTGTGCGTCCAGTCGTGTGACCCAGCCCTGACCCAGGCAGAGGGTGTCCTGAGCCCTTCCCTTACAGGAGCCCTCCATGTGCCAGCATTCTGACCCATTTCAGGTGAGTTTCCTGTGCTGAAAATGAGCAGACATCTGTGATATAACCTTTTAACATGCTCCAATACCCTCATCCAATGCACCTTGCTTTGATCCCATCCCACCAAGCCACTGAAATTGGTTTATCCTATAGATTTTCATAGGAAAGAGGAGGTGCTGTCTCACAAATATGACCAATAACCACTCAGCAGTAATAAATCTGACTGTTACTTGACATGTCATCCCTGGTTAATATATTTTCTTGTGAACCTGATAGGTATGCATCAGATAACCAGGAAGGGAACTAGTAAAATCCAATTTTCAGGCCTGCAAAGCTGAAGACCAGAAATGGGACTTTCCAAGGTAGTTGTAATTTTCTTGGCCACCCTAGTTCTATTATCTGGAGTGCTGTCTAACATTTAGTTAGGTGCTCAATAAATGTTACCATTATTACTACAAAAATATTCCTATTTGTTTGTTAGTTTATTTTTACGGGCCAGGCACGGTGGCTCATGCCTGTAATCCTAGTGATGGCAGCAGTGGCCCGTCTGGAGCAGCTGCTGCAAAGACACCTACTGCAAAGTGGGAGGCACAGCCGGAACTGCGCCCTCCATGGAGCAGGTGGAGCTGGGAACAGGTGGGAGGGAGCCCTGCCTCCTTCCGAGTTGGCAGGGTGGGAACCCCTCCCTCTGTGGCTGCAGACCCAGGGATCGCTGCGCTCTCAGGGACCTGGGAAGCCCCCCTTCCCCCGCAGGCTCAGAAGTACCTGCTCTGGCTGTCTGGTCTCTGCCCACTTTCAGGGCCTGCTCTGGGGTGGAGCAAAGTTGTGGCTGAGCCCAGGCGCTGCTGTGACCTGTCTGGGTGTGTGCACACTCAGGGTGGCACTGACACACCAGCCCCCAGCTGCCTCAGCCCCCTCCAGACTTTGGGCACTGATGAGCACAGGAGGGAGGCCAAGAAGGGGCCGAGGGTGGCTCAGCACAGGCCTGCAAGCACCCCTTGGCATGAACAACCTGGGTGCTGCGGATGACATGTAGACAGCAGCAGGAGGCAGACAGGCTCCTGGGCGGAAAGGGGCCGGCCCCCAGTGAAGACCCACCCTCAAGCCCCAGATGGCCTGAAGCCTGGGGGTGGGAGTGTCAGGTCTGGGTGGAGTCCATGGCACAGAGTGAGAATTTATGGTGCTTTTTCTGGCCCGCCCATGGCTGTTCTTGGACCAATCAGCAGGCACTTCCTCCCTTCTGAAGCCCATAAAAACCCCCAGACTCAGCCAGACTCACAGAGACATCGGGACTACCAGCTGTAGGAAGGAGCTACCAACTTAAGTTCTCCTGGACTGGTCAGGATGACCTGCCTGTGGAAAGGAGCTACCCACTTCAGGTCTTCTGAGAGCTGTTCTGTCGCTCAGTGAAGCTCCTCTCCACCTTGCTCACCCTCTAGTTGTATGTTTCTCATTCTTCCTGGATGCAAGACAAGAACTCAGGACGCTTCAGGACTGAAAGAGCTGTAACACAAAGAGGGCCGAAACACACTCCTCCTTCTCCCCCACCCCAGTTAACCACGTTGCAGGTGATGAGAAGGAGAGAAGAGCTGCCATTCTTTGGGGAGCCTGGACCTAGGGGCTCCCTGAGCAAAGGCTATGACACCATCTTTGGGGCTTCGTGGTTCCTGGCATCTCCAAGCTTCTGGGTGCCACCATGTTCCCTGGTACCCACAGTGGAAGCTGCTTGTGGTACGCCTGGTCCAGCTGCAGCCTTGTGTGGAGCTGGTGCCTGTGCTGGCTCCTGGAGCTGTTCACCCTGCTGCAGCTGGCATGCCTGGCTGTGCGCAGTGGCCAGACCCTGTGCTTGCTCACACACCCCTTGCTGTTCTGCACCTGACTTGCCCTTGGCAGGCATGGGATCCAAGCTGGTAATGTGATCCAAGCACAGCTTGCAGGGCTGAGTGGCTGAAACGAGCCCAGTGGGCCCAAGCAAAACTCGGGCTAAGATGCCCCCGGCCACAGAGGTTTCCGGTTGGAAAAGCGACACCCTAAGGATCCTGTGACACCAGTACTTTGGGAGGCTGAGGCAGGCGGATCACTTGAGGCCAGGAGTTCGAGACCAGCCTGGCCAACGTGGTGAAACCCTGTCCACTAAAAATACAAAAATTCACTGTGTGTGGTTGTATGTGCCTCTAATCCCAGCTACTTGGGAGACTGAGGCACAAGAACTGCTTGATCTTGGGAAGCAGAGGTTGCAGTCAGCCAAGACTGCACCACTGAATTCCAGCCTGGGTGACGGAGTAAGACTCTGTCTAAAAATATATATATATATTTATGGCCAAGGGAATTTTAAACACAGAAATACCACGTATGTTTAAGCCATTCATCTCTACATACCTGCAAAGTAGCATGTCCCTTGAAGGCAGGGACCTGACCCAATGCCCTGCACATACAGGTGCTCCCACTGGGTGCTGTTAATAAACAGCCTATCTGGTGCTCAAAGCTGCTAAATTATGAAAGAGGAGACCAAGTCTGTCTTCTGTTCCTATCTCTCCTCTTCAGCATTTTCCTGCTTCTATTTGGATCCATTGTCTTCCCCTCTTAATACCCAAGTAGGCAGTTCGAGTTAAATTCCTACCTTCCTGAGAGTCCCTAAATCTGTGCCGCTCGAGCAGCACCCACACCGTATGTTTAACACTTCCCTGCCTGCCCCATCACAGCCTGCACCATAATGTCCTATATCGTCATTGAAAAGGATGGAGAGGGAACAGCTAGGCAACTGTTACAGTAGGATAATAATTGGAAAGGAAGCCTAAATGCTAGCTTTCAGGAATGATGCCAGCAATTTTAAGGCAGTATAAGAAGTTTCAGTCTGATATGAGGGAGAGGGAGTTGTCTTGATTTGGAGAGATTTCTCCTCTCCCTTCTTCTTCACTCTAAAACCACAAGTCAATCTAGAAAAGTTGGTGGTGTGTAGTTTGGTAAATAAGTTCAGCCTTTGACATGAAGATTAACCTGGTTTGACATTGATTGATTGATTTGACATGCAGATGACCTGAGATTGGTGCTCCTGTCAGTCTTAAAAACAAACAAACAAAAATCCCTAAGCTTTGAACTTGACCTAGTTGTTTACCACATGTGTGATTCCAGGCTAGCTTCCTGTCTGTAAAATAAGGGTAATTGTAATGCTTCCCTTTCCTATTGCACAGAAATGTGACGATAACGTAAGCCATTCTACATTCTAACTATGTGTGTGTTGGGGAGGGAGGGGGGAGGGATCATGTCTGTTTTGCTTCCTTTATTTCCATATTGTTTGGAAGATGCTCATTAATACTTGACTTAATGAACTGTCAGGTGGGATAACCCTTCCCTGTTCCTCCGTTTGGAGGGCAGATAGAACATGATGACTGGAGATGCATGAAATGTGACTAATGTCTCTGTGTAATCAGGACTTGCAACACCCTGATTGCTCCTATCTGATTCTTTCTGAACAAAACAAAACAAAAGAAAAACTTGACTTAATGAATAAATGGTGGAGTTGGGTGATTTCCACATCATTGATGTCCAAGCTTTAGCGTGCATCAGGATCACCCGAGGGTCTTGTTCAGACTCGACTGCCAAGACCCACCTAGAGAGTTTTTGGTTCAGGAAGCCTGGGGTGAGGCCCAAGAACCTGCATCTAACGACTTCCCGGTGTGCTGTGGCGCAGCGGGCAGGGACGGAGGCGCCCAGGGGCAGGCGGCAGCACGGGAAGAGGCCAGCAGGTGGCGCGGTCGCCCAACCCGGCCGCCCCCCGGGCGCCGAGGGAAGCGGGTCAGGGGCGTCCCCACCTGCCCAAGCGCCGGCTCTCCCAGGCAGCAGGGGCGGCGGCGGCCTGGCTGGCTGCGCTGCAGAGCGGAGAGCAGGAGCGGCGTGGGAGGAATTCGGAGCACTTTCGCCGCCTGCCTCCTTTTACTGCTGGTTGCCCTCAAAGGAGCCCTCTCCCTCCACACGCCTTTGGGCCTTACCAGCCGCCGGAAGCGGCGGCATCCATCCCAGCAAAGCGTGCATTCCATCCTCTGGAAAAAAAGTCTTTGAGCTTCCTTTACAGTGACCTTACTTTGGGGACTGAACCGTTGCGACTAAGAAAACCCCTCCTCAAGTTTAATGGAACGATCACATGACACGTGGTTGACGAAGCCATTCCCTCCTTGCTACTTGCCTTGTGTGATACACTGTCACGGCCCGGGCTTCTGGCTTGGTGGAGGGGACACCACCGCGGCTCCGGCTGCGGACTTCGGGCTCCTCCCCTGAGCCAGGCGGAGAGCGCTGCCCGCTTTAGAGAACTGTTAGGCGGCTGCCGGGCGACAACGCGGGAAAAGTGCCTTACACAGCGTAAGGGCTCAATCCACATTAAGGAATTAGGCAGGAAAAAGTGTCAGTGAATAGCCAGTGACAGTCCCTTAGGGAAGAAATGAATTTGGGTTTAGCTGTCCAGTAGAACTCTGCTGTCTACACTATCCAGCACAGTGGTCCCTAGCCATAGGTGACCATTGAGCACGTGAAATATGGCAAGGGTGATCAGAGAATTGAATTTTAAATTGTATTTAATTTTCATTAAATTTAAAGTATTAAACCGCACAGGTTTAGCAAAACGCCTTGCTGAATTGTGAAAAGATGTCCCTTAAGCCTTAGGGCATGGCTGGCAACGGATAAGAGGTAGTTAAATCTCTCTGCCTAAAAAGATATAGGAATTTTAGGGGATGGGGCAATCTGACTAGCAAGGAATGGAAGAGAGGTTGGGGGGAAAGGGCCAGAGGCATTGCGAGGAGTTAGTGACTAAGCCAATCAGAAAGGAAGTCAGTAAAACCCCTCTGGTGGCAGAAATGACTCAAGGGGAATTTAAAAACTGGAATGCGTAATATTCAGTCTGAAGTCGTTTACTGAGCAGCAGAATGATGTTACTTCTGTCTGTTGCCCGTCCCTTCAGAAATGTCTGCTTAACACAGAGCCTGGAGGTGGCAGCAATTAGGGAGTGACGAGATGACAAGATGTGGGGGTGTCCAGTGGGGGTGATTCGTTCACGAAAGGTGAGAGCAAATTCTGGAGGGAACAGGAGAGAGAGAAAGAATTCAGCACAGGTAGGATCTAGGGACTGAGAGACTGCGGTGATATTGTCAGGAGGACGCCTTTTCCGCTGCAGAGGGGATAGAGATTTTTGAACCACTTTTAATTAAATCTTAAAGGTAACAGCAGCTCCAGCAAGTGGGAGGACTTGAACATCCAGGTCTTTGCTTCAAAGCATTTCTTCAGATTAATGCTTCCTGACTTAAATAACCTCACAGAGCAGGCATCTCTTGAAGGGCCTCACTGCAGACTGCAGGTGTGAGTGAGAAAGGAGGCCAGGAGGGCTTGGGCAATGCTGCAGCAGGCAGACAGGAAGCAGAGGCACCGGTGTCTTGCTAAATTTATAAAGCGTAGCATCATTTTTTCTGGACTTTTGTCTCTCTCTGTGGTGTCTAGCAATAATGAACCACTGTCCACCTGCTCCCAATTTCTGTAGGGGTGTGTGTGTGTGTGTGTGTGTGTGTGTGTGTGTGTATGCAAAGCGAGGTGCAGCTTCGGTGCCAGGCATACTTCATGTGCTGCGACACAGCACCTCCTAGTCATTATCTCTGCTGCTGTCTTAGAAGATAACTCCTGAGGGTGATAATGTGGCATCAAGCTCCTCTTGCAAGTGATTCCATGACAAAACTCTCAGATCATGCCCTGTCCACCACCCCTTCCCTGCCTGGAACCTAGAGGTAGATCAAACATCACCTCTTAGTAGCCACCTGTGACTCGTAGCCCCAACAGCTGCCTCTCTGACCAGGAAGCCTTTGCATAGAGAACCGGGAAGGGAGAGAGTGTAGGCTTTCCAAGAGAAGGGACTTGTGTTTTCCCTGGTTCCTCTGTTGTATCCAAGTAAAGCTAGTTCTCTAGCTACTGCACGTGATAATTTATTTGATCCTGTTTTTGCCCACAGGATCTCCCAACCACTCCTTACTGTACCCTCTACCTTCTAACCCTGTTCTGCGGTAACCTCCTTGAAGAAACGTCACCTAGTGGAACCTCCTGGTGTCACTCTTGCGAGCACCCTCATGTACATCAGCATGGTTGCTCTGGGCAACTCCCAGTGGAGATGAAGCAAGTGGATAATCCCCAGTGGGGTTCGAGAGTATCACATGTTTTTCCAAAAAGCTCCCATTAAAATAAATATATTACCTGGCAGGGAGAGGAGAATCGCAGCATTCAGCTGGCAGACTGGCAAGGAATATTCCATCAGATTGAATAGAAGTCACTGGTCTAGGAAGGGAAGCTTCAGGGAAGAGAGTTTTTTGTTGTTGTTGTTTTTTGTTTTTTTTTTTTTTGAGATGGAGCCTTACTCTGTCACCCAGGCTGGAGTGCACTGGCACGATCCCGGCTCACTTCAACCTCTGCCTCCTGGGTTCAAGCCATTGAAGAGAGTATTTTTTAATGAGGGCAAGATGAGGGATGGAGGAGAAGGATGGAGAGGGATGAGAGGGAAATGGGAAACTAAAGGGTGCCACTCTCTGAAAGGGGCTATGCAAGAAGAATGATATTTTGCATGAGATACGGAGGAGAATGAATCTTGAGATTTTTAAAGTGAGATTAACATGGATTCAAATTGTGGCTCAGCCATCATCTGTGTGACCCCCTTGGGGGCCCATCTCAGGAGGTTTATTTTCCTCATGGGTACAGGAGGTCATTAGGATCTCATGAGATTATTTGTGTAAAGGTCACACCTTAGAAGGCCCATGCATACATCACGTTTGCTTAAGATTGACCACTTTTCCTGCCACAGGAAGGAAAAACAACAGCCACAGCAAAGGCCAGGAGAAATCATAGTGTGCATTTGTGTAGTTGTTATACCTCTCAGAGCACTTTCCTATAGGTCATTACGATTGCCCAAGTTCTAACAAGCTCAAGAGGTAGAGAGTCTCCAGCAGCGCCCCTGCTTGTAGAAAGCGGCATTAAGATCCCATTCAGCTTGGTGGTGAACTAGAGCAGAACTTTCGGGTCTTTTCAGCCCTGAACCTGGTCTGGTTCTCAAACGCTTTTTGATAACCCATGCCCTACCTTTAACCCTGGCATGTTTAGTGCAGTTAATTAGTTGGGCAGAGCATAACGTATGCACTTTTGAGAGACATTGATTGTGTGTGGTTAATTGGGAACTTGTCTGAGTGTGTGGTGTCTGTCTGCTGTGCACTGTGAAAGGCAGAGTCTGCCGCCTTTGCAGGAAATAGGCAGTTGACACTGCTGTTTTCCTGCTGTGCCAAGCCAGCCAGAAGGAACTTTGCCAGGTTCTTAAGGGCTTCTGGGCCCAGCTTTGCTGATAAAGATACAGTAACCTGAAGTGCTTTGATGAGGCTGTGTGCAGATTAATTCAGGTTCAAGACTAAGTTGGCATGAACTGAGCTTTGAGTGATGGGTACGAAAAAGAGTACCAGGTACTCACAAGGCAGGGACAAAAAAGCAAAGTGTGTCCCAGTAAGGGAGCAACATCACTGACTACCACTCTTTTAGTACAATGAACACACCGTCTATGGAACAATTACTATGTGTCAGGCACCGTGCTGGGTGTTTTTCTTATATGATCTCTTTGAATCGTCACAGCAACCCTATAAGAAACCATTTATGTCACTCGGAATTGCAGATGAGGAAGCAAAAGCTCTCTTAGCAAGGTTGAATAACTCGTCTAAGGTATGTAATAGAAAATACGGAGGCATCATTTGAATCTCAGGATTTCTATCTTCAGATCATTTGCTTCTTACACCTGCACTACATTGTCTGTCACCAAACTGATCTGACAAATGACCCAGATCACAATATGGATTGGCAAGAGAGGGGGAAATATCTTATGGTGCGGGTATTTTGTTGGACAGGGTTGGCCTATCTCCACAAAAAAGGCCAGGTCAGTTCTACTGCACCAAGACAGGATTGCAAGGGCTGGGGTCACACTGTGCCCTCCTTTTTAAATCCCTGGAAAAATTCACAAGATCCCCAGTGGGGTTTGAGAGTATCACATGTTTTTCTAAAAAGCCCCCATTAAAATAATTACATTATCTGGGTGGAGAGAGGAGAATGGCAGCACTTCAGCTGGCAGGCTGGCAGCCTGGCAAAGAATATTCCACCAGATTAAGTAGAAGTCCTGGTCTAGGAAGGGAAGCTTCAAGAAAGAGAGTATTTTATTTTTATTTATTTATTTATTTTTGAGACGGAGTCTTACTCTCTCACCCAGGCTGGAGTGCATTGGCACGATCCCGGCTCACAGCAACCTCTGCCTCCCAGGTTCAAGCGATTGAAGAGAGTATTTTTTGATGAGGGATGGAGGAGAAGGATGGAAAGGGATGAGAGGGAAATGGAAAACTAAAGGGTGGCACTCTTTGAAAGGGGGTTTGCTAGATTACTTTGTCCGGGGTCCTCAAAGGAGCGGGCTGAGCGTTGGGACGGGGTCCTGGTAAAGAAGGAGGATGCGCCCAGGATAATCATATTATTATGAGTTACCAGTTGCTGAGCACTTATCATGAACCAGGCATTATGCTAAGTGCTGCCTATGTCTCACATAATCCTCATCATAACATCATGAAGTGGGAACAGTTATATCCGTTTATCTATGCAAAAACTGAGACTTAGTTTGAGTAACCTGCCTGGAGTCTGTCCGGAAATGCTGCCGCTGTGATTCAAACCCAATTTAAAGCTAAGCCTCTCAACCTCGATGCTCTGCTACCCACCATTCTAGGCAACCAATAAATGTGGCTGAATTGATTTGGAGATTAATTATCACCACCACCACGCTTTCCCTAATAATAATAGGGCCTTGTGAATGTGTGGGCTCCCAGTCACCAGAATGGCTCACTTAGAGCCTGAGAGATCACACCCTGGGGGAGGTTGGACAAAACCATCTCAGCAGCCCCACCAGATCTATCAGATCTTTTGATCCAGTCAACTTTCAGGGTAAACAGGGTCATTTCAGACCATCTGGAGAAGCATAATGGCAATTCTTAGAAAATCTTTGGTAGCTCTCTGAACTCTAAGAAGCACTTCTTAAGCAAACCTCTAAGCTGTCTCTACCATCTTATGGCCTTTTTCTCTGAGACCAAGTCGAAAGGAGCTGGGAGCCAGGCCGGTGCATTCCTCCCCAGGCCCTTTCTTCACCATTCACTTCTGAGCACTCTATGCTCACCGTTCCATAAAGAAGTCTCTCTCTTCCTGGTTGATCTTGCCTCAGCTCAGTCTTTCCCTCAATATTAAGCTGAAAACAGGGAAATTCAATCAAAGTGAAGGCTTCCTTTACCCCAGCAGGTCCTACAAGCATTTAATAAGTTGCGTGGAGATGTAAAAATAGATCATGAAGCGGTTGATAAGAATAACATTTCTTGCCAAGAGAGCCCTTATGCAGGAGGACTAGCAAAAAAAAAAAAAAAAAAAAAAAAAAAAAGCGAGAGAGAGAAGCTCAGGAGCATTGACAGTACAAGAAATAAGATTTGCTTTTGGAGAAAAGAGAACAGAGAAGTTTTGAGATGAGAGCATGCTGGATACCAACAGAAAAAACAGTGAGTTCTGAAAGTGGGGAGGGGGATTGCAGGCGTAGAAGTAGCAACAGAGTTCCATCAGGCCAGGAGATGAATGCCTGTAATCCCAGCACTCTGGGAGGCCAAGGGGAGGATCCCTGGAGCCCAGGAGTTTGAGACTGGCCTGAGCAACATGCAAGACCCAGTCTCTACAATAAAAAATTTTTAAAATTAGCTAGAATCACTCCTTGACTCCCCAGCTCCTTGGGAGGCTGAGGTAGGAGAATCCCTTGAAGCCCGGGAAGTCACTGCAGTGAGCTATGATCAGGCTGCTTCACTCCAGCCTGTGTGACAGAGTGAGACCCTATCTCAAAAAAAAAACAAACAAAAAACAAACAAACAAAAAAAAACAACCAAACAAACAGAAACCTCTATCTCATGGCAGCCTTGGAAATAATTACAGTGCATAGAAAAATCAATCGGCAAGCTTTTACTGAGCACTGGAACACGATGGCAATGTGAAACCAAAAGACCAGGCCCCTTTGCAAGGAGAGTGCAGAGTACTGGGGAGATAAAAATAGCACACTTGAAACAATTAGAGAGCAATTAATGCCAACTGTCTGGTTCTGACTCAAGTACAACGGGACTCCAGAGAGTGGAGGAAGCCTGGCGAGCTGGAATAATCTGCCAGGCAGGGGTAGGAAAAACTCACAGGGACCCCAAGGTCTTGGGTGTCACATGCTTTGAGGAAAAGAGTCTATTCCTATGGAATGCTCTGCTTGCGTAATACACACAACTCAAACTAACCACAGTCTTGCCCTTCCAGAAGTTTCCAATTAAAAAGCAGAACATAGCGCTTGACCTACGACAGCTTTGCTAAATAAATGGATGAAAGAACAAGTGATTGGAGTCCTAGGACTTCTTAGGGATAACTGAGGAAGCAAGGGAGTGGGAATGGCATGGTTGTAGAAATATTCCTTGGTCTACTGGCTCCTTTCTGAGGGCAGGGACTTTGTCTTTCTTCCATATTTATTAAGCCCTCACCATACAAAAAAATATTGTGCTGGCCCTGAAAATGAGAGGTCTGGAGATGCAACAGACATAGTCTATGAGCTTCCAAATGTCTCATACAAGAGCTTCCTTTGAAACCTGGAGCTTAATTCTGTACATCATGCCTTAGATGACTGAATATCCTTTCCCTAAATACACATCTACTAAGTCAATCATAAATTCTGTAAATAGTTTGCACCTACTATGTGCTAGATAATGTGATAGGTGGTCAAGATAAGCATGAAAAACAGTGTTTTCTTCTAAAAAGAGCTTATTGTTGGCTGGGTGCAGTGGCTCACACATGTAATCCCAGCACTTTGGGAGGCCGAGGCAGGAGGATCACCTAAGGTCAGGAGTTCGAGACTAGCCTGGTCAACAGGGTGAAACCCTATCTCTACTAAAAATACAAAAATTAGCTGGGCATGGTGGCTGGCACCTGTAATCCCAACTACTGGGGAGGCCGAGGCAGGTTCGAGAATCGCTTGAACCCAGGAGGTGGAGGTTGCAGTGAGCCGAGATCCCGCCATTGCACTCCAGCTGGGGCGACAAGAGCAAAACTCTCTCTCAAAAATAAATAAATAAAATCAAAAGAGCTTACTGTCAAGTGGTAGAGAAATAGTCATATATTTAGTGCAGTATATACTTGTTCTCATGGCATGTCGTGCAATGTGTGGGCAGAGCTCAAGAAAAAGATCACCTAAGCTGTCCAGAGGAGTGAAGGCCGAGCCCACAGAGGAAGAAGCATTTGAGTGGATTCTGTCAGGGGCAAGGTGTGGTAAGTGGGAATAACATGTAGGCAGGTGGACTGGAATGTGCAAAATCTGGATGCATGAGAGGACTTAGTAACATGTTCTGAGAGCTGGGAATAACTGAGTACTACCAGGGCATAACATTCTGAAGGGGGAGTAGGAGAAGATGCCATTAGACAGAGCAGCCATTATCTGTCTAACATCAGATTATCTTTCCCCAACTATCTGTCCCTAATTTTGATGGACTGTGGATGCCATGCCAATAGAACAGATTGCATCATGATGAAGACTGAGGGGCCATCAAGGAATGCTGAGTGGTGGAATGATGGGATCAGGTTTGTGGATGAAAAAGAACCTTCTATCAGCTGCATGGAGGAAGGTGGGAGTAGGGTGGAGGCAGCCTGGGGAAGGATAACTGAGGCAGGAGACAGAGGCCAAACAAGATGTCTTTGCAGTGCTTCACATAGGAGACCATGGGAGCTTTCAGGCACGGGCAGTGGGGAAAGGACAGGAAGAGCCTAGAAAGCTACTTACTTTGATTTCAAAGTCAACAGGGCTTGGTTGCCAATTGGATGTGGAGCAAGGGAGGGGAGATGAGGATGATTGTGAAGGTGGCAGTGGCAAGGGTCGCAAGCACCACCAAGCAGTACTCTTGTCTTCATTCTCCCTGGGCTGCCTCTTCCCTAACTCATTCTTTGTCTCCTGCAGGACCTCTGAAACACTACACCAGAGTAAATAAATGCCCTTGCATCCTCCAGTTCTTCCTGGAATCCCGCACCCTCTTCCTGATTTGAATGGAAACTCACTCTTACACAAGGGCATCCTGGAATCCCGCACCCTCTTCCTGATTTGAATGGAAACTCACTCTTACACAAGGGCATCCTGGAATCCCGCACCCTCTTCCTGATTTGAATGGAAACTCACTCTTACACAAGGGCATCCTGGAATCCCGCACTCTCTTCCTGATTTGAATGGAAACTCACTCTTACATGAGGGCACGGCTTCACCTGCTTTGTCTCTTCTGAGGGATGCTCATTCTCCCATCCCCAGTGCCAGCCAAAGAAGTAGCCCCGACAAACAACTTTAAAGTTTCCCAGTTCTGCTTCCAAGCCGTACACTGTTCCAGTCCTAATATAAACATTGCTCCTTTGAAACCCACATTCTCCTGCCATATTCTTTCTTATAAGTGTCATTTTCCTGGCTCATGGAAGAGTTTAGGGCCTGGCTCCAGGTCCTCCCCTTCACCCCAAGACCTACCGTCATCCTGACTTCTGTGTCTATGAGGATGACGTGTCCAACAGTCAAGCTTCAGAGTGACACTCACAGCCATTCTACTTCAGCTACTCACACCTATGGCCACACCCTGATTTTGTCCTCATCTGAAATGGTTTCATCTCCAGAACCTTTAACTCAATATGCACGCTCTGACCACAGTGTCTTATCCTTCCATGTCTCCAACCTCTTTGCTTTTACTGTGCCTATTCCCTAATTTTAATAAGATCTCTGGCCATGTTGCCTCTCCATTTGTAGTCATCTCTCAATCTACTTCTTTCTCAATTTCCTTCTCCAATCAGTCTAGAAAACAAAATATATTACTTCATCATTATATTAAAAAAATTTTTTTTAAATATTATTTGCAGAGATGAGGTCTCACTATGCTGCCCAGGCTGGTCTCGAACTCCTGGGCTCAAGCGATCCTGCCACCTCAGCTTCTCAAAGTGCTGAGATTACAGGTGTGAGCCACCACGCCGGCCATCATTATTGTTTGATTATCTTTGTTTCTCATTCACCCTCATCTTTTGCTCTTCTTCAGCAAAACCCCAATCCCTAGACCAATCCAGCCATCTCCTGCCTTCCTTTATACCTGGCTCAGGCCCAAATTCTGACGTTCCCTCTCGACTCTTGCTGTTTCCTCTTGACCCCAAACAGTCACCGTGCCCTACCAATTCTCATTCTCCTTCCCAAATACCTCTCCAGCAGGTTCCCTCCTCTCTATCCCTACTGCCCCTCTCTTAGTTCAGGGTCTCAATAGTTTTCATCTATATTAATTCCACTTAGTTGATCTGACTACTACAGTTTTGGAACTGAAATTCAAGACTGTTTTCTGAACTATACTCTCATCATATCTCGATATCATATCATATGATCTGATCATATCACTGTATCCGGAGTGATCTTAAAAATACAAATGTCAGGCTGTGTGCGGTGGCTCATGCCTGTAATCCCAGCACTTTGGGAGGCTGAGGTGGGGGGATCACCTGAGGTCAGGAGTTCGAGAACCTGGCCAACTTGGTGAAATCCATCTCTACTGAAAATACAAAAATTAGCTGGCTGTGGTGACACATGCCTGTAATCCTAGCTACTTGGGAGGCTGAGGCAGGAAAATTGCTTGAATCTGAGAGGTGGAGGCTGCAGTGAGCTGAGATGGCACCAATGCACTCCAGCCTGGGCAACAGAGTGAGACTCTGTTTCAAAAAAAAAATAAAAATGTCATCATGTCACTCTCTTATTAAAATATTTTAATGGCTCTCCAGGCTCTTCAGCATCACATATAAGATACATTGTGATTGGACCCCTGTCCACCTCTCCAGCCCCCACACTCCCTATTGTATTCTAAACTTTACCTCCTTTGTTCCTTCATTCTATCCTAAGCTTTATTAAACTTGACTGGGCACAGTGGCTCACACCTGTAATCCCAGCACTTTGGGAGGCTAGGCAGGAGGATCACTTGAGCCTAGGAGTTTGAGACTAGCTTGGGCAACATAGAGAGACCTCTGTCTCTACAAAAAATTAAAAAATTAGCCAGGCATGGTGGCACGCACCTGTGGTCCCAGCTACTCATGAAGCTGAGGCGGCAGGATTGCTTGAGCCCAGTAGTTCGCGGCTGCAGTGAGCAGTGATCATGCCACTGCACTCCAGCCTGGGTGACAGAGCAAGATCCTGCCTCAAAAAAAAAAAAAAAAAAAAGAAAGAAAAAAAATATATAAGCCACTTGTGGATTCCACAGTATGTCACGTTCTTTTCCTTTGCTGCAGATACTATTTCCTCTGCCTGAAACATTTACCTCTTCATTTTCTAGCTACTCACTCTTCAAAACACAATTGATGTCCAGCCCAGAATATGGCATCTTAATACATGCTCAGTACATAGGATCTTTACAAAAAGGTCCCTGATATTTCTTCTATCTCCTGAGTGTTGTTGCTCCTATGTGATCCTTGAGAATCTCTATTGTTATGCCTTTCCCATTCTGTAAATGTTTTCTGTTTACTTTTCCATCTTCTACACTAGACTGTGACCTTGAGAGTAGCAACGTTACCTCCTTCACCTTGGCATGCCCAGCACCCAACATAAGGCATGGTACACAGCAAGCATTCAATGTGCACTTGCAAATGAATGAAAATGGGCAGAGATCTAAGCCTCCTCTCCTGCGCCAGACCATCTTGTTCTCCCAGCCTATCCTGAGGGAGGTCCTGGACTGTTGCTCTCTTTTGAGGCCTTCTCAAGTATTAGATGCAACCCCTTCTGTATGCCCTGGAAATGCTGGTGTCTCAGCCAACAAGTCTGTTTCTAAAGCACTTGTACTAACAAAGCCATCCTGGCCTTTCAGTGCAGTGGGAATGAAGGTTGATGGGTCTTGCTCTTCCCCCGGCAGGTTTCCTCATCAGGGACCTTGGAGGAAGGTCAGGAAAGATGGGCATGTACTGTGAGCTCTTTGAAGGACCAGACCTAGTGGATTCCTTGAAATACCTCCTTTACTGCCTACTAAAACGGCCCTGCAGATTCCAAAGGCAGTCTTACTGTAACATGAGTTGGAAGAACCTCACTTTTTGCCTTCATTCTCTCCCTGCTGCATCCTCTACACTGTCGTCAGATGTAATACCCTGAAATATTCATGTGATCAGGTTACTTGCCTCCTTACCTCCATACCTTGGCTTCCTTTGCCCCAGCCAACATCCAACATGAATGCTCTTCCCAGACCTTTCCACCAGCTAACCCTACAGAGCCGCACCTGGCTCTCCTCCTCTGTAGAAGGCCCCGGGCTTTTTTTACTCCTTCCCTGATTCCAGCAGAAAGAATCACTCTTCCTCTGTTCTCTGCCAGAGTTTTGTTCTTGCTACACAAAGAGCCTTTATCATTCAAACATTATACTTAGCCGCTCACATGTCTGTCTCCCTGGGATGGATTAATTCCTCGGTGAGGACTGCCGTTGTGCAGCTGCAATATTAGTGGTTGTGGTGGGGGGGTATATTGAACCTTATAATTTATGTAATAATAAGATAGATGTTGCAGGGGTTTTATTGCTTTAGGTTATAGAGGAAAGACCATTGGCATTGGAGTCAGACAGACAGCAGACCATCCTTTGCTGTTTGACTTGCGTCTCTCGGCCTGTTTCCTTATCTGTGAAGTGGGAATGATAATAACAACCTCAGAGGGTTGCAATGGGGATTGAATGCAATAACAAATGTAAACTCTGCAGTCTGGTATTTGGCATATGGTAAGGTATACCAAAAAACGAGTTAGTTTTGGCCCCCTTTCCAGCTTGTAGCTCTTCAATGTCTATACTTGAAAAGCTATTTAATAATATTATTTCATCCAGGATCTACCCTCACCCAACCTTTTCTTCTGATTTTCAAATACTTAGTATGGTTTTGATCACTGCCCTCCTTGAGACACCCTTCAACCTCTGCACTTCCTTTTCAAAGCATTGTGATCCTTTATAGGTAGAGGCTTTTAAAATGGTAGTAGTAGGTTGGGCACGGTGGTTCACGCCTGTGATCCTAGCACTTTGGGAGGCCAAGGTGGGTGGATCATTTGATGTTAGGAGTTTAAGACCAGCCCAGCCAACATGGTGAAATGCGGCCTCTACTAACAATACAAAAATAAGCTGGGCGTGGTAGCTCATGCCTATAACCCCAGCTACTCACGCGGCTGAGGCAGGAGAATCACTTGAACCCAGAAGGCAGAGGCTGCAGTGAGCAGAGATCATCCCACTGCGCTCCAGCCTGGGTAACAGAGCGAGAGTTCATCTCAAAAAAAAAAGAAAAAAGTAGTAGTAGTAGTAATAATAATAATACATTATAATGAGTAACACTTACTGAACACTTACAAAGAGCCAGGCTCAGTGCTACACTGTTGATATGCAGTAGACTTGCTACTTCTATGACTAAGACATCATCTCCATTTCACGAATGGGGAGGTTGAAACTTAGATTGTTAAGGTAACTTGCTAGTAGCCAGATAGCTAGAAAGTGGTAGAGCCCAGTGCACAGGCAGAATCCATGACCGGTCTAAAATCCTTGCCCTCAACGGCATCATTCTGACACTCCATGGGGTCTTCCCATGGCCATTTGGCTTGCCATAGAGAGGTCAGAGGCAGTACTCAGGGTCCCTCATGGGCTGTGAGTTGGGCTGTCTTTGATGACTTCTTGGTGCGTGTGTTTGGGCATTGTGACATCACAGAACAAGGGGCAACCCTACTAGCCCCAGACACAATGCACTCTGAGAGGCATTCAGGCCTCCTTCTCCCTCCTTTTTGAAACACAATCACCTATATTCACGCACACTCTTGTGTTAGGGCTCGAATGCTAGCAGCAGATGTGTGATCAGGTGATTGGTCTCAGAAATAAAGCAATCTGAATGAGGACAGGACTTCCCAAGAGCGAGTGACAGTGTCGTTCAGGGACGAGCTGTGCCATGCTGTAGATTTCCGGCGAGGCTTCTTTTGACTGTGGCCAACAATGGAGAACATTCAGTACCCAGAACCCCTGCCAAATTTCACACTTGGGGTTTAGCCCAGTTTCACGGACGTCCTTCTCCGGGGCCCCACGGACACTCTTGTTTCTTGCTGCTGTCCCCAGCACTGCGCTGCAGCAGCCCCTTTGGCTTCTGCTGTCTCTTCTCCATGATCCCTGGCTTGTTTGGAGTTCCTGCCATTCCCCTCCCTCCTCCCCTCCCTCCTTTCAGCCCCTCAGCCCCTCCAAGGCTTTCCTGTCCCGGGAATTATGTGCCTGGGGTTTGCTCTGTGTGGAGTTTTCTTCCCCAGACCTTGTGTGAGTGCCTCCAGGTCTTAACTCCGATGTTCCTCCTCCAAGAGGCTTCCCCTGGCCACACCATCTGGGCAGCCCCTCACCCTATCCACAACTACATTACCCTATTTTATTTTCTCAGGTACTTCCAGTTTCTAAAATTATTTTCATTTCTTCACTTGCATGTTTGTTGTGCCTCTTGCCCCAGTAGAATGTTAGATCCTAAAGGTATAGCTCTTTCTTGTCTAGTGCTGTATTACTAGTTCCTAAAACAGTGGCAGGCATGTGGCGGGGGCTCTCTGTCCATACCTGCTAACTAACCAAATGGCTGATGGAATGACTGACAGGCCAGAGGTCCAGACATGTGGACAAAGAAAGACAGTGATAATGAGAGCTAGCATTTTTTGAGGTAAGGGTTTATAAGCATCATGCTGAGGGTTTTACATGCACTATCTCATTTAATCAGCCCAAAATCCTTATTATTATTCCCATTTAGCAAATGAGAAAACTGAAGATTAGAATTCTTTTTTAATATGCCCCCTAAAATATAGCTGCCTTAATATCCCGCATGGCGAAGCTGACCAAATCTCAGGACTCTACCATCAAAATCAAATGCGTTTACTTTGTTCAAAGAATCAGAAACTGCATGAAAATACCCAGTGGCAGGAGACTGAAGAAATACCAGAGTAGGACCATAAGGAGGGTTGCGGTAAATGTGAAGAAACTGAAACCCCTATGCACAGCTGGGAAATGTAAAATGACTCAGATTCCTTGGTAAGCGGTTTGGGAATTCCTGAAAAAGTTAAACATACCATATGACCCGGCGATTCCATTCCTAATTATAATAGCCAAGACGGCTGAAACACTTGTACACAAATGTGCATAGCAACATTGTTCATAACAGCCCCAAACTAGAAACAACCCAAATGTCCATCAAGTGATGAATGGATAAACAAAGTGTGGTCTATCCACACAATGGAATATTATTCAGCCATAAAAAGAAACAAAGTACTGATTCAAGCTACAACATGCACTACCTTAAAAACATTATGCTCAGTGAAAGAAGCCAGAAAACCCGGACAAATATTGTATGATTCCATTTGTATGAAGTGTCTAGAATAGGCACAAATCTATAGTGACAGAAAGTAGAATGATGATTGTCAGGGGCTGAGGGAGGAGAAATGGAGAGTGACTACTCCTGGATATGGGGTTTCTTTTTGGGGTGATGGAAACATTCTGGAATTAGATAATGGTATTGGTTGCACAGCCTCAAAAATATGCTAAAAGCCATTGAACTATATACTTTACAATGGTTAAAGTGATGAATTTTATTTATGTGAATCATATCTGAAAGAAAGAAAGAAAAAAGGAAGGAAAAAAGAAAGGAAGGAAGGAAGGGAGGAAGGGGGGAAGGGAGGGAGAGGGGAAGGGAGGGAGGGAGGAAGCAGGGAGGAAGGCGGGGAGAGGGAGGGGAGGGAGGGAGGGGGAGTCAGATCATCAGCTTGTTGATAGAGCGCTCTGGGGAACACAGGTGTTGCAAGTGGTCAGGTAAGTAGTGAACTGAGAGGCTGCCGGGAGCAGAGGCCCAGCTCTGAGGGAGAGCTGTCTTAAGCGGCCATGCTCGTTTAAAATGGGGAAAGGAACTGGAAATTGCAAGGCAGGGCCCAACCCATATACCAGAACTGGGCATTAGATAGGCTTCCTAAACTAGAGCTAGGAGGAGGTGTCAAAGCAGAGGCTTAGTCATATCAACAGAGTGAATTGTGGGGGGAATCTGGGTAAGGAAGGTGAGGCCTGGAGCTGCATTTACAGGACAGAGGAGCCACACCAGGGACAAGTGGGTGCAGGCACAAGGGAGCTCAGGGCCCGCAGGGACTCACTGAGGCCAGTATTACACTAAGGCTGAGCATTCTAGGACTTGGCCTCCATGGACTGGTATAGCTGAGCCTGCTCCAGCACATTCTTACTCAGAGTTGGTCAAGATTTTTGGAGCTGAGCATATAGGAAATGAAACTAATGCCTCAGCTGGGGCTAGGGGTTGAGGATATGGGGAGGGTAGCAGGCTGAGACCTCCAATTTTTCCCACTGTAAAGCTTTGTAATCTATTACAATGCAAATGCCACTGAAAAGTTAAGTAACAGGCCCCAAATCACACAGGTAGAGAATGAAACAGCAGCCGGACACGATGGTCTATGCTTGTAATCCCGGTTCTTTGGAGGCCAAGGTGGGCGAATCACTTGAGCCCAGGAGTTCAAGACCAGCCTGGGTAACATGATGAAACCCTATCTCAAAAAACAAAAAACAAAAAATTAGCTAGACATGGTGGTGCACATCTGTACTTCCAGCTACTCGGGAGACGGGAGGATCACTTGAGCCTGGGAGGCGGAGGTTGCAGTGAGCTGAGATTGTGCCACTGCACTCCAGCCTGGGTGACAGAGCAAGACTTTGTCTCAAAAAATAAATAAATAAAAGAAAAGGGGGAAAAAAAAAGAAGAAGAAGAAGGACCAGCCTGACCAATATGGCAAAACCCCTTCTCTACTAAAAATACAAAAATTAGCTGGACGTGGTGGTGGGTGCCTGTAGTCCTAGCTATTCGGGAGGCTGAGGCAGGACAATAGCATGAACCCACGAGGTGAAGCTTGCAGTGAGCTGAGATCGTGCCATTTGCACTCCAGCCTGGGTGACAGAGTGAGACTCCGTCAAAGAAGAAGAACAGAAGAAGAAGAGGAAGAAGAAGAAGAAGAAGAAGAAGAAGAAGAAGAAGAAGAAGAAGAAGAAGAAGAAGAAGAGGAGGAGGAGGAGGAAGAAGAGGAAGAAGAGGAAGAAGAAGAAGAAGAAGAAGAAGAAGAAGAAGAAGAAGAAGTAGAAGAAGAAGAAGAAGAAGAGGAAGAGGAAGAGGAAGAAGAGAAGAAGAAGAAGAAGAGGAAGGGGAAGAGGAAGAGGAAGAGGGAAAATGGAAAAGCCTTTTTCAATTCTATGGGTGAGAGACAGTCTCATATGATGGGTAAGAGCACAGGCTGTGAAACAAGACCACCTGAGTTCAAATCCTACCTTTGTGTTACCTTGAACAAGTTACTTAGCTCCTCTGTGCCCCAGCTCTGTCCTCTAAAATGTCAATGGCATTGACTTTGCCTGTCTCATAGGTGGTGGTGAGGATTAAATAATGCTGTACATCTGAAGCCTTTAGAATAATGCTCAGGACCCTGTAAGAGCTAATAATTACTAGTAGTAGGCTCTACCACAGTCAGAGAGACCAAGCATTCCCACACAAGTGTAGCCGATGACACAGTTTTGTGTAGTACCATCTCTTGTCTCTGTTTTTCCACATCATATCCTGGAAAGACTTGTCCTTGTTTATGTGTCTCTCCAGGGGTCAAATTAAATTGATAAAATCTCAGAGAGTGCCAGACATCTGGCTGCTCAGTAAGAACAGAAATAATCATCAGTGAGTCCTAAACGTGAGCCAGCCCTTCCCTAGCTAATCCTCCCCTGTTGATGGCTAGAATAATTTCTCCCATAAACTGATTATGCTGGTAAATCAAGACCTTCTTGGGCAATGAAGAAAAAACCTTAGATATATTCAGTTCTCAGGAGTAATATCATTGGTGAGACAAGCACAATTGTTATGTAGTTGAATGTATTGGAATTATCTGCTATCCAGAGACAGTACTTGATATTCACAGAGCCTCTTGTAAAAGGCTTCAGAGGACTTTCTGCCCATTAACTAGTTAGCCTTCACCATGTTTCTTGGAAAAAGGTCCTTGTGACTGTCCCTCTTGGCTGCCCATAAAGTCTTCTTATCTATCCTTTAGAACCCATCTCAGTTACCAACAAGCCTCTTCCTTCCTTTCCAAATTGAAATTAACTACTTCTCCTCTATACTCTGTACTCTGCATCACACTTTTTTCTCTATTCCAGCAAATTTCCTTGTGTAGTTGTAGCTCCATGTCTTTCTGACATCATAGGGACAATTATTTGATGTCATGAAGTGTCTATTCATCTCTATGTCATTTTCTGCCTGCCTCTCACACACACCCAACATGTGCTCATCATGTTGGTTGCGGGTTTATTCGTATTCTGAATAAGATCCCCCTTGAAATTTTGATATATCCCTCTATAGTAGGCATCATCTGAAAGAGATGACTACTTTTTTTTTTTTTTTTTTTTTTTGAGACAGAGTCTCGCTCTTTTGCCCAGGCTGGAGTGCAGTGGTGGGATCTTGGCTCACTGCAACCTCTGCCTCCTGAGTTCAAGTGATTCTCATGTCTCAGCCTCCCAAGTAGCTGGGCATGCACCACCATATCCAGCTAATTTTTGTATTTTTAGTAGAGAGGAGGTTTCGCCATGTTGGCCAGCATGGTCTCGATCTCCTGACCTCATGATCTGCCCACCTCAGCCTCCCAAAGTGCTGGGATTACATGCGTGAGCCACCACGCCTGGCAGTTGAGAAGCATTCTTCTAACACATACCTTGCATTTAGTAGGCATTCTACAACTGTATGTGAAAATAAATAAAAGAAACCCCACATTAGAGAACTTTGGCGATTTCACCAAGCCCATAAAACCAAGATAAAACTTGGAAACCTGCCTGCTGAATTTCAGCTATTATGTAAAATGAATATTGGTGCTGTGTGAATATGTTGCTATGTGGTTTTCTAAAATGTGAGGCTGGGGCCTTATTGTTTTCCTTCTTTCTTTTCCTTTGTTTTTTCCCTTACTTCCTTCCACACATGCTTACTGAGCAACTATTATGTGCCAGGCATCTTGCTGGGCATTGGCGATTCAATGATGGGCAAAAGCAAACAAGGCATCTTATGGAGCTTACAGTCTGTCCAGTGCAGGGAATTGTCATAAATCCAATAGTCAGTCCACACGTAAGGAATGTGTGCTGGCCAGCTGAGGGCAGGGTCCTAAAGGAAAGGAACACTGATCCACGAGCGCTTATTGCAGAGAGGACTGATCTAGCCTAGGAAGGGTGTGGGGAGAGGTCAAGAAGGATTTTACTGAAGAAATGACAGTTGTTAAAATAAAAACTTTGGACAAATTAAATTTAACAGGGTTTAATCGAGCAAAGGACAAATCGTGAATCGGGCAGGTCTCAGAACCAGAAGAGGTTTAGAGAGCTCTTCACTCTGCAGCAGGGGCAGGCAACCTTTACGGACAGGACAGTTCCATTGGTTACACCTTGGTGTTTGCCTCATTTGAATGTGATCAGATCAGTTGACCACCTGTGATTGACTGAAGCTCATTTGCTGTGATTGGCTGAAACTCAATTATTTGTTAGAAAATTATACTCCTAATTTAGGATTTTAGTTAGTTTATATACTAAGTTGGGTTGCAGTTGATGATGTAAGGAGGCATCCTGGGGCCAAATTTAGTTTAATTGAACAGTGTTAGCCAGGTGCGGTGGCTCACGCCTGTATTCCCAACACTTGGGGAGGCCAAGGCAGGTGGATCACCCGAAGTCAGGAGTTTAAGACCAGCCTGGCCAACATGGTGAAACCCAGTCTCTACTAAAAATACAAAACAATTAGCTGAATGTGGTGACGCACACCTGTAATCCCAGCTACTCAAGAGGCTGAGGCATGAGAATCCCTTGAACCCGGATGGTGGAGGTTGCAGTGAGCCAAAATCATGCCACTGCACTCCAGCCTGGGTGACAGAGTGAGACCCTGTCTTGATAAACAAACAAACAAATAAAAACAAAACAGTAATGAGAACTGAAGGAGAAGTGAGAATTAAACAGGTAGAGAGGGTGGAGATTGCGGGGGGGCCAGCACACACCAAGGTTTGTGATGGGAACACCAGTGCATTCCAGAAACCAAGGACCTACAACATCTGGCCGGAGCCCAGAGAAGATGCAGGAGGTGTTTCTCTCTGAGGCTTGAATGTTTATGCAGGAGCCAGACCATCCAAGGGCCAAGTAGGCCAACATAAAAGGTTTTGTCTTTATCCTTCTACAGTGGGAAATCACTCAAGGTTTTGAGCCAAGGTGTAATGTAAGCATACAAATAGTCTGGAAAAATAGTCTGGCTTGTCTGTGGGGAATGGACTAGAATGTGGGGAGCATGCAAGAGAGAAAGGAGGAGACCAGTTAGCAGGCTGCTGAGTGGAGTCAGGTGCCAGATGATGGTGACTTTAATCAGGGCGGTGGCAATGAAGATGAAGAAGGTTGAAGCCATCCCATATGTAAAAAATCAACAGGACTTGGTGAGGGCATGGACTAAAGCTTAGGGCTCAGAAGAAATGTGACTGTGAAGGTGATTGATCCAGCAGGCACTCCCCAACGTATCCTGAATACTAAGTAACTACAGCAGCTGGGAGGCTGAACAAATCATTCTGCAAAATGAGCTGCCTCCTATCAAAGGGGGAAAGACAAGAGAGGATCCAAAACTGCCTCAAAGCTTCATCCGGGGGCTGCTGTTTTTAGGGAGTATTGAAGTGTGCTGATGATTTCCCAAGATGAGTCAGAACTCCCTACATCATCATCTCATTCCCCTGAGAACTTGGAGACCGTCTTAGCTGACAGCCTACCTCTTCCTCCACTTCTTCCCTCTCCTTCCACAAATCTGGATCAGACCCAAGGATGTGGAGTACTGTTTGATTTTTAAGAATGATATCCTGTCCTCTGCTATTTGTTTTTGTTTTTGTTTTTCTTTGAGACATTCTCGCTGTCACCCAGACTGGAGTGCAGTGGCACAATCTCTGCTCACTGCAACCTCCGCCTCCCAGGTTCAAGCGATTCTCTTGCCCCAGCCTCCTGAGTAGCTGAGATTACAGGCGCCGCCACCACTCCTGGCTAATTTTTGTATTTTTGGTAGAGACAGGATTTTGTCATGTTGGCCAGGCTGGTCTTGAATTCCTCACCTCAGGTGATCTGTCTGCCTCGGTCTACTAAAGTGCTGGGATCACAGGCGTGAGCCACTGTGCCCAGATTCTCCTCTGCTATTTGATTTCTGCTCTGCTTAATCGTTTGTTCAATCCAGGCCAATGAATCAATCAACAAACATTTCTTAAGCACTTTTCACTTATTCAACAAATATTTATTGAATGTCTACTATGTTCCAGGCACAGCTCCAGGGGTGGGCAATATACCAGTGAACAAAATAAAGTGAACTGTAAGTTGTGGCACATGCTTCCTTAGGAGCGTGATATCTACACATATAGATTAGAGTGAATAATACAAGACAAGTGACCAAGATGTTTTTGTTCTCATGGGATGTAAAAATGCTCAGTTAGCTTCTAAAGACTAAAAACATTGGAAAAAATAGGAGATAATTATAGACTGCAATAACATGGGAGGGCTCCAAAGGGAGGAGGTGTTTAAGTCAGGTTCTTAGAAGATAAAAGGAATTGCCGGGCGTGGTGGCTCATGCCTGTAATCCCAGCACTTTGGGAGGCCGAGGCAGGCAGATCATGAGGTCAGAATATCAAGACCATCCTGGCTAACACGGTGAAACTCCTTCTCTAATAAAAAATACAAAAAATTAGCCGGGTGTGGTGGCAGGTGCCTGTAGTCCCAGCTACTCGGGAGGCTGAGGTGGGAGAATGGCGTGAACCCGGGAGGTGGAGCTTGCAGTGAGCCGAGATCGCGCCATTGCACTCCAGCCTGGGCGACAGAGCGAGACTCCGTCTCAAAAAAAAAAATAAATAAATAAATAAATAAAAAGAAGATAAAAGGAATTAAGGTGGGCAAGGGGAAGAGCATTTCAGAAAGGAGAACAGCATAATGGCATGCACAGAATTGGTGATCCATGGGCATATGTTTGAGATATATTGGTAAAACCAGACTGACTCAGTGATGAGTGTACATTAGAGTGGAATATAAAATGAGGTTGAATGAATCCAGTAGGAAAAGATGAGAAAAAGTCCTAAAATCAAGCAAGGGTACTTAGATGTGATTCAGTAACAGAGAGGAAGACATTGAATGCACAGGAGATGTTGTGGAGAGCACAGATATTAGCTATAGTTTTAAGTCATTCAAGCTTGAGAGTCTGTGTTTCTCAACTCACATTCAAATCCTCAAATCAGAAATAGGAAGAACCATATCAGGACTGTACTGGGCTCTCCCCACAAGGTGGATGCTCTGAGTGTAGGGATATCAGGTTCATAATGAAAATAGAGCCCTTGTTCTCGCTAATGAAGTGTGTTTGGGATTTTGTTTTATTGTTTTTTTGATAGGGACCAATTTTTTTTTATAGCCAATGAGAGAAAAGTAAGGAAGAAAGGAAACTTATAATGTGGTTCTAAGTGGTTTTACCACATATTTGATTAGGTCCCTAGGGGAAAGATAAACGTTTAATTGAATAATTTAAGAAGGTGAACACGCAGAAAGGAGACTCCTTAACTACTGATTAGAAAGCATATCTGAGCTGGAAAGTATCCTCTTTGACTTAAGTGGTGTGATAAGTGCCATTATTATGGGAAAATTCACACTATTTCAGAGTCTACAACTGTAATACGACTGTGGCTTGCCTAACACTTCTCATTTTCAAAGACATTAAATTCTTGAGTGCCTATTACCAAATGTGTAATATCTCCACACTGCCATTCCCATACCAGCCAAAACACAATGCAGCAGAAGGACTCACTGTGTAGAAAAGTTGTCAAGAAGCCACTCTGGGTGAACAACGCCTACCAATATCTCCCACTTTTTCACCATCCACTTGTTTCTTAACTCTCTGCAGCTGGACTAAAATTCCCTTCTCAAAGGTTACCAATTACTTTCTAATCGCTAAATCCAGCAACTTTTCCATTTGTCTGATCTCAGTAGCATTCTATAGCACCATCTTCTTAAAACCGCATGTTTATTTGGCTCTGGGGTTGTTTCATGCTTCTGAAGTTCCCACTACTTCTCTTCTCTACACGTTGTAAAGACGAAACTACTACATCCCACCATTATCCCCTGTTCTTTATTCAGCTCTTTATTCAGCTCAGATCTCATTCACTGTGTACGTCAGCCAACACACCTGTGTAGATGATTCCTGAGTTAACGAGTGTCTTCTTTGTTTCTGGCCCCTTTGCATCCTAATGCATACCTCATATATAGTTGGTGCCAAAAGACGTAATGAATTCCCATGTCCACATACGCAACATGAATTTCTCTTTATTTCAGACCTCCAACTCTCATTGCTCATTTGAACCTGGATCTTTCCAACCCCCAAATTTCTATACTCAAATGAATCACATTTAATACATTTAACTGTCTTGTAGTTACTTTCCAGCAAGGAGAAAAATCATGTGTCTCCTTTTCTGACTTGCTTATTTCTTTTATCCATACTCGGAGCCTTAATTCATGTTTGACTAACTTGACACTACCCCAGTCCCACCCCTGGCACCTATAGCCAATGTCCTAGGTCTATAGATTTTCCTCTAACTCCTTTTCCTTCTTTTCTATTCTTCCCTTGCTGTTTATCACTGCCCTAATTCAAGACTTTATCAGGCTGGAATGATAATTACTAGTTTTCTAAGAGGTATTCTACTTAGAAGCATAATTAAATGAAGAAGAGTTTCTCCTGAGCTTCACTCTATCCTGCTTGCCATTGCCAGATTAATATTCCTAAAACACTTTTTTTGGTCATTTATCAGTCCAAATTCCCTAAGATTTTTAATGGTTCACATTGCCAGCAGAACCCAGTGCAAACACCTTGGCTAGTATTCTGAGCAACCAGTGTCTAGCTTTCAGTTTACTTCCCATTACACATTTCTGGACCTCCCCTCAAGCCAGGGCTATCTTGTCATCACCCCCCTTCAATACTTTGGACATATCATTGTTCTTCCTGTCCCCTGTCTTTGAAATACTTTCTTTTATCCTAGTATCCCTGTAGTTCCAGTGTCCCTACCCTAGAATACCTTTCTAGTTATCTAGTATCCTAGAATCTAGTATCTAGTATTCTAGTCTTTCCACTCCTGGGAAGGCTTTTCAACTAACAACAATGTCTCTTTCAGACGATCTCTTGAAATATTAACATACTTTGCCTTGCTTTGTCTTTTTAAAAAATTTCGTGTGAATACTGTTTTCTTGAGTTATAAACTCTTTCTAGGCAGGGATTAAGACTTTTAAATCTTTGAGTCACCCCAAAAAGATTAGCATGTTACCCTGCAAATACACTAGATGAAAACAGTTATCCATTTTCTCGAGTATTACTAGTCGGCAGGTTCTAATTCCAAAAGCCAGGAGATTATGTCCTGACTTGCCAGGTTATTGATGTGAGATTGGAAGACCCACTGGACTGGAAAAAGTGGTGAGATCACAGCATGATACTCTGAAAAATTTCCAGAGTGTCACGCTTCAGTGATCTTTCTTTGTTGGGTCTTAAAGTCAAAGGTATAATATCCCTTAGGACAAGTTATTGAGTTTCTGTCCTACCATGCCACTGAAATTGATGTCACTGAGGTCACTGTTGACTTCCTAATTGCTAAACCCAATGGATTGGTTCTAGTTTTTGTCTTATTGGACTTTTTTTTTTTTTTAATCACTACTGTCCACTACTTCCTTCTCAGAACTTTTCTTTTGGTTTTGCTCTTCTTACTTGCTTCCTACTTTTCTGATCTCTCTTCTGTTTCCTTTGCCATTGTTATTTCCCAAAATATGATTCTGCTGCTCTTCTCCATTTATCACACTCTCTCCGTGGTCACAAATATCTCCTTGATTTGACTAGCTTCTGCATGTGTATGATTACATTTCTCTACTCCAGACCCCTCTGGTGGACTCCAATTTCCTGAAAGACATCTTGACTCAGATGTTTCACAGGAGTCTCAAAATTGGCAGCACTAGCATGGAACTCCATATGTCACCTACCCCTGCACTGGAGCAAATCTGCTCCTTTTGATCCTGCTTGGTTGGCTTTTTTAAATCAGCAGCAGGTCAACATTTTTGCACTCACAAAATAATTTGGAAAAACTATATACCTCTTTCACATTTTTTTTTTTTTGAGATGGAGTCTCACTCTGTCGCCCAGGCTGGAGTGCAGTGGTGCAATCTCGGCTCACTGCAAGCTCTGACTCCTGGATTCATGCCATTCGCCTGCCTCAGCCTCCCGAGTAGCTGGGACTATAGGCGCCCGCCACCATGCCTGGCTAATTTTTTGTATTTTTAGTAGAGACGGGGTTTCCCCGTGTTAGCCAGGACGGTCTCTAGCTCCTGACCTTGCGATCCACCTGCCTCGGCCTCCCAAAGTGCTGGGATTACAGGCATGAGCCACTGCACCAGGCCCTCTTTCACATTTTTAAGTTTTCTGTTATCTATTTCAAAAGGTGTAGTTAACATATTTTAAATATTAACAATTCAAAAATAAAACTATTATAGAATTTTTAAACAGTATCCAGATAAATTTTTATTATTAATTTCATACTCAAAATCATTCATTTAAAAATACCTTAAGCTCTTTTATATTATTGTATAAATTTTAAGGTGTATAACATGCTATTTTGATATACACTTCGATATTGAAGTGATTACTATAGTCAAAGAAATCATCTTATGTAGTTATCTTTCTTTCTTTTTTGGTTTATGGTAAGAGTACCTAAAACATGTTCTCCTGGCAAATTTCTAGTATGCGATACAATATTACTAACTATAACCCTCCTGCTGTACCTTAGATCTCTAGCAAGCTCTTTGTTAAGGGTTAAAAAGTTTATATATTTTTGGCTGGGCCCCGGTGCCTCATGCCTGTAATCCCAGCACTTTGGGAGGCTGAGGCGGGCAGATCACCTGAGGTCAGAAGTTCGAGACCAGCCTGACCAACGTGGAGAAACCCTGTCTCTACTAAAAATACAAAATTAGCCGGGCATGGTGGTGCATGCCTGTAATCCCAGCTACTCGGGAGGCTGAGGCAAGAGAATCACTTGAACTCAGGAGGTGGAGGTTGTGGTGGGCCGAGATCGTACCATTTCACTCCAGCCTGGTCAAGAAAAGCAAAACTCTGTCTCAAAAAAAAAAAAAAAAAAGTTTATACATTTTTTTCCTTGAACTTATTATTTCCACTTAACTTTCACCAATTTAGTGGTTGGAAGGATTTTATTGATCACCCTGTATACTTCTTTGCAACAAAAATATAAATTAAGGTAGAAAAATATTTATTTTGGTGGCATAAATACATGCATCCAAAATAAGCTATTATGAGAATTACTATCAGTACACAAGCAATTAAAACATAAATAATTGACTGTTTATGATTTTGAACATAAGAAGTAAATTTTACTGGAAATGTATCACTTAATAAGATAGATGGGACTTTAATTTTTTCCCAATCAGTTTATGTATCTGTAGTTGATATAACATATTATTAGAATAAAACAGGATTCAGCACTAATTTTATTCCATTTTATTTTTCTAATTTATAAGTCAAAAATAACTTTGTGACCTGGTTTTTTTTTTTTTTTGAGATGGGATCTCACTCTGTTGCTCAGGCTGGAGCCCAATGGCTCAGTCTTTACTTCCTGGGCTCAAGCGATCCTCCCACCTTAGCCTCCCAAGTAGCTGGGGCTACAGGTGTGTGCCACCATACCTGGCTAATTTTTCAATTTTTTTAGAGAAATGGGGTCTCACTATGTTGCCCGGGATGGTCTTGAGCTCCTGGGCTCAAGCAATTCTCCCACCTAGGTCTCCCAAAGTGTTGGGATTATAGTTGTGAGCCATTGCACCCAACTTGATCTATCATTTTAAAAGTAGATTTACTGATTTATCAGATGACAACTCCATTAGAGCTTCTTTGAATTTAAAGAATTGGGAACCATCTTATATGCAAAAGTATTTGTTACCTAGTCATTATACTAATGTACTTTCTCAACGTTGATCATAATATTTTAAATATCCCCCCTGTTTTTGGCACATCAAAAAATTTTATCCCGAGGCAACATGCTATAGGAATATTTAGGCTGGGTGAGAAGCATGCTTTGCTTTTGTGAAGTGGGAGAAGGATGATTTGGAAGGGAAAGCTGGAGAGGAGCTACTCGGGCAGATAAGGTTTAGGAAAGATAAACATGGAAATTCATTCCCTTAAATTATCCATGCCTACAGCTTGGTGACAACCGTGTATGCTGTTTGTTGCCCGTTTGCCATCAACTCCTCACTTCCTCTTTCCTAATAAAGCTTTAATTTAGTTCAGGTATTAAACGTTACATTACCACACAAGGCAACAAAAGACTTCCCCAGCCCAGATCCAGAGGAGACTCCTGACCCATCCAAGCCAATCAACACAGGGTTCCATGGCTACAGTTATTTACTCATGTTGCCCAAGTGAGCTAAGCAGACTGAAGTCAAGACAAATGGTACTCCTGTTTGTGGGGAGAGCCTCCTCTCTCTGATGGAATGTGACTAAAAAACATGTGGCTTTCTAACTGTCACTGTTAGCCATCCTGGGTTTGTCTACATTAGGATAACAGAAGACTGTAAAACAGAGAGGTGGAAAGAGACCAAGACTGTGAATAAACCACCGGTCAACCAGTCCTGGGGCCTGCTCTACCGCTGCTCTTTCTGTTATGTGAGATAATAAGTGTTTTTATTTAATGAAACAATGATCTGTGCCCACATGCATGCATGAATGAGCAAATAAACATGGAGTTTCAGAAGTTCTTACGTTCTCTGACTTGGGTTTTTGTAAATTTCTTTTTTTCTTTTTTTAAATTTTACCCTAATCCTGTGAGACACTGGAATTGTAATAATTTTGTAACTGATCCTCCTGTTTTTAATCTCTTCTTTGTTCCATTTATTCTACACACTGCTCCCCAGACTGATTTTTCTAAAGCATCTGCTTAAAAATCCTCCAGTGAGTTTCACAATCTGTAGAATAAAATTTAACCTCCTTGGCTTTAGTATTCCAAGTTCTGCAAACTCTGACCCTTACCTACATTTCCAGTCTTCTTCTGACATTCCCCGTTTCATGAGTAGCAGTGTGGCACATTAAGTAAAAACATACACTTTCAAGTTACAAGGACTTCAGCTGAAAACCACACTTCTCTGTATACCAGCTATGTGTTCTTAAGCAAGTTACTTGACTTCTTTGAGCCTTAGTTTTCTTACTTATAATCTTTAGGTAATGCTACCTACCTCGAAGGGTCATTATACAGATTATAAGTATGGGTTAAAAATGTGGAGCTTAGAAGTCATTTAAAAGATAGCGGTAGTTGTCATTGTTATATCTTAGGTATCAGCCACTTCTAGGCCACTTGGATTTGTGTAAACATGCAAATCCATCACAACTGCCTGGAAGGCACTGATTTCTACTTTTTTTTTTTCTCTTATCTCTCCTGTCTGGAGAACTACTTTTAATTCAAAACTATCCAAATGTCACCTTGACGCTCTAGCCTTCCTAGGGAATTCTCCCTGTGTTCTTCCACAGCACTTTGTATCCACAGAAGCATTTTAGATTGTAATTATTTATATACCTGCTACTAGTGTGGGAATTCTTGATTATCTGAATTTTATCTCATTCATTTTTGAAGCTCCCTCACATGGAATGGTGCCCAATACACAACAGATACCTGATAAAGACGAGTGAACATTGAATGAATGAGAGCCAAGGGCATAGATTATGGAATGTGGACTCTAGGAAGTTTCTTGGAGAAGCATTGTGTCTAACAACAACAACACCTGACATTTATATGCTTTGTTTCCATCTGTGAGGCACTCTACATATTTTATCTCATATAATTCTTAAAACATCCCTGCAAGGTGGTTTTGTCCTTATCCCTACTGTACAGATGATTACACTGAGGTTTGAAAAGATAAGGGATCCACACTCAAGAAGTGTCACAGTCGGAACCCGAAGCCAAGATTTCTCAAAAGAACTCTGTGACGATCTGGGCACTGAGCCAATGTTCCAGAGACAATGGAATTCAAAGTGGATTTTATCTGTGGATTATCAAGAAAATATCTCCAATCTTCCGTATTACCACCATATTGAGTGGTTCAGTTGAAAGAACTCAAATTAAAGTTGAGATATCTGGGTTATAGACTTTTATCTGCTAACAGAAATTTTGGATAATTGGGGGCCAGTTATTTAACTTTCCTGGGCCTTGAACAGCTTTTCAAAGTGATCTTCAAGGCACTTTCCAGCTTTAAAAATCTTTAACCAGAGGGCAGCTATGGTATGACTGGCTTAGGGGAACTAAATCTATTGTAATGATTTCTGTTAGCAATAGCCTTCAGTAACTTTAGGCTGAGACTAATAAAAGGCAAAAAGTATGATTTTAAGGAAGGGAGGAAATGGCTGGAAAGGAGGGAGGAAACACATTCCAGCCCTACAGACAATGCTGTTCATTGTCATTGGCCTAAATCTGCCTGCGGAGTTTTTCTGAGAAATAAAAACATCCCTGTTCTTTTAATGATGAGATTAAACGTTGATGACTCTTCTTTTTCCATTAATTCCTTTAGAAACAGAATAAATTGATTTGCTAAGATTGATCAAAGAGGCTGTATCCTTTCCCTCCCACAGACCTCTTAACTTCCAGGTTCAAAGAGGAAATAAGTGAAAAATAGGTTTTGAAATTTGCTTTTCAGAGTGGCCTATATTGCGTTTTAATTTAATTTGCTAGAATTTCACCTTTTGCCTTTGGTGGACTGATTAAATGAAATAAAATTATATCTGGGGTATCTACGTTACAACAATTGCTTAATCCTTCCATCAGAAGATGAACTGTCAAGGCCATAGACTGTCCTCGGGTAACTTCTCAGATTGCCTCCTCTAGTGACAGCTTCTGAGTTTGTGTGTCTCTGATATATAAATAGACCCAGAGCTTTCTTAATAGCAGAGCTGGACTGCCTGCTGGGCTCATTCTGAACTGTGCATATTGAGCAAAGTGGGAACTGGTCTGTTCATTCTCATAATTTTCAGCTGGTCATTGGCATCATAAAATTGTCCAAACCATGAAACCTAGTGCAGAGCCTGGCACACAACAGGTCTCAACAAATGTTTGTTGACTAAGCTGACCTAGTACAGGCTCCTCCCTAATGCAGGAATCCCTTCTGCAGGACCTTTGAATGGCTATTCGGTTTCTGATCAAATATTGACAAGGAACGTCATGAGATAGCGTGCTTGTTCTTCCATGGGTCTAATAGTTTCCTCCCTGTCCCCATTAATCTCAGGTTTGGAATCAGAGAACAGTAGCAATTGACAGAATTGCTCCTGTTGGCAAACTGTAAGCTCTAATGGACACTGGTTGTTTATAATCTGTCAGTCTCCCTTCTCCCTTCTGTCTATAACAATAGCTAGCCCCCTTGGGAAAACTGACTCCTCCTCCCAAGTCCTGTTTCTGTCTATTGCAGGGCCCAGGAAGAGAGTTAAAATGGAGACCCCATACCATATACGTAAATATTTTAAAGTTATGTTTGGCAAACAAATTGTTATGTGAAATATGCTCTAGGCTTTTACTTTCAGAATCTCAAAATTGAAAAATATGTGTAAATCTATGGTTTTTATATGACCAAAAGTCAGCAAAAATAACAGATATTGTACAATTTAATTACTTGTACACATGTCTAAGTGTGTTGTTGATGGACTGGCAGTGTTTTGCTGCACAATAAAATACATATTTTATAAATTATTATCTATCCATTCCACAAAATACTTGTCTCCTTTTCTTTCTAGCACAATAATTAATGTTATTAAAATTCACATTTTCATATAATTTGGGTTCTTTTGACAGTACTCTAAAACAGAGGCCAGCAAACTTTTTATTTTTCTTTTTTGAAATTTTCATCTTTATTTTGGATTCCAGAGGTACATGTGTAGGTTTTTTTTTTCTCTTTTTCTTTTTGAGACAGTCTTGCTCTGTTGCCCAGGCTGGAGTACAGTGGTGCGATCTCAGCTCACTGTAACCTCTGCCTCCTGGGTTCAAGCAATTCTCCTGCCTCAGCTTCCCGAGTAGCTGGGCTTACAGGCGCCCACCACCACGTCTGGTTAATTTTTGTATTTTTAGTAGAGATGGGGTTTCACCATGTTGGCCAGGCTGGTCTCAAACTCCTGACCTCAAGTGATCTGTCCAACTCGGCCTCCCAAAGTGCTGGGATTACAGGCATGAGCCACCGTGCCCGGCCACACTTGCAGGTTTGTTACAAGAGTATATTGCATAGTGCTGAGGTTTGGGCTTCGATCACTCTCATCACCCTATACCGTGAACACAGTATCTAATAGGAAGTTTTTCAGCCCTTGCCCTGCTTCCTCTCTCCCTCCCTCTCTCCCTTCTTTTGGAATTACCAGTGTCTGTATGCCCAAGTGAACTCAAGATTTAGCTCCCACTTACAAGTGAGAACATGCAATATTTGGTTTTCTGTTCTTGCATTAGTTAGCTTAGAATAACAGTTGCCAGTCACATCCATGTTGCTGCAAAAGACATGATTTCATTCTTTTTCATGGCTGCATAATACTCCACGGTGTATATGTACTGCATTTTCTTTATTCAGTCCACACTTGATGGGCACCTGGATTGATTCCATATCTTTGCTATTGTGAATAGTGCTGTGATGAACATGTAAATGCATGTGTCTTTTCAGCAGAACAATTTATTTTCCTTTGGGTATATACCCAGTAATGCAATTGCTGGGTCAAATGGTAGTTCCATTTTTAGTTCATTGAGAAATCTCCAAACTGCTTTCCACAGGGGCTGAACTAATTTGTATTCCCACCAACAATGTATAAATGTCCCTTTTTCTCCATAAACTCACCAACATGTTATTTTTTGACTTTTTTTTTTGAGACAGAGTCTCACTCTGTCACCCAGGCTGGAGTGCAGTGGCACCATCTTGGCTCACTGCAACCCCTGCCTCCCAGGTTCAAGCGATTCTCCTGCTCAGCCTCCCTAGTAGCTGGGATTACAGGTGTGTACCACCATGCCCAGCTAATTTTTTTGTATTGTTAGTAGAGATGGGGTTTCACCATGTTGGCAGACTGGTCTTGAACTTCTGACCTCAAATGATCCACCTGCCTCGGCCTCCCAAAATGCTGGGATTACAGGCATGAACCACTGTGCCCAGCCTATTTTTTGACTTTTTAATATTAGCCGACTGGTGTGAGATGATATCTCATGGTTTCGATTTGCATCTCTCTGATGATAGTGATGTTGAATGTTTTTTCATATGTTTATTGGCCACCTGTGTTTTCTTTTGAGAAGTGTCTGTTCATGTCCTTTGCCCACTTTTAAATGGGGTTGAGCAAACTTTCTCCTAAAGGACAAGATAGAAAATATTTTAGCATTGCCTTCGGTCTCTGCCCCAGCTACTGTATTCTGCTATTGTAGTGTGACAACAGCTTTAGACAATACATAAATGATGGGCATGGCTATATGCCAATAAAACTTTATTTAAAAAACAGGCAGCCAGCCTGTAGGCTGTAGTTTGCATAATTTGCCAACTTCCTGATCTAAAGGAATTAAAAATAAAATATAATTGCAATAAAGTGATAAAGTTTATTTGTATATTCATAAAATATAAATAAAACGTATAAAAATATAAAATTATTTTAATATAGCTTTTCAAAAATGTTAATTTTTCTTTTGAAATAATTAAAATTATCTTAAAATCAAAAGGCCAAACATAAACTCTAATTTTAAATAAAAATTATTTAAACAGTTGAAACTTTAATTTTTTAGGGGGGAATGTACAGGTATCTTATTAGCACTTTTTTTTACAAAAAATAAAAATATTTACAATTCTTGTGTTCAATGATCATCCAGTTGCCTATGTAAAAACCACCATTGTATATTATACATGCTGTATTTATATTTATATCTATACTCATGTATATATGAATATTTAAGAGTAATATGAATCATTTAATATTATAAAATGTATCTCAACCACCAGCTTGTGATTATGGAGCTAATTTGTGAGGATTTATGGGACTGTAAAATGAAACATGAAGAGAAGAAAGTGAGCAATTAGCACTAATGGGATATATATATTTGGGGTTTTTTTTGAGACAGGGTCTCGCTCTATCACTCAGGCTGGGGCGCACTGATGCAATCTAGGTTCAGTGCAGCTTCGACCTCCCAGGCTCAAGCAATCAATCCTCTCACCTCAGCCTACTGAGTAGCTGGGACTACAGGTGCAGGCCACCAGGTCTGGCTAATTTTTGTATTTTTTGTAGAGATAGGTTTTTGCCATGTTGCCCAGACTGCTCTTGAGCTCCTTGGCTCAAGTAATCTCCCACCTTGGCCTCCCAAAGTGCTGGGATTACAGGTGTGAACCACTGCGCCTGGCAGAGAAAAATGTTGCATTAGGCCAGAATCTATAACATTTATGCCATCTGAGGGGAAGGACATGGCACATTAATAAAATAAAAAAATAAGTAAAATTACCTAAGTGCTCCTGCCACTGAAATCCTCTGCTTACTCGAAAGTGGGATTAATCTCCAATGCTTGGGGTAGCATAAACCACAAAACGTGTAACCTGCACGGACCTTGGGGGACTGAAAAAAGGGGGACAAATGTGGGAATAAAGACAAGAGACAAGAGAATATGTTTGGAAGAAGGGGTCAGGGGACACCTTGCCTCTAGTGGACAAGGGCCCTGAGCTTTACACAGCCCTCCATATATATTAGGCAAAAGAGATAGCGAGAAGGGGGGTTGGAAGAAGAGGTCAGCTGCTCTGTCCCCAGTAGGCTTGCAAGACTGCATTCCTCGAACAATAGGCTCTAGATGTCCCAGTAGATAACCTCAAGGAGCCTACACCAGGGAGTGATGGCCCTCAGCAAACCTCCTGGGGCAGGCACAGAAGCGAGTTTGCCTGCATTTTGTATTCATGATAAACAGTTTGCTGTTTGATCATATAGCCTCCAGTGGAATGCTGAGTTGGTCACGAACCCTTTGGCCTTTTCAGCTCCCAAAAAAAACATAGCATTTGGATATAGCTTGTCTTTTGTTATGAAGACAAAAGGCAAAATATGTGAGAAGCATATCCTTTGGCCTGACTGGTGTTGGTGAGGGTGTTGGCAGCCCTCATGTTGAGAGTTTGCTTGAGAAAGAAGACATAAGAGGAATTCTGAGCCAAAAAATGGAGAAAGACTGAGTCAAAATGTCATTATTTGAGGACTTGGATCTGCTGTGTCTGAAATCTAATCTATTTCTAGACTTTTTACTTATGGGAGCTATAAAATTCCTCATCTGCTTAAACCAGTTTCACTTGGATTTCTATCAGTTGCAACCAAAAATGTTCCAATTAATATATGATATTCTGGACACTGGAATCCACTAATTTAATGGATCCCTAATTATTGCCTCGTCTTCTCTGCCTTTGAAGATTTATTGAAAATTAGACGTATGTAACTGTCTACACATATCCACCCTATACTCATGAACTTCTCAGATCTTGCCACAGCAATTTAGAAAGAACTGCTGGTAAACTTTACCGGTCATTCTACCAGAGAAAGTAAAATGCACATGTAATTGTCTTGGGGCTGAGATTTATGGCATTTCCTTGCTATCATCTATATTAACTAACCCCTTAGCTCTAACCATTCAGGATTACGTTGATGGCTCTAATTCTTCATGTCTCTCTGTATCCATGCCCTATGTCATTAACTTTATAGCATCCTCCTACTGATTCTGGATTTGGCTATGGTTTTGATCAATAGGATGTTAACAAATGTGACTCAAAGGCTTGCACATTTCTCTTTATTGTTCTTGATTTCTACTATTACTATGACCTGGCTAGGATGCCAGAAGGCAGCAGACCCGTAGAACAAAGTTTATTCAGGGCTCATTTCAGCTAAGCCCTTGATCAGCCATCAGCCAGCCAACATCATGCATTAGAGTGAGTCCAGACAAGATAAGTAGAGTGACCTAGTCAACCTGTAGCTGACTGTTGATGCATGAGTAAACCCAGCCCGGATCAGGTAAACCCACCCCAAATCAGGTAAACCCACAGGCTTATAAGCTACATAAATATTTATTATATGCTACTGAGTTTCTGAGATTGTTTGTTACACACCATTATTATGATGTGTAACATCATAACTGATATACCAGCCTAGAAGTGCTACATCTGGCAGATTCTGTCAGCTGTGTAGAATCTCTGTTTTGCTCTTTTATTATTTATTTTTCCTATTTGTTTCAGGAACACCGTGTTGAGATGTTTTACTCAACACAGGAGACTTGAAATATCACTTCTCTGAACTTTAGTTGCATCTGTAAAATTATAAGTTATACTAAGATAAAAAGTTTCTTGAAGTGCAAGACAAAAATAAGAAGCATTCAGATTGGAAAGGAAGAAATAGTACTCTCTTTATTCACAGATGACATGATTATCTATGTAGAAAATCTGATGAGATTTATTAAAAAGCTATTATAATTAGTAAGTGAATTAAGCAGGTTTTCAGGAAAAAGGATTAATATATAGTAACAATTTTATTTCCATTTACTAGCAATCAACAATTGAAAACTGAAACAATAAAAATTACCATTTACAATTACATTTAAAAATGAAATAGAAAGGGATAAATCTGACCAAAAAAATGTGCAAAACCCGTACACTGAAAACTCCAAAACTTTGGTGAGAGAACCTAAAAGAATACCCAAATAAATGAGAGACATACTGTATTCAAGGATCGGAAGACATGCTACCGTTAATTCCCCCCAACTGATGTATAGATTCAGTACAGTCCCAATTAAAATCCCACCTGACTTTTTAACAGAAATGGACAAGATGGTTCCAAATTTCACTTAGAAATGCCAAGGACCTAGAATAGCCAAAACACTTTTGCAAAAAGAGAAACGAATTTGGAAGCTTAACATTACATGATTTCAAGATTTATTGTAGAATACAATAATGAAAACAGTGTAGTAATTGAATATCCATATGCAAAAAAAAAACCTTCAATCCATGCTTTGCAGAAACTCAAAATGGATGGTAGGCCTAAATGTAAAACATAAAACTACAAAACTTCGACTGGATGCCGTAGCTTATGTCTGTAATCCCAGCACTTTGGGAGGCTGAGGTGGGAGGATCACTTGAGCCCAGAAGTTTGAGACCAGCCTGGTCAACATAGCAAGAGCTCGTCTACAAAAAAATAAAATATTAGCCAGATGTGGTGGTACACACCTGCAGTTCCAGCTTCTCAGGAGGCTAATGTGGATCTCTTGAGCTGGGGAAGTCAAGGCTACAGTGAGCCATGATTATGCCACTGCACTCCAGCCTGGGCAACAGAGTGAGACCTGGTCTTAAAATATTTTTTTTTTTCAAAAGAAAAGCATATAAGAAAATCTTTGTGACCTTGGATTAAGCAAAGACTTCTTACATTTGACTAAAAGCATGATCTATAAAAGAAAAACATTGGTAAATTGAACTTCATCAAAATTAAAACACCTGGTCTTCTAAAGACACTGTTAAGAGAATGGAAAGACAAACCCTAGACTGGGAGAAAATATCTGCAAAGCATATATCTGATAAAGGACTTTATATATATATATGTAGCTGTATCCATCTTAGTCTTCTAAGGCTGCCATATAAAATACTCTTGACTGGGTGGGTTAAATAATAGAAACTTATTTTCTCCCAATTCTGGAGTCTGGAAGTCTGAGGTCAGGGTACCAGTATGATTGGGTTCTGGTGAAGGCTGTCTTCCTGGTTTGTAGACAGCTGCCTTCTCATTTTGTGCTCACGTTGCCTTTCCTTGGTTGCAATGCATGGAGAGAGATAAAAATCTCTCTCTTTATATTATTAAGGGAGAGAGAAAAATCTCTCTCTCTTTCACTTCTTATATGGCTTCTAATTCTATCAGATTAGAACCCCACTCTTAGTTCTCATTGAACCTTAATTACCTCCTAAAAGCTTCTTTTTAAAATACAATCAGATTAGAAGATAAGTCTTCAACATATACACTTTGGAAGGGCACAATTCAGTCCATAGCAATAAGATTTGAACAGACACTTCATCAAAGAATATACCTGACAAATGAAACATAAAAAAAAGCCCCAGACCAGACGCCACGACACAGGGCGGTAATCCTGGCATTTTGAGAGGCTGAGGCAGGTCTATAGCTTGAGCTCAGAAGTTCCAAACCAGCCTGGGCAACATAGTGAGACGGTCTCTACAAACAATGCAAAAATTAGCTGGGCATGCTGGTGCGTGCCTGTAGTCCCAGCTATTCAGGAGGCTGAGGTGGAAGGATCACTTGAGCCTGGAAGGTGGAGGTTGCAGTGAGACAAGATGGTAACACTGCACTTCAGCCTGGATGACAGAGCGAGATGCTGTCTCAAGAAAAAAAAAATGCCCCAAAACATGAGTCATTAGGAAAATGCAAATCAAAACCACAATAAGAAATTACTACCTATCTTTAAGGATAGCTAAAATTAAAAAGACTTATACCAAGTACTGATAAAGATATGAAGAAACTAGGATTCTCACCATTTTGGAAAACAGTTTTGAAAAATAATTTAGCAGTGTCTGAAGAAGTTAACAAACACTCATCATGCCTCAGGCAGGCATTCATTCCTAAGTATTTACCTAGGAGAAACTGGAAAATTTCTCTAAGACAGTTTGTATGACTATTCATAGTAGCTTTATTTTAATAGCTCCAAACTGGAAATAATCCCAAATGTCTATCAATAGGTGAATATTAGGTAATAAAGTATGATATATTTATACAATGAGATACCACTTAGCAATAGAAATATTGAGCTATGAGTACACACAAAACATGGCTGAATCTCAAAACAATTACGCTAAATGAAAGAAGTCGGCCGATAAACAGACAATTCTCAAAAGAAGGCATACAAGTGACCAACAAACATACGAACAAATGCTCCACACCAGTATTCATCAGAGATACGCAAATCGAAACCACCATGAGATACCATCTCACACCAGTCAGAATGGCTATTACTAAAAAGTCAGAAAACAACAGATGCTTACAAGGCTATGGAGGAAAGGGAACCTTTATACACTGTTGGTGGGAATGCAAATTAGTTCACCCCTTCTGGGAAGCAGTTTGGAGATTTCTCAAGGAACTTAAAACAGAACTACTATTTGACCCAGCAATCTGATTACTAGATAAATATCCAAAAGAAAACAAATTATTCCACCAAAAAGACACATGCATGTTAATCACAGCACTATTTACAATAGCAAAGACATGGAATTAACCCAGGTACCTATCAATTGTTGATTTGATAAAGAAAATGTGGTACATATACACCATGGAATACTATGCACCTATGAAAAAGAACAAAATCATGCTCTTTGCATCAACATGGATGCAGCTGAAGGTCATTACCCTAAGCAAATTAACTCAAGAACAGAAAACCAAATATTGCATGTTTTCGTTTATAAGTGGGAGCTAAACATTGGGTATTCACGGCGTAAAAGTGGTAACAATAGAAACTGGGAACTACTAGAGGGAGGAGGGAGGAGGGTAAAGTTTGAAAAACTAGCTATTGGGTACTACGCTCAATACCCACATGATGAGATCATTTGTACCCCAAATTTCAGCATTATGCAATATACCTAGGTAACAAACCTGCATGTGTATCCCCGATTCTAAAATAAGTTGTAAAAAAAGAAACGTAAAGACATTTTTTTGTCAGACCAAAAAAAAAAAAAAGAAGCCAGACCAAAATAACAGTGAATACTATACTATGCTATTATTTTTATACAAATTTCTAGAAAATGAAAGTTAACCTATAGCAACATAAGCAGATCAGTGGATGCCTGAGGATGGTTTTGGAGGGAGAGTGGAGAAGGGTGGGGAGAAAAGATTACAAAAAGTCTCAAGAAAACTTTTGACGATGATAGATACATTCACTTTTTTTGTGTGTGCTTTGCCCTTGCTAGATGTGATGCCTGCCTTGTTTTGTTGCTGTGACTTTTCTATCACAAATCTGGCCTTCCCTGCTTCCTGCTGAGCTTTGTTTGGATTTTACTGCTTCCAAGAACTCCTCCCCAAAGGTCAGACGTGTCAAGGACATGTTGGATAGGGCATTGCTCACCTGTCTGGAGACCAGCTCTCTATCTCTGATGTCAAAGTGAGCCATTACTCACTTGAGGATCTCCATAGCGATGAATGGCAGCCCACGCTTGTCACAGTCCTCTCTGTTGCCGATGAAGATATGGGGAAGTAGTCTGACAACTGGATGGAAAAGGATGCAACATAGGACATTGACAATCTATACATTTTTATTTCCAGCGATGAATCTCATGCCATCTAGCAGTCAAAGATCATTGTTTTCTGTACCCAAGAGGTAAGAAAATGCCTACTACAATATCCTGGGCTTTAAAGACAGAGCATTCACATTTGCTATTTCTGCCAAATTCTAAGGCCAGGCTAAACTTGCCAATACACTTAAGCACTTTGGCAGCCATGTTAGTTTGCTGGACCTCATCTCTTGGCCCATTTGTACCTGCCTTCATGCTGACTTCTGCATGGATCCCCCAGCTCCATTCATTCTCTGGATGATGCTAAGAACTTCCTTTTGTCTTTGATATTCTGCATGGACTTTAAAATATTTACCCACTGGGGATATGCTATTCTTCCTGGACCTGTGATCCATATTTTTCATAAGTTGGAAAAATTTGCAGCCAATATCACTTTAAGTGTTACTTCTCCATTTCCTCTACTCTCTCTTTCTGATACTCTGAATAGGTGTATATTAGACCTTCCAAATCTATTAATGTTTGTTTCATATTTTCCATTCTTTTCTCAGTATTGCACTTTTGGTCATTTCTTCAGGGATGTCTGCCAAATCATTAATTCTGTCTTCAGCTGTGTCTAACCTGTTAATTAACTCAATATTTTTATATCAATAATTAAAATTTTTAGTTCTTATTGTTCCATTTTTTCCCACAAATTTATCTTTTCACTCCCCAAAGTCATTTATGGATTAGATAATCCTGTGTTGGCACAGCTGTTCTATATTCTATATCTGACAGATCTCATATCTGTAATCCACAGGATTCTAAATTCATTGTCCATTATTTTTGCCAGTTCTCAGTAATAGTAGCTTTCATTTTATGTTTAGTGATGTTGTGAGCTCATTGTTTGCCATAGCAGGTGAAAAATCTGAGCGTTTAAATTAAGGATTGGAGAAGTTTTCCTGCAGAGATTTGCTCCTGCTTTTGATAGTAAGGAGGAGGTGCCACCAATCTAGGACTATGTCAATGCATCATTGACCTTGTCCCCACCTTTATATTCTCCCTGCTCTCCTTTGAGGGTCTCAGTTCATGGTGGAATCCCAAATCTCTCTTACCTTGAGATTGGCCCCAAACTCAGTGTTCTGGCGGCACTGCTGCAACCAACATTCATCCTCTGGTAGATCAGGATTGACCTCTCATTTTCTCTTTATCTTTTTCTTTTTTGTTTAATTTTGCAGCATATCTCTTTCCTCTTGTAAGACTGATGACATCTCAAATAATGTATTCTACCAGGCTTTGCTGTCTGTAGCTGGATCACCTTGGAGCACACCCTCAGACATTGCCAGAAGAGGAAGAGGTTCACCTTGTCTCCCTTTCCCCTGCTTTTTTCATCTTTGACGCTACAGACACAAGGCACTGCCTATAGGTATGCAGGCCTAGTGCTTGCTCAGGGCAGACAAAATATCAGTAGCTCAGCCTTAGCATCTGGCGAGACTTGGCATTAAGATATATTGCTGTGCCAAGCACGGTGGCTTGCATCTGTAATTCCAGTATTTTGGGAGGCCAAGGCAAAAGGATCACTTGAGTCCAGAAGTTTGATACCAACCTGGGCAACATAGTGAGACCCCGACTCTAAAAAAAGAAATTAGCTGGGTGTGGTGACATGTGCCTGTAATCCTAGCTACTCAGAAGGCTGAGGTGGTAGGATTGCTTGAGGCCAGGAGGTTGAGGCTGCAGTGAGCCATTATCGCACCACTGCACTCCAGCCTTGTCAACAGAGCAAGACTGTTTCAGAAAAAAAAAGATATATTGCTAGACAGAAATGACTATCATGACTATCTGATTTGTTGTTTTGCTTTTGAGTTAGGGTCTTGCTCTGTTGCCCAGGCTGGAGTACAGTGGCATGATCATAGCTCACTACAGCCTCAAATCCTTAGGCTTAAGCAATCCTTGTGCCTAAACTTCCTAATTAGCTGGGAATACAGGTGCACACCACCACATCTGGCTATTTTTTGTATTTTTGTACAGATGGAGTCTCACTCTGTTGTCCAGGTTTGATCTCAAACTCTTGACCTCAAGCTATCCTCCCACCTTAGCTTCCCTAAATGTTTGGATTTACAGGCATGAGCCCCCATGCCCAGCTTGAGTATCTGATGTCATTTAGCTGAGTTTGGAAGGGGTGTGCTGTGGTTTGAATATTTGTCCCCTCTGAAACTCATGTTGAAACTAAATCCCCACTGTAACAGTATTAAGAGGATGGGAAATCCAACTATGGTATTTGAGAGGTGGGACATTGGGAGGTAATTAGGATTAGATGGGATCATGAGAGTGGGGCATTAGTAGCTTTATAAGAAAAGAAAGAGACACCTGAGCTAGCGTGCTGATTGGGTTTGGCTCTGTGTCTAAATCTCATGTTGAATTGTAATCTCCAGTGTTGGAGGAGGGACCTAGTGGGGAGGTTATTGGGTCATGGGGGTGGATTTTCTGCTTGCTGTTCTCACGGTAGTGAGTGAGTTCTCATGAGATCTGGTTATTTAAAAGTGTGTAGCACTTCCCCCTTTGCTCTCTCTCCTGCTGGCCATGTAAAGATATGCTTGCTTCCCCTTTGCCTTCTGCCATAATTGTAAGTTTCCTGAGGCCTCCCAGCCATGCTTCTTGTATAGCCTGCAGAACTGTGAGCCAATTAAACCTCTTTTCTTTATAAATTACCCAGTCTCTGGTAGCTCTTCACAGCAATGTGAGAACGGACTAATATACATGCTTAGCTTGCCTGACCTGTGATGACTTGTACTACCTCAGGACTCTGCAGAAAGTCTCTGCCAGCAAGAAGGCTCTCACCAGATGTGGCCCCTAGACGTTGGACTTCCTAGCCTCCAGAACTGTAAGAAATACATTTCTTTCCTTTATAAATAATCCCATTTCAGGTATTCAGTTATAGCAACAGAAAACAAACTAAGTCAGGTGAGGCCAGGCATGGTGACTTATGCATGTAATCCCAGTATTTTGGGAGGCCAAGGTGGGAGGATTGCTTGAGGCCAAGAGTTTAAGACTAGCCTGAGCAACATAGCAAAACCTTATCTCTTAAAAATAAAAATAAATAAATAAAAAAGACAGGGTCATATCTCTGAGGCATAGCCCTTTGGACTCTTCACTTTGTTTCAGGCTCCAGAATGGGACTCTTACCTTAGGCCTTACAGTTTTCCAGTCTGTCTGGTACCCTGCATAATGCCTCATAATTACCTCAGGATTAGAGTGTCGGTCCCAAATCTCGCCTACCTGGCAGAGATTCTTATCGCGGTTAGTGCTGGCCAACTCCCTCCCCTGCTAGATGGGATTCTAATCCCTATAAGCCCTGGAAATGAACAGATCTCTTGGAATCACAACACGGCTTTCTTTTCCTTAACAGTCTCATCCAACCACCTGGAATTTCACACTTCTAGCTTCACCCAATAGAAAGGACCTTCCTGATTTCAATATGTTTATGATTACATTAATTTTTTCCTCATCCATAGCCACTGGAAGACATGAGCCTAAGACATCTGAGGTGTCCCTAACAGCTCAGTCTCTCTCTCTCTTTTTGTGTGTGTGTGTGTGTGAGATGGAGTTTCGCTTTTCTTGCCCTAGCTGGAGTGCAATGGCGTGATCTCAACTCACTGCAACCTCCGCCTCCCAGGTTCAAGCGATTCTCCTGCCTCAGCCTCCCGAGTAGCTGGGATTACAGGCTCCTGCCACCACACCTGGCTAATTTTTTGTATTTTTAGTGGAGACAGGGTTTCACCATGTTGGCCAGGCTGGTCTTGAACTCCTGACCTCAGGTGATCCACCCGCCTAAGCCTTCCAAAGTGCTGGGATTACAGACGTGAGCCACTGTGCCCAGCCCAGCTCAGTCTCTTTAACTAAGACATTTCTCCAGTCTCATCCAGGCCCCAGCTTCTGCTACTGCTCCTTATCTCAACCCCACCCCTCAAGACTCACCTCAAATGCCACCTCATTCAGGAAGGCATCTGTGATCTTTCTCTTCTCAGCTGGATGGATTTGTTCCTGCCTCATGATCCTAGCAGCCCATAGGATCCCTTGTTTCCATTATATTTCTTTCATATTTCTATAATCCTGTGTTTTCTCAACCTTCTCATTAGACAGCAAATTCCTTGAGGGACTTAGCTCATTTCTTCTTGTAACTCTTTAGGCTTGTGATCAAGAAATGCAATTGAATTAAAAAGAAGATAGTATTTTTACTTTCATTACCATTTGTATAATCATTTCCCTCATACAGGACAGGGCTTAATAATTCGATGAACACAGATACAATTATTCAGCCTCCCTAGAAATCAAGTTTCCTGTCTCTCTGTAGCAAAGGTACCAGGCAGTCTTGGGTAGGAGAAAATAGAGTAGGAAATGGACCTTGGGATTGGGAGACTTTGGGAATTCAAAGAGAGAAAGCATTGCATTTCTGATGTCAGAGAAAAAACGTCTGTGCTGAGAGCAGACACCAACAGCATACTAAATGACAGTAATAAAGCAAGGGCCAGACACTCAGGCTTTGACACCTGTAACTAAAAGATGTTTTTGCAACCTTGCCAAGGTTTTGCAATCATTGCCTTTATTATTAAGCAGCTGGTGCTCCAGAGATGATCCAAGCTTTTACTTCCTTTATGCTCTTTTAGCAGGGATATTTATTATGGCTGTCTCCTCCCATTTGTCTGCAAGGATTATTATACTATATGACTCTATGTCTCCAGAGTAAACTGCCCCTTCGAGGGTTATAAAATATGCCAGAGCCTCAGCAAGAGAAATAAGTTCTTAGCATGGATTCAGTAATTGGTGCTTCAATAAAACTAGAAGTTTGTCTCTTGCCATAAGCCTGGCTATTTCTATGATCTTTGGACTTCATGAAAGTTTTTATTTTTTATTTTCCTGTTAGAACTCTCTTTTCTCTTCTTCACAGGCATATTAAGAAGAAAAGGAGCACCTCAGAATCCTCTGGGCAGTCCCTTTTTTCTCACTGAAGTGACTGGCTTTCCTCACTGGGGACCTAGTAATAGCCAAATGTTCTGTGTACAATTAGTGAAAGATCTACATGCATTCCTGCTACTTTTGTGGGTAATGCAGAAAACAAAATACTGTGCAAATGGTACACAGCCCAGGAAAAAGTAGGGCAACCAAATCTGTGGCTTTGAAGCCACGGGAATGATCAAGAAACCCAATTAGACTATAAGCATGGTGAAATAGGCCAGAGGCTCATAAATCCTCACCTGGTGCTGGAATCCCATCTGCAGCAAGCAGCCATTACACACTAGGTGATCACTGGCCTGCCCACTCTCCTAGCCCCCCACCACTCTGACCAGAGCTAGTTAGAAGTCAGCTGCAAAAAATATGTGTGTATCCAGTGAGAGCTTCCTGAGAAGGCAGTTCACAAGCATGGGAGCCGTATTAGATCTGTTATTGGAATGGTCATTAGGAAAACACGATATCAGGAGGGATTGTGCAAGTCATCGCTATGAATCTGAATGCCTGTGTCCCCCAAAATTCATATATGGAAATCCTAACCCCCAAGGTGATGGTAATTAGGAGGTGGGGCCTTTGGGAGGTGATTAGGTCGTAAGGGCAGACCCCTCATGAATGAGATTAGTGCCTCTATCAAAGAGGCCCCGAAGAGCTGCCTTTTGTTTCTTCTACCACGGGAGGAAGTGAAAAGGTGCCATCTCTGAACCAGGAAGCAGACCCTCACCAGACAATGAATGGGCTGGTGCTTTGACCTTGGACTTAGCCTCCAGAATTGTGAGAAATAAATTTTTATTGTTTGTAAGATGCCTACTTTATGGTATTTTGTTACAACAGTAACTTTAATAGTTTGCTCTACTTCCAAAATGTTCTCTGAAATGACTAAGACAGTCATAAGCCCTGAAAGGAGGTGCATGATATTAACAAATAAGAAAAGGCCAAGGACAAAGCTCTAGTATTGCTCCTTTAGAATTCAGCTCCAGGGAATTTAATGAGTGCTCTGGGCTCATTAAAAAAAGAAAAAAATATGTATAGATATACTGGATGTGGTGGCTCATGCCTGTAATCCTAGCACTTTGGGAGGCCAAGGCAGGCAGATCTCTTGAGGTCAGGAGTTCGAGACCAACCTGGTCAACAAGGTGAAACCCCGTCTGTACTAAAAATACAAAAATTAGCCCGGTGTGGTGGCGCGTGCCTGTAGTCCCAGCTACTCAGGAGGCTTATATGGGAGAACCACTTGAATCCAGGAGGCGGAGGTTGCAGTGAGCCAAGATCACGCTACTGCACTCCAACAGAGTGAGACTTCGTCCCACCTCCAAAAAATTAAAAATAACTTAGCCAGTGTGGCGGCATATGCCTATGCATGCCACTCAGGAGGCTGAGGTAGGAAGATCACTTGAGCCTCTGAAGTCAAGGCTGCAGTGAACCATGACAGTGCTACTGCACTCTAGCCTGGGTGACAAAGCAAGACCCTGTTTCAAATAATAAATTATATACTCAGAAAGTATATGTATCATCTATCTCTCCAAAATAGATCCTGAATCGGACTCACTGCACCTTCTTTACTGGGATCACCTTTGTGCAAGCCACTTGGTTTCCCTAGGTCTACCCTTGCTCTACTTCCAAACCGTTCACATAGCAGCCAGAGCCATCTTCTTAAAAAGTAATTTGAGTTTGAGGTGATGGATATCCTGATTTTATTATAACACATTTTATCAAAATCAAAATATCCCATGTACTCCCAAAATATGTATAACTATGATTATCAGTTAAAAAAATGAAAAAACATGAGAGGTTAAGTTGGGAGGATAGCTTGAGCCCAGGAGTTTGAGGTTACAATGAGGAATGATTGTGCCACTGCACTCCAGCCTGGGAAACAGAACCAGATCTTGCCCCTTAAAGAAAATTAAAAATTAAACAAAATTTAAAAATTAAATTGCTAAATTAAAATTTAAAAAAGGAATTTGAATCATGTCATTCCCCGTTTAAATTTTTCAATTACTTCCCATTTCTCTGAGGGCAAAATCTGAACTCCTGACCACAGCCCAAAAAAGCTTGCAAAGCTCCCCATTTCCCCAGCTCCCTTTCCCTTCTACCCCTTCCCTCCCTGTAGGGTAGACGTGGTGGCCATCTTTTAATTTCTGAAACATGCCAAACTTGCTCAAATATACGGAACTTTACACTTACTCATTCTTTTTCCTGAGACAATTTCTCCCTAGGTCTCGACATGTCAGGCTTCTTCTTATCCTGGCCTTGGCTCCAATACCTTTGAAGAAGCTTCTCTATCATCCTGGCTAAAGGAGCCCCTCACTCTTAATCATTCTGTAACCCATTGCCATACTTAACTTTTTTCATAGCACTTAACCTTATCTGGAATTTTGTTTACATACTGAGTTTCTGACTCTTTTCCAAAGACTAAGTGAGAGAAAAGATTTTTAATTTTCTAGTCAACTAGTATATTCCTGCTATGGTTGGAAGGTTTATCTTCTCAAAAACTCATATTGAGACCTAATCCCCAATGTAACAGTATTAAGAAGTGGAGCCTTTACGAAGGGATTGGGTCATAATGGCTCTGCCTTCATAGATGGATTAATCTACTCATAGATTAATGGATTAATGGCTTATCATGAGAGTAGGTCTGTTGTAAAAGCCAGTTTGGTTCTCTCTCATGAGCTTGCTCACCATGTGATGCCCTGTGCCACCTTAGGACCCTGCAGAAAGTCTCCACCAGCAAGAAGACTCTCCCCAGATGAAGTCCCTTGACCTTGGACTTTCCAGCCTCCAGAGCCATAAGAAATCAATTTCTCTATTTTATAAATTACAGTCTCTGATATTCACTTATAGCAATAGAAAATGGACTAGGACAATCCCACACAGCAGATTTTTCATTAATGTTTGTTGAGTGAATGAAAGATGTACACAAGGATTTTAAAAGTGTATTTTGACTTCTACAGTAAGACTATCCAAAGAGTAAGTTAATCTATGTTGGTGTGACTGGTACCTAGGAACTCTGGATTGATTCTCCTTTGCTAAATTATGCATTTAATCATCTCTCCTAGTGCTTTGTTTGAGATTCTCCAACCTCTGCTTTTCTGGAAACTACAATTGAACTCAAGAATTCAGTCCTTTACTTGCCCATAATTTCTCAGAATTACTGACTACTTGTCTGTGATTGCATTTGGTGTGTAATTTCAGCACTCTGGAATGAAATTGTCTGAGCATCACACTTGGACTAATTTAGAGTGACTAGAGGCTCTCCTTAGGAGTCTTCACTGAATTGGGGTTCCACTTCCTGGTTCTTATTGCTTGCCTGCCGTTTCTGTAGTATCTCCTATTAGGGCCTCCAGGAGAGGCTTTTCCCACAATAGTTTATAGTCAGTCAGTAAACATTGTCTATGATTGACTCTGTAATGGCCTCCTGGGTTCCCTTCAGGCCCCTAAACTGCCTTAACATGTAACCCCAGCCTAGTTCTGGGAGGAAGCAGAGTAAAGTAGTTAAGTATCCAGGATATGGACTCTGGTTCCCTGAGTTTGCATCTCAGCTCTGCTACATGCTGGTGATGTAACCTTGGTCCTTACCTTTCTAATCTTCAAGTGGTTCTGACTTTATAACCTACCCAGTTCCCAGATCTCTGTTTGTTCTCACTTGCCCTTTCAGGGAGGGGACCCAGACGCTGGACACCTGCTGACCTCCTTGTTGCCCACTGAACAGCCCACATTGCCTGTGTCATTGCACTCCATCTTTAGAGGGTCTTCTATTTGGGGGCCTCTCTGCTCAGATCATTTCCTAATGCCTGTCAATATCTCCAGATGTCATGTGCCATTTGCCAGGATGGGCTCTTTCTCATTATCTGCTACTGTGTCTCTCCCCAAGCATAGACGCCATCCACGGCAGAAGACTTAACTTTTGGGTCTGAGATCTTTTGTTTGGAATGTCCTGCAGCAGCTAAGCTCCAATTCTGTGGCCTCTAACATTAGGTGGAGAATCTGGTGGCAGAGAATAAGCAGTGGGACTTTGACAAAAGACAGGGCATTTCATCATCAGCCACCATTACTAAAAGGCTTTATTGATTATTTGTTGGCACGTGGTGCTATACTTAGTGCTGTATGAAGCCGTCTAATCAAGACTCAGCACCCACCCAGAAGATTTATGGTACAATCCAAGACACCATATTGGCTTCCTGATGCTACTTTTTCTTCACGTGATCCAACCTGATTTCTTTCTAGCCTCATCATTTCTTTCAGGCTAGGAGAAATTAGACCTGGAAAAGCCATTTAAAAATAAAGCATCTTACCAGCTCCTATTCTCAGTAGCCACCGCCTATAAGAATGGAGTCTGACATGGTTGAGATGCCTGATAGATTTTCTTTGTGAGACACTTCATGTTGCAAAACTTATTAGCTAATTGCCTGGCATCCCATATGGTTTCATTCGGTTTTTTTTTTCTTTGTATTATTCAAAAGAGAAAAGCAAAGTCCGAAAAAAAAGAAAGATCTAACCCTAAGATTTGCAGTGAATGAGAATCTGTGAGCCTGGGACATGATGCCTCTTAGAACCCAGAGTTTGAGCACTTGCTGTTTTGAGTAAAAGGAAGTGTCGGAGTCACCCTTTCAGGGTCAAAGACTCTGGCACAGCAGCCTGCACAAGTGCCCATGATGTCATGTCAATGGGTAGAATCCTAGGGAATGGGAGTCCTGTGTGTGTTAGAGATGCCAGGAAATGTCTGGAGGGAGGGACAGAGGGGATGGATTGCCACCTTGGGCTCTGTCCCAATTGCCTCCTTGGAGGAGTACACCTTGGGGGAGTCTTTCCATTTCACACAATAAAGAAGGAACCTCATGGGGTCCATCTAATTCAACATTCCTATTGGGCCAGGCATGGTGGTTCACACCTATAATCCCAACACTTTGGGAGGCCGAGGAGGGTGGATCACTTCAGGTCAGGAGTTCAAGACCAGCCTGGCCAACATGGTGAAACCCATCTCTATTAAAAATACAAAAAGAAGGCTGGGCAAGGTGGCTCGTGCCTGTAATCCCAGCACTTTGGGAAGCCGAGGTGGGAGGATCACGAGGTCAGGAGATCAAGACCATCCTGGCTAACACAGTGAAACCATATCTCTACTAAAAATACAAAAAATTAGCTGGGCATGGTGGCACGTGCATGTAATCCCAGCTACTTGGGAGGCCGAGGCAGGAGAATTGCTTGAACCCAGGAGGCGGAGGTTGCAGTGAGCCGAGATCATGCCACTGTACTCCAGCCTGGGCAACAGAGCGAGACTCTGTCTCCAAAAAAACAAAAAACAAAACACACACACACACAAATTAGCCGGGCGCATGCCTGAAATCCCAGCTAATCAGAAGGCTGAGGCGGGAGAATTGCCTGAACCCTGAAGGTGGAGGTTGCAGTGAGCCGAGATCATGCCACTGCACTCCAACCTGGATGACAGAGCGAGACTCTGTCTCAAAAACAAAACAACAAAACAAAACACTCCTATTTTGTAGATGAGAAAAGTGAGACTCAAAGAAGAGCAGTAACTTTCCCATGGTCACACAGCTTGATTCCAGTGAACTTTGAACAAGAAAAGCATGGATCTCCTGAGCTCTCGCTTGTGTTTATCCACCAGCTCAAGCTGCCACTCTCCCTTACCCCGCTGGTATCTTTTTGCCTCTGTTTCTTCAACAGTGGGCCACAACACCCAGTGGGGAAAGAGAGGATGACAGAAGCCATTTGGAAATCCTTGAGGGCACACCTACATCATATGTGCCCTCATCCCTCTCTGTGGCCATGCTCCTGGCAGAGACTCCTTTCAGAGCCTGCGGTAGGCCCTGCAGGGTTGGATGGTGCCCATAATCGGGGAAAACGCCCCTGATTGGATTAACAGACGTGGTTCATAGGACGGAATCCCATTTCCCTCACTTGAAAGCTGGCTTTTCGAAGCACAAATAAGCTGGTGATACAGGCCAGATGGGAGCTCCTGGGAGAAGGAGGAGGGGAAGAGAAGTCCCCTACTTGGCAAGAGGGATAGTGCAGGCATGGCCGCCCCTCCCCCAACCAATCTGGCTTCTCTTTGTGCTGGGCTGACAAGGGGCAGCTGGTGAAGCTGGCAGGGAGAGGGCCAGAGTGAAGTAGCCAAGTGTCCATAGGCAAAGGCCAGCCTTGGGGAAGAGAATGACGTCCCAGGGCACCCCTCCCTCAGACGTGGGCGCTGACCTCAGAGCCTCTCTGATCCCTGGTAAGCTGGGACTCAGAGGACCTCATCAGAGCATCCAGCCAGCAGCAATTTTGCACTTGGACTCTGGTATCAGACACTGCTTTTAAATCCCCACTCTGCTCTTACTCGCTGTCTCACCTTGGGCAAATTACTTCACCACTCCGGGCTTCATTTCCTCTTCTACAAAATGGAGATGATAATAGTACCTACTTCACAGCATGACTCACAATTAAAAGAGTAACTAAAATGTAAAGCACTTCTAACAATGTCTGAAATTTGTAAGAACTAAATAAGTATATGCTATTATTATAATTATTATTATGTCTTTTCTATTCTTTTTGGCACAGGAAAAACTGAACATTTAGCCTGAAGGTCTGTGAGAGGCAGAGAGAAAGATTCTAGCTCCCGGAAGCTCTGTTCAATGGCTGGAAATCTCAAGGATTTCTCTAGCCTTGCTGTGGCCTTTTCTTTCTTTCTTCCTTTTTTTTTTTTTTTTTAAATTTTGTCCCTTTCTGGTGACTGGCTTGGTCATGGAAATTTATGAGGGGCATTCTTTAAGGAATGCTATGTTTTCAGATTCATGAAGGCATCAGTATTCCAAAATCTGGAAAACACCTCTTTTGCTAGAGCAGTGGAGGGGCAGAAATCAAGACCAGGGCTGCCATTTTCTACCTGTGTTAACCTCGATGAATTTCCTTCACCTCTCTGAGCCTCAGCTTCCTTTTGTTCAAATTGGGAAAAGTGTTGGATCTATCTCAAAAGATTGTTTGCTAGCCAACAAGAATGTGTTTGAAATGCTATATTCAAATGTAAGATAGTAGAGAGTCTCACATGTCATAAAGGATTTCGATTATCACATTATATACTTATCGTGTGGCTTTTGGCAAGTTACTTAACCTTTGTTAAGAATCAGCGTCTTTTCTATAAAGTAGAGATAATTAAACTAACTTCACGGGGTGATTGTGAGGGTTATAGAAAATCTTATATTGATAGCACTCAGTACAATATCTGAAATGTAGTAGTTATTTTAAAATGTTGGCTTTTTATCCACCCCCTGCCAACCCTAGACCCCTTAATCCATACACATCCACACACCCACATAGCAGATCTTTCTGGGAAAGAGAAACTCAGTGGAATCCCCTGATTAGAGAATGTGGACATTTGGGTGGTTTTGTCCTCTCCAATCTCAGCTGTGCAGGTGCCATTATTATTATAGATGTTTCTTGTTATATTTTGTCGGGAGAAATAACAAAGCTTTTGCTCTTCTCTCTTGCCTTTTCTCTCTTACTAGCTTGGTTTCTCTTCAAATCGCCTTAACAAAAATAGAGTGTTGTGTTCTGTGTCAGGAGTTGGGGTTTTGACCTCCTGGAGTGGGTAAAATCAGCCCTTTTTTAATCCTAAGGCTGCTACCAAAGGGCACCTGATGATTTGACTTAACCCCACTGGGAAGGGACTGGGAAGAATGAGCTGCAGCTAATTACAGTGACTTAGCGGGGAAGGAGTCACATTTTCGCTCTAGATGTGGCTTTCTTGCTGGGGAGGAAGGGTAGGGTCATGTGGAGGGGTCCAAAAGGATATTTTGGGTGAGAATGAGAGGGAAATAGGAAGCATTCATTTACTGTCCTCATTCCACATGCTCGTGTTCCTACTAGTGGTAGGAAGAAAATTGTGTCTTTATTTCTCTGTTGATACAAAATGTCCTCTCTGATCACCTAATGCCCTGTTTTCTTTTAGTGGGCTAATGGGAGCCCTGGAAGCTTCACATGTTCTAGGCTGACAGACACAGAATCCAGTGAGCAGGACCTTGGGGGAGACAAGTGAGAAACTAATTTGCTTGGTTCCATTTCTAACTTAATTGGGCATTAATTAACATCTGTTCCACCATTGCTCTAGAAAAACAGAAACACTCCCAGCCCCCACCATGTCCCATAAAGTGTGTTCTAGTACACAATATGCCTACATTCCCCTAAGGCTGAAATGACTACAGGGAAGCTGGTAGTTTTACATTTTGTCATTGGATTAATTTCATGTCTCACTTCATAAATTTTCTAAACTTTAGGGTTTTGTTTCTAAATTTTCAAAATAAGGGTATGGTTACCTCCCTCTTGAAGTGGCTGTAAGGAGTATAGCTAGATATAGATGTAGATATAGATATAGATAGATAATGAATGTAAATCCCCTAGCACAGTGCCTGGTGTTTAGTAGCTACTCAATTAAAGGAAGCTTTTAATTATATGAACAATTAATATCCTTTTTTGTTCATTTCTGGGCTTGCTCAAAAGTATCTACTACTGAGATATTTTGGAGCTTACTCAAAGTATCTAGTACTCATTTCCTCCTAGCTCTGGAGGAACACAGCAGTTGTTGGGATGACTATAATAGGCCTAGTACTGCATAGGAAGAAAAGAAAGAGAAAGATTGACTTTGCATTCTGGGTTCTGTGAGCTCTTGGGTTTGGCACAACTCTCTGTATCACCAAGCTACATATGGACAATGATGCTCTGTGACTACTCTGCTACTACCACGGCTATCACACTTAGGAATACTGCTAGAGTTTTGGGTGTTAACTCTGTGCCAGTGGTTTATATACGACAATATTGTTGTCTAGTGTTATTATGCTGATTTTATAAATGAGACAACTGAGGCTTAAGAGGTTAAGCAACTTGTCCAGTATCCCAAAATTAGTGAGAAATACAGATGAGATTAATACCTAAGAAGGTTTGGCTTAAAAACCCATGCTCTTAACCACCTTGCTATACAGCCCAAGTGGTCTGAAAATTTGCCCTGGGGAGACAGAAGGGAAAAGCAGGGACAGAAGAACTGTATCTCTGCAGCTTGGCCAAGTCTGTCAAACAGGGGAGATTGACTGAAGCAACTGCTTTCCCTTTCTTCATGCCAAGCAAAGAACTCAGAGAAGAGCATACCCAAGGTGAACATGTTCCCCTTTGATCTAAGGACGCATTAACCTGGTAAGTTTCTAGACCTAGAAACAGCACTCACCAAATGCCTAGGATGAGTTAGCACTAACTAGTCTTCTCTGTGGAGGTCACAAAGACTGGGCAGTCACATGGGTTGCTGGTGTTTTCAGGGTGTAGCAATAGTGTTCCCTAAATTTGTGTCTTAGATCATGAGTTCCTCAAGATGTTCTATGAGGAAGGATTTCCTGATTCAATGTTTAATAGCTGAGACACTGTATATCCCTCTCTTGGAAATTCACGATGCCCATAAACACAGTAAAGGCTCTGAAAAGTCTTGCAATTAAAAAAAAATAACAAAACACAATGAAAAATGGCTTATTTACTTTGCTTAACTCATTATTTCCCAAACACACTTGGCCATAGAACCCTTTATTGGAGTGCCATCTATTCATATTGCAAGGAAAGAGTGTTCCATGGAACAGATGTCAAGAGATGTTTGCATAGTGCAAAGGACACTGGATTAGGAGGCCAAAGACTAGCTCCATTTCAGCTTTATTGACGTGTGTACATCAGTTTTCCTCTTTGGGCTGTAAAATGAGAAAGTTGATCTGTGTAATCTCCAGGCCTCCTTCTAGCTCAATATGTCTGTGACTATGGCTACATCCACATGACATGATGAAAGATTAAAACATAGAAAACACATTCCTCATTCTGGGAATTTTATTTTATTTTATTTTATTTTATTTTATTTTATTTTTTGAGACAGGGTCTCCCTCTGTCATCCGAGGCTGGGGTGCAGTGGCATGATCATGGCTCACTGCAGCGTCACCCGTCCAGGCTCAAGCAATCCTCTTACCTCAGGCTCTTTAGCAGCTGGGAGCACAGGTGTACACCACCTGGCCTGGCTAATTTTTATATTTTTTGTAGAGATGGCGTTGTGAACATAGAACTCTTGGACTCAAGCAATCCTCTTGCTTCGGCCTCCCAAAGTGCTGAGATTACGGGTGTGAGCCACCGTGCCTGGCTAGAATATTAAATTAGATAAAAGAAATACATGTAGGTTAGAGCAGCGTATAGTAACTGGCAGCACATAATAAATGTTTAATAAATTTTTGCCAAATAAAAGAGGAAATGTGGAAAAGATAAAAGTACACTTAAATGAAACAAACTGGTTTAAAAGGATCTTAAGTAAAGGATTAATGAGACCACGAGTGATTGAGATGTAGTTGGAATGCTTCCAGGTAGAGATCAATTTTGAGCAGTTTAGAAAGAGAAGGAAAGGCCAGGTGTGGTAGTTCACACCTGTAATCTCAGCACTTTGGGAGGCCGAGGCAGGCGGATCACCTGAGGTCAGGAGTTCAAGATCATCCCGGTCAACATAGCGAAACCCTGTCTCTACTAAAAATACAAAAATTAGCCAGGCGTGGTGGTGTGCACCTGTAATCCCAGCTACCCAGGAGGTTGAGGCAGGAGAACCGCCGGAACCCGTGGGGCAGAGGCTGCAGTGAGCTGAGATTGCACCACTGGACTCTAGCCTGGGCAACAGAGCAAGACTCAGTCTCAAAAAAAAAAAAAAAAAAAAAGAAAGAAAGAAAGAAGGAAAGTAATTTAACATTTTTATTCACCACTTACTATGTACCAGAAAATTTATGGATGTTATGTTAATCTTTGCAACCCTATGAAGCTTAAAAAAGTTTAAAACTTGCTCAGAATCACACTCGTGGTAATTGGAGATCAAGAGGTTGGAACTAATAGACCATTGGTGTTTTAATTTTAAAGTCCCAGAATCTAGGAATGTGTTCTCCATGTGGTTTGTTTTTGTTTTTTTTCAAGACAGAGTCTCACTCTGTTGCCCAGGCTGGAATGCAGTGGCGCAATCTCAGCTCACTGCAATCTTCGCCTCCCAGGTTCAAGCGATTCTCGTGCCTCAACCTCCAGAGTAGCTGGGCCACAGGTGCATGCCACTAAGCCCGGCTAGTTTTTGTATTTTAAGTTGAGACAGGGTTTCGCCATTTTGACCAGGCAGGTCTTGAACTCCTGGCCTCAAGTGATCTGCCCGCCTTGGCCTCCCTGAGTGCTGGGATTACAGGTGTGAGTCACCATGCCCGGTCGTGTTTTCCATGTGTTTTAATTTTTCATCATGTCTTGTAGATTCAGTCATCATCATAGATTCAGGGAGCTAGGAGGCCTGGAGATGATACAGGCCAACATTCTCATTTTCAGCCCCGGAGTTCAAATTCTTAGTCGGCAATCTGCTTCTCAAAGGCCACAATTTGACTAAGAACTCTTCTTGATTAATAGTATAACTGCAAGGGAGATTTCATTATTCTCTGAGTTACCTGAGTGCACATAATTGTGGAATAGGTTATCACGACTTCCCAAAAGAGTGTATGAGTGCATGGAAAATATTGGAAATCACCTAGTGCGAAGGAGCTGGAGAGAGGGTGCCCTGAGAAGCAGTTCCAGAGGAGTCCAGTGAATGCCCGAGGGAAGGGCATTTGGGAGGGAGAAGACTCTGCCAGAGATAATAACATCTTCTGGGAAAGGAAAATTAATGCTACCACCCCCTCGGCAGTCTTCCAGTGAGAAATATCTTTTGATTTATAAGCTGACACCACCAGGTAGTATTTTAGTGTAGGTGTGAGAAGCAAATGGGGGAAAATGTGTCTCTTTTGTGGGTAATATAAAAATATCTGTGTCAGAGAGTGGTTAGAATGACATGAAAGATGGAGAGGAGGATGGAAAATAATAAGTGGAAAATGGGGGTTTTATAAAGCAGATCTTGTTAGCTGGGTCTCTAGGAGAAAGCAATGAAGAAGGATTTCTCATTTCACCCTTTCAAGTTTTCAGAATGGTCGCCAACAAAATCAGCACTGTGGCACCTCTGGTGGTTTTCATTCTTCATGGTCTTCCTAGAAGAAGAGAGAGCTTAGAAGTGGTTCTGCTGAGAGTGGGGTGTGAACTTATAAATAAGCTGATCGCGTTTTCATCATGGGCTCAGGAAACCTCCCAGAGACATGGATGCCCTTGGCATAAATTATACTGACAACCCTACCTCCCGGGCCACCCAACACCCAGTCCCAGGTAAACGTGTTCTTTTCCAGGTTTGGGAACTTGGGTGCCCCCTGGCAGTGGGGTAACTCAAGTCTCTGCTTCCCTAGCTAGCTGTGTGATCCTGGGCAGCCAATGGACCTCTCTGAGCTTCAGTTTTCTCATCTGCAAAATGAGCGCTTTGAACCTGATGACTCCTCGGTGTCCTCCTGTTCTGCAGTGCCATGCTTTCAACACTGTCCAGTCCATTCCAGATGCTTCCCCATCGTGAAGATCCTCCGGGTCACCTATGCACTCCTGCTAATCTCTGCCATTTGCCTTCTTACACCCTTTCCATACCTTCCCGTGGAACACGGTAATCTGGTTTCCAGATGGGCTAATGTCTCCTCCTAGCTGCAAGGCAGCGGCGCTTCTGGCGTTGGTTTCCGCACTAAACTTGATGGTCTGATTTTAAAGGTTGATTTTAAAGAAACTGTCTGGTTGTATGTCCCCGAGTTACACTGCAGTGCTAAATGTTGGAGCGAGGCAATACCGGGAGAATCCAGGCTGCAGGCTTCACCCAGAGAGGGAGGGTGAGGGGAGGAGAGAGACGGAGAGAGGAGAGAGGGGGAATGAAAGGGGAGAGAGAGGGACCAAGACCGGCGAGCGGGAGACAGGAGCGGAAACCACAGAGGTAGAGTCAGGGCCGACACTGAAGAAACGTAGATGCACAGGGAGGGGCCAATATTAGTGTACAGAGAGAAAGAGGGAACACGGTGCGGTGACACCTAGCCTCGGAGACAGTGGGAGCTCCGAGCCCACGGAGAGCGGGGGAGTTCCGCTTCCTCCCGCCCCAGCGGCTCCCGCCCCGCCTGGGCGCAGCCGGCCGTCCCGGCTCCGAGGGTGCAGCGCGCCCGGGCGCAGCGCGAGTGCGTGGAGCCGGGCTCCAGCACGACCCCGCCGCTCGGGTTTGGGTGTCCTCAGGCTCCGCGCTCCTCCTCCCCTCCTCCAGATGGGACTGGCTCTCCTCTTTGCAAAGCCAGGCTCGCGGGGAGACGTGGTGAGCAGTAGCCAGCAGCTGGTGTGCCGTGGACGCCGCTGACCGCCGCGCGCCCGAACCGGGTGTCCACATGAGTGCCTCTCCCAGCAGATCCAGGTAAGAACTTCCTGACCTTCCTGAGCCCTAGGAGGAACACACATGGATGCCGAGTGATGGTGAGGGATCCGGGTGAAACTGGAGGCTGTGGAAACACTGGAGTGGGGGGTAGGGGTGCTGTTACATCGGAATTTTCTTAGTGAAACATCAAAGTTACCTGAGGGCCAGGTAAAGCTATTAACATGGATTATGGTTTGGCTGAGGTGTCCCTCACCTGAGAGTTTGTGTCCCCAGGAAACCACTGAGATAGATAGATTATCTCCTCCATGAATTTCTGGAGGTGGCGGAGCTGGCTTCCTTCTCCATTCAGTACTGGAGACGTGCACAGAACAGGTAGAGAGGACAGGGTTGGTTGAGCATGGAGATTGCCTCTCCTCCTCTCTATCTTGCTGGCAAAAGTTTGAACTGGAAGCACTGGCTTCCCTTGTTCTGGGCAGTGCTGCCATCTCCCTACCTGGCTGCCCCATCAGTCTTACGCCTATTCTGCTTGCATGGTAGAAGTCCGAGATTTGGCAAAAAGACAAAGTGTACATCATGGGGGTACCTAGGGAGACGAGGAAGAGGCTCTGCTTCTCGTTTCCTCTGAGGGTGGAAGTGAGAGGTTCCATCCCAGAGGAAATAGAGTTACTCTTGTGGAGTAGATGAAGGAATGAGAAGGTGTGGTCATTAGAATGAAGTTTTTAGAGCCCAAACAACTTGTTTGCACCCATCAGCCAACCTCATGCCTGGATAAACTTCATTCCTCAAAAAGTTCCTCAGCAGGATATGCAGGCGCCAAGGTAACATGAACAAACAGCTGCTTGCTGCCCCCAAGCTTTAGTTTCTAGTGGGCCTGGAGCAATTGTGAAGGACAACTCCACCCAAGGCCCAGTATTGAAGAGGGGTAGGGTGGGAGGATTGTACATATCGCGAACGCTTGGCAAATCTCTAGATTTTTTTTCCTCCTAGGAAATAATAATTTTTAAAAAGGCTTGTAAAAAATAATAAAATGTTTCATGACAGCAGCAGATGTAAAACTCCCACTACTCTGGGCAAGGACAAAGAAATTTGTGCAGGGGGCTGAGCTTTCTCCTCTGCCAACGCCTACATGGGTACATCACCTTTTGGAGATACAAATAGTATTTTTAGTGTTTTATGGATGAGGAGCCCTTCTCCTGGGAACTTTTGGGGAGGGGCGGATCTCAGCTGGGGCTCTCTCTTGGAGTTCAGGAAACTGAATAGTAGAAATAGGCTGAAAATGCTACATTTCTACACACTACCCCAAGGTCCCACTATACTCCTAAGCTGATATAGAATCTCACTGTGGAACAGATACAGTCAAAGAGAGGCACTCCTGCTTCCCAGTGTAACACACACCGATCTCTCTCTCTTCTCTCTTTCATTTAATAATATTTAGGAGGTTAGATAGGAAAGTGTAGACATGTAACTCTTATTCCCTCTATTCAACTATGCCTCCTGCCTTTGTTCCTTACTTGAAGATCATGTCTCTTGCTTGTACTGAATGTTCCTATTTATGGGACCTTCACTGCAGCTTAGAGCTTTAGTTGCCTTTGATGGTGTACAGCGAGGTTTCTAGTGTTTGCCCGAAGGCTCTTTCCTTTGGCGTATTTATTTGTAACTTGCTTAGGAGATCTCATCCTCACCTTGCAATTTGGATGAAGAGTTCTGCTGGGCGTCACTGGTGTTCAAGAGATCCAGGTCTCAAAAGGGCGTGTGGTAGTTTTAGTTTTTTCCGTCCGTGCTCAAAAGCTGTTTGGTTTTGGAGATTTGGGGCTGTGCTTTGGTGATAGTGTTGGAAGGAAACCATTATGAGCAACTGATCAATACCTAGCCAAGCTGGGGTGCCAATTTGACATTGTCACAAAAAGTGAGTGCCCTATTTGGTTGCCTGATCAGCTGTGTTCAATGATCATAGGCCTGAAATGAAATCACATTCTTTCCTTCCTTCTTTCCTTCCTTCCTTCCTTCTTTCCTTCCTTCCTTCCTTCCTTCCTTCCTTCCTTCCTTCCTTCCTTCCTTCCTTCCTTCCTTCCTTCCATGGAGTTTCGCTCTTATTGTGCAGACTGGAGTGCAGTGGTGCAATCTGGGCTCACTGCAACCTCCGCCTTCCGGTTTCAAGTGATTCTCCTGCCTCAGCCTCCCGAGTAGCTGGGATTACAGGCGCCCACCACCATGCTCAGCTAATTTTTTGTATTTTTACTAGAGATGGGGTTTCACCATGTTGGCCAGGCTGGTCTCGAACTCCTGACCTTGTGATCCACCCACCTCAGCCTCCCAAAGTGCTGGGATTACAGGCGTGAGCCACTGCGCCTGGCTGAAATCACATCCTTCTAAGGAGATGGCATTTGTCCCTGCCATCTCCTTCCAGCCTTTGCTTTTCCACCATAGTAGTCATTTGATGTCCTTGCAGATTAGCTCACTGGTGGGCCCTCTCAATACACACATCTGTAATATGTATGCTTGTCACTGAAATCACCAGCCCTAGGTCTGCAGCTGCACTCCAGAGGTGTTTCCACTGTGCTGCTCCAACTGTCGGCTGCTTTTGCACAGGTGGCATGTAGTTTTCAGTGTTTGTGTCTTTGGGCTGCTGTTTACAACACTGCTAGGAATTGTCACCCATTCTGCTTGCCCTGCAGAAGAGGTCACTTTCTCCTGGGGTGTCTGCTGCACTTCATACTCTTACTTTTCATGGATCTTTCAGCTTGATCAAGATTTTTACTTTCTTCTTCTCCTTTCTCCGTCTTGCAACTGTGGACTGGTGCATCAGGAAACACATTTCTTTTCCTGTCTAGGCACGGTCATTCTTCAAATGGTAATAAAAGCCTTCATTCCTTGATTTGATCCAGTGCCCCGATATGTACAAACCAGAAACACTGCACATATATTTTAGCTGTAAGAGTTCCATATACCCTTTATTGTGGTGTATACAGACTCTGACTTCCAAGGTGTACTCCAGTATCTGCTCTGCTTCATACCTGGTGGGTCTGCATTGCACATCTGCATAATGAATGGACGTTGCCAATAACAGGCAGGAGGAGTGGCAACAGTGTTACTGCAGAGAAAGAGAAAGAGAGAGAGAAAGTATCTTAGGAAACGGGATGGTAAGTAGGCACATGGTCTTATGAGGGTCACCTTAATTTATTAAAGCCTCATTTGGTAGGCATGAGAATAGAATTTATTAGTTGGTGGACCACTTGGCAGCAGCCTCATACACAGATCTATAAGATATTTAAATACTTTTCTGGAATGGGTTGACGTTGATGAATTTGTGACATAGTGGTCTGTTAACCATCTTTCCTCTTAGGTGTTCCTTAAACCAACAGCAATGTTGTCTTCAGAAAGTTGCTGGTGATCCACAGTAGGGGAGAGGAATATCTCTAGTTGTTCATGAGCATCACAGGTGAATAACCCATTCTAGGCATATACCAGGCATACAGAATGAGCTAAACTGTGTTGGTTTCATCAGCCATTCTAACTGGCTTAAAACTCTCTGAATCCTTTGGCTTGAAACTAGGTCAAATGGTGAGACCTTTTTGAGATCCTAATGGGCATAAAACAGGAAGTATCTTTCTCCTGTCAGCACCCTCATGGGCTCTTGGTGCAACTCTGGATCTTCTGGTAAAAGAGAAGTTTTTCCCTTCTGAGCCAAGCTTGCAACAGGGTTAATTTGGGGGTGGCCATGGACTTCAGGGGTCAGAATTGGAGAGTGCAACTTGCATTTATTTTTTTAAAAAAGCTTCATAAAAATAAAAATTGATTTATACAAAAACACAAGACCAGTGATGTACTACCTACCTACTCTCCCACCCCATGAGTTGCTGAGCTCAATGGATAGTAAACATATTAATCTAGATGAGGAAGTATAAAAAGGCCATCTTTGCAGCTCATCTGCCATCCAATCTAATTGAACTCTGAAATCCCATCTTTCTAGATATGTTCCATGTCTGGGACTTGGGGAAGGGGTAGGGGATAGGGGGAGAGGCAGGGATGGAAGAGAGCAATTCCTAGAAAAGTTTGTGAGATCCACCGAACCTGGAGATACAGGCTGCCCCGGAAGGCAAGGGCAGCCCTGGTGAGGGTGCTGGAAGCATGGGAGGAGAACCAGTCCCTGGGAAGGAGAGAAAGAGAAATGACACATAGAAATGATGAGGGAGGGGAGGGTAGGGTGGCGGAGAGAGGAAGCAAGCCAAAGAGGAGGAGGGAGAGGAAACAGATGGAACAAGAGGAAGATGCAGCGAGCAAACGCAAGAAAAGGCCAAAGAGGGGAAAAGAGCAGAAGATAAGTGAAAGCAGCACCTTGCTTTCAGGTTTTTTCTCTTCCCCGTTTTCCTCTGGCAGAGGGAGAATGCAAGCGAGCCAGCAGAACAGCGTGGTTTTTGTGCTTTGGAGGCTTCTCATTGAAGCTGTCAAGCCTCAACCCCTCACGGCAGCTCATTCTATTTTTATATTTTGCAGAATGGAAATTAAACAAATGACCCCGTGATGGCGTTTTCATGAAGATTTTATCCAGCACACCCACACAACCAGTGCTGGGGTGGCTGAATATTTAGCATAATATTCTATTTAATCAGATAAGAAGGTATCCTCAAGAGAGTGGCAGACATGAAGCCTGGGCTTTGATAACCGCCTGTAAAGAACTGTTTTGATGAGGGTGGGCAGAAGTCAGAAAGGAACCTTGTTCTCTGGCTTTTGGGCTTGTTAGTAGGAAGAACCCCAGTTAACTGAATTCTGGTGGAGCTTAGCATTTCCCCTCTCATACTCTCTCTCATACTTTTTTTTTGTTTGTTTTTTTTTGGCACTGGGTTTGGTTCCAGACTTTGTGAGCCCTCATGGTTCAGTTCTCCTTGGAGATCTCATTGGCGGCTAAAAATGGCTCACTTTGGCTGAACTTGCCCTGAGTGGAAGCCTTGCTTAGAATTTGGGTGCTCACTCTATTTGTTGGCCTGGTTAGGGAAGCTGGTGTGTACTTTGCTGACGGGACAGTGCTTAGGCAGCTGGCATAATGATGCACATCTAGTACTTGGTGAGAACACAAAGCAGATGATATTTTATTGGCTTAGACACGGACTTACTTCCTTAAGTCCCAGAAGATTTAGTAGCAATTAAATGCATGCCCGTTTGCACATAACCATCCTTTTGAAGGAAAACAAAAACAAAAACCAACAATGCATGTTAAGGGGGCCAATCAATCGGACATGGTTGGTTGGGTGGATGTAAAAATGTGAGACTGTTCAGAAGGCTTCTCACTGCCATGCACGTGTTTGTGTTTAACAGGGTATTTATGGGCTCTTTTTCCTTATATATTGAAGGGTTATATAATTCCCCAGCTATTAACCTTTAAAATGCTGTTTTTACAAGTTCAGTACCTAGACTAGATAGCAATAAAGAGTGATGTTGAGTCAGCCTGACTTCAAAGGGAGCGATGGGTGGAACAGTTGGACTCGGAAAGGAGCGCTTCTTCCTACCAGCTAGCCTTGTAGTGGCTGATTTTTCCCTCTGAAATGAAACAGGCTTACTAGCCAGAGACTATTCCCTGCAGTGACTATAAAAAGGTATCTTCGTCTCTGACGCAGGGAGCGATTGAGAGCATCGGCATGAGCCATCTGAGTGTGCGTTCAAAGACCTGAGGAAAGGCAGGATTGACAGTCTATTAAGGGGAAGACAGAAGCCGCTATCCTTTTCCTCCTCTAATTAGGCATCCGTGTGCATTTTCTCTCACCATTCTTTGTTCTTGCCTATCTGATTAAGACAGTTCATCTGGCATAGCTTTGAAGCGAAGGAATGTTTTTATGCACGTTGAGGAAGAAGAGGAATAAGATAAACTCAGGTCAGAACTTCCTTTACTATGTCATTTTCAGAGTATGGCTTCCCAGATACAAGGCTCCATCTTTCAGGTCTCTCTGCTCAGCCATGCTCCAGAGTTGAAATGTTTCTCAGTGGCAGCCCTACAAGCTGAACGTGACTGTCTCCTTTGCTGCTTTGGCATGTGTTTTCCCCAGGCTCCTCTACTTGGGCCCTGAACCTCTTCAGGCTCCAGTTTTTCAAAAAAAAAATTTGCAAAATGAGTTTCTCAACTTGTTTGGAAATAGAGAATTTATACAAAGTCTTTCATTTTTCCTAGTGAGAATGGCATGGTTAACCCTGTCATGAGAATGGCCGATAAAAAAAATCACCTTTGAACTCTTCATTATTCTTATTTTATTGCTACTAAAATGTCATTTGTATCATGACTTATTGCTTACAGCGCTATTCTGTTGTTTTATTTAATTGTCATAAAAATATTTTGCATAAGGAATTATTATTACCCATGTTATAGTTGCAGAAATTGAGGCCTAGAGACAGGATGCCCCAAATCACATTGACAATAAGTGGCAAACCAATGTTCTATTTTTAAACTATGATTTTCCACACCATGCTTTCCTTGTAGATTCTACCCTACATTTTCTTTCTTTCTTTTCTTCTTTTTTTTTTTAACAGCGTCTCACACCGTTGCCCAGGCTGGAGTGCAGTGGCGCAATCTCAGCTCACTGCAATTTCTGCCTCCTGGGTTCAAGAGATTCTCCTGCCTCAGTCTCCCCAGGAGCTGGGATTACAGGCACGTGCCACCATGCCCAGCTAATTTTTGTATTTTTAGTAGAGACGGGGTTTCGCCATGTTGGCCAGGCTGGTCTCGAACTCCTGACCTCAGGTGATCCACCCACCTTAGCCTCCCAAAGTGTTGGGATTACAGGCATGGATCACCATGCCTGGCCTACCCTACATTTTCAATGCCATCTTTTTCTCATAACTTTTCCTATCATCTGTCATTAGTTCTGCACCTCTGCAGGTAGGGGTCTACAAGCATCTCGCTGCAGTTGATATATAAGGGGATTCCCTAAAATATGGATACCCGTGCAAATTGAATTAAAGGAATTCAGAACAGAGAAATAGCCTATATCAATTTTCTGGAGACCTACTGACTTTCTTTTAGGTTTTGACATGTTACTCACTGCCAAGTTTTCTTGTGATCTAAGTCAGAGAAAATGCTGAATAAAAGTTAGCATTATACCTGCTCCTTGTAACTATGATCTCCCTCCTTTTTTTTGTAGATTATCTTTAAAGGTGACTCCTGCCCCATAGCCTGCACCAGCTGAACCAGTGTTTAAATAAATTTCTATAAGGCAAATAAATTATAGGAGAATTTGAGGGGGACCACCACTTTCAAAAGAAAGCAGAGGCAAATCTCTTAGGATTTAAGCCTCTATAAATTGGCTTTTTGAAGTCTTTCTTCATCTTGGCTGGGGCCATTCCCTCTATTTGAACTCAGTTGGCAGCAATCAATAGAAAATGCTAATTTCTGGTCCTGGCTTGTCTTTTGCATGCACGAGCTTCCTGCTATTTGTCTGAGAAAGTGCATACCCAGGTAAAAAGGCTGTGCTGATGGCTTTATTTAGCAGTTAGATCAACCCAAGCTGAATGATATATTTTGGCTTGTCGAAAAGCAGGAACAAGTTAGCAGGAACAGTAGGGCTATTTTTTTAGAGTGTTGGCCCAACTGTGATGAGGCTAGAGGACTTATAAAATTAGGTTTAAAACATAATTTTATCTATTCCTTTTCTTTTTCCCAAAGTATAATTCTCAGGACACCGGCATGCCCCATGGGCCTGGGTGTGTAATGCTAGTACTGGGTTTTGACTTTTCTGTCTGAAGCCTGATATCTCTGAGCAACAGCCAGATTTAATTTAGGTGTCAAACCTTTGGGCTACGTTGTATAACTGCACTGAAATGACAGGACTGTGATCAAGTTTTGGCAATTGATCTTGAGAGAAGATGAAAGGTGGTACAAACAAACATGAAATAGGAGAAAGAAGAACACAGACATTTGTACTTTTTATGGATTTTATTCCTCTGTGGGCAATGGAAAGAAGTGCGTTGATGGATTGAAATCTAGGTTTTTCAGAGCACTGGTGAAGTGCTCTTGTCTTCTATTCTTTTCTCCTGGGGTATCTTCTCTCTACCAATTGTAGACAGGGTGTAATGTGTTCTTACTCCAATATTATTCTGTTCTTGTTTATTTCTGTCATTATTTCCACATTATCACTTTATATTATTACAACAAACATTTGTTAAACAAGAAACAATGGGCCAGGTGTGGTGGCTTATACCTGTAATCCCAGCAATTTGGGAGGCTAAGGTGGGAGGATCGCTTGAGATCAGGATTTTAAGACCACCCTGAGCAACATAGTGAGATCCTTTCTCTACAAAAATAAAGAACTTAGCCAGGCATGATGGCATGCGTCTGTAGTCGTAGCTACTTGGGAGGCTGAGGTGGGAGGATCACTTTAGCCCAAGAGTTTGAGGTTGCAGTGACCCATGATTGTGCCACTGTGCTCTAGCCTGGGCAACAGAGCAAGACCCTGTCTCAAAAACAAAAACAAAACTGGAAACAAGGTACGCCTTGGGGATACAGACTTGAATAAGACATAATTCTTTCTTCATATAGCTCACGGTCTAGGAAGGAAGATAAACGTAAAGCAGAAGAGTCAGACACCTTGTTAATGACTACGAAGAGGTAAGAACAAAGTGTCATAGGAACGCCAAGTCCAGAGCAGTGAGCAGAACAGCCCAGTTGAATCTGAGAAGGCTTTTTCAGAAGAGGTTATATTTGAGCTGGGTTCTAAAAGGTGAGTAGGCGTGATCCAGACGGAGAAGGGTGAAATTGTATTTCAGGCAGATGGGATAGCATGTGCAAAAACATGGAGTTGTGAGGTACTTGACGTGTTCGCAAAGAGTCATTTAGTCAGACTCTAAGGCGTCTGTAAGAGAGGCAATGAGGCCGGCGTGATGAGTTGGAGCCTGCTTGTGAAGGTCCAGTTATGCAGCTTGTAGTTAACTGAGGCAACACCATTTTTTTTTCTTTTTTTTTTTTAGCAGGAGGGTAAGAAGAACAGATTAGTTTTTTAGGAATATAACTCTAGAAGCAGTATGGAAGATGAACAGAAACAAGGACAGTCCAAAGTTATGTCCAGATGCCATGAAGGGGGTTGCTGAGTGGTCCGGGAGAGACCTGATGGAGTTTGGACTCTGGCAAGAAAGATTGTAAAGTATCATCCAGATCTGAGAGTTAAAGAATAGTCATCAAAATTCGGTAGCAGGTGGATGGTGGAGGCTGTGGGGAGAAAGAGGAGGAGCCAGGGCCGGGCACGGTGGCTCACACCTGTAATCCCAGCACTTTGGGAGGCCTAGGCAGGTGGATCACGAGGTCAGGAGTTTGAGACCAGCCTGGCTAACATGGTGAGACCCTGTCTCTACTAAAAATACAAAAATTAGCTGGGCGTGGTGGTGGATGCCTGTGGTCCCAGCTGCTTGGGAAGCTGAGGCAGGAGAATCATTTGAACCCAGGAGGTGGAGGTTGCAGTGAGCCGAGATTGCACCATTGCACTCCTGCCTGGGCGACAGTGCGAAACTACATCTTAAAACAAAAAAAAAAAAAAAAAAAAGAAAGAAAGAGGAGGGTCCCTAGACTGCACTAATATTCTAGCTTGATGTTATCTGAACTAGGTCAATGGCCATAACTCGAGATAAAATGTACTGAAAAGTCAGGATTGAAAGATAAGTTAAGGCTGGAACAGTGGTTCACAGCTGTAATCCCAGCACTTTAGGAGGCTGAGATGGGCTGATTGCTTGAGGCCAGGAGTTTGAGACCAGCCTGGCCAAATGGTGAAACCCCATCTCTACAAAAAATACAAACATTAGCTGGACGTTGTGGTGTGTGCCTGTAATCCCAGCTACTTGGGAAGCTGAGGCACGAGAATCGTTTGAACCAAGGAGGCGGAACTTGCAGTGAGCTGAGATCGCATCACTGTACTCCAGCCTGGGTGACACAGCGAGACTCTGTCTCAAAAAAAAAAAAAAAAAAAAAAAGAAAGAAAGAAAGAAAAAAGAAAAGTAAGGTAATGAAATCAAAATTTGAGCAGGATGAGGATTGGAAAGAGGCCATTGGAGTGAAGATTTGGGGTTTCATTCATTATCTTGGCAAAAATAGTGTCAATGAAGTCCCAGGGTAAGAAGATGGGATAGGAGCAAGACAGAAACATTGTACAGAGTTTAGGACTTGAAGGCAGTTGAGAGTTTGAGCTCCCTACACTTTATATTTGAAAGAAATAAAAGGAGATGGAATGACAACTTACAGGGGAAGAAAGAAAAAAAATGAGTTTTCAAAAGCGGGAAATCAGGCTGGGCGCAGTGACTCATACCTGTAATCCCAGCACTTTGGGAAGCCAAGGTAGGAGGGTCACTTGAGGCTGGGAGTTTAAGACTGGCCTGGGCAACAAAGTGAGACCCCATATCTACAAAAATAGAAATGCAAAAAGTTAGCCAGGCATGGTGGCATGCACCTGCAGTCTCAGCTACTTGGGAGGCTGAAGTGAGAGAATCACTTGAGCCCAGGAGGTTGAGGCTGCAGTGAGCTATGATCACACCATTGCACTCCAGCCTAGGTGACAGAGCAAGATCCCATCTCTAAAAAGAAAAAAAGGAAATCGCTTGAATATGTTTATCAATACATAAGAAATATCTAGATAGGGAGAGGTTGCAAATATAGAAAGAAGAGACAGCTAAGAGAAACTTGAGAACTCAGAAGGTAACAGAATCTAGCAAAAAATAAGAACAAATAAACAAAGGAAATGGAGGGATTAAATTTGTAGAAGGAAGAATGAAAGGGAACCAATATTCATGGTCCGCCAAGCACTGGGGCTAGGTATTTTACATTTATCAATTTATTTAATTTTTGTTAAAACCCTATAAAGTGTGGCCAGGCACGGTGGCTCATGCCTGCCATCCCAGCAATTTGGTTGGCCGAGGTGGGTGGATTGCTTGAGGCCAGGAGTTCGTGACCAGCCTGGGCAACATGGCAAAACCCCGTCTCTACTAAAAATACAAAAATTAGCTGGGTGTGCTGGTGTGCGCCAGTGTTCCCAGCTACTCAGGAGGTTGAGGTGGGATGATCCCTTGAGCCTGGGAGGCTGAGGTTGCAATGAACCGAGTTCCCGCCACTGCATTCCAGCCTGGGCACTCCAGCCTGGGCAACAGTGAGACCCTGTCTCAAAAAAAGGAAAAAGAAAAAAAAAATCTATAAGGGGAGAGAAGGAATGCCCCTTTCTTGGAGAAAATGGGAAAACAGCAAAGATGAGTTATGCTTTCAGAAGTGCAGATGTGAAGGACCCCTGGAAGTCACTTCAAGAGATAACTTCTTGGCCGGGCATGATGGCTCATGCCTGTGATTCTAGCACACTGGGGGGCTGAGGCAGGCAGATCACTTGATGTCAGGAGTTCGAGACCAGCCTGGCCAACATGGTGAAACCCTGTCTCTACTAAAAGTTCAAAAATTAGCTGGGGATGGTGATGCATGCCTGTAAGTCCTAGCTACTTGAGAGGCTGAGGTGGGAGAATCGCTTGAACCCAGGAGGTGGAGGTTGCACTGAGCCGAGATTGCGCCACTGCACTCCAGCCTGGGTGCCAGAGCGAGACTCCATCTAAAAAAAAAAAAGAAGTTATCTCTTTTTTTTTTTTTTTTTTTTTGAGACAGATTCTCACTCTGTCGCCCAGGCTGGAGTGCAGTGGTGCGATCTTGACTCACAGTAGTCTCTGCTTCCCAGGCTCAAGTGATTATCCCACCTCAGCCTCCTGAGTAGCTGGGACTACAGTCACATGCCACCACACCTGGCTAAGTTTTTGTATTTTTGCTAGAGACAGGGGTCTCATGTTGCCCAGGCTGGTCTCGAACTCCTGAGCTCAAGCAATTCGTCCACCTCAGCCTCCGAAAGTGCTGGGATTACAGGTGTGAGCCACTGCACCCGCCTTCAAGAGTTATCAAGAGATAAATTATATTTCCTCTCTGAAGAGAAGGTGAAGTCATCTTCTGAGAGTGAAATAGGGAGTGAGGTGGGAGTTCAGAAAGAATGGAAACGTTTTTGAAGAGTCAAAATTATTGACTGGGGACAAAGGAAAAGATTTCCATACAGTGTTCTGTTGGAGTTGGAAAGCATGCTCTATGTGGCATGATCGTCTCAATCTGCACCATACCCCATGAGCAGCGAGTTGGGGTCCTCTTTGGGTAGATGTTTTGGGAAGGCTGGCAGAATCACAAGGCGCTGAGCATGCTGGTGAGACCCAGGGGAGAGTAAAGCTAGAAGGTGCCTGAAACTGGGAGAACGATGAGATAGAAGAAGAGATTTAAGGGAGGAATTGAATGAGAAATGTCAATGGATTGCAGATTGAGATCTTGACAGATCTCAGAGGCACTTTAAGATTCTAGGCTGACACTGGAGAAAACGTGGCTTCAGCAGGATGCATGTCAGTGACCACCTACTTTAAACTGACGCTGGTCTTATTTACATGAACAAAATATGGAGCTGTTGAATTGTTGAGAGGGTGACTGAGAAAGGCTGTAAAAATCCAGGTTGGGTAATCCCCACCATCTTGGATTAGTTAGTGTGGGCCTCTCTGGAATCAGATAGGTCTCACGGCCTGTCTGCCAGGTCTTATGATTATGTACAGGAAAAGAGCCCAGCTAATAGGTGTTTTGAAAAGCTTCTAAAACCTATAATTGTGAGCCTTTTCTACCTTGGACTTTTGAAGGTTTAAACCACAGAATTTTTTTTTAAAGGTTGAGTTATTTTATGTCACAATGCCTTACAATAAATTTGTCTCTTCCAGAGGACAGTTCCTATCTCTCACTTTATGAACTTTTAGGCCCATGAAGTGAATTTTCTAGGCCATTCCCCATACCTCCACTCCAGCCAATTAATATCATGGTTTGCATTTTCATCCAATCATGCATATTCTGTGGGGTTGGTTCACCACACAGACACATGCTTTTTTACAAGTGTTGTCACCAGGTGCCAGGCATAGGATGAACCTGCTGAGGCAGACAAAGGATCTTTCTGTCATGCAGGGAAGAGCACCAGCACGTGAGAGCCCTGCCTCTCTGGCCCTTTCTGGCTTGTCTTGCTAGAGTTCTCCATGATTTGTCTATCCTTACTCTCTGTCCTTACCCCAGGCTCAGCCTCAAGCTCCCCCTGTATCTAGGTGTTGGATCATTTTAACATCTGCAGTTTGGTGGAGCTGCATGTCTCTGTTCTACATACAAATACCAAAAGAACACAGGTCTCTAGGTATCTGTGAACAACTGACATCATCCAAAAAGAGCTTTAAAAATCAGGGGAAAAAAAAAATCTCTGTTGTGTTTTATCTGCCTGTTGCTTTGATTACAGAGCACTGAAGCAAGGTTTTCAAATGTCCTTTCTTTGTCAACCTGTTATCCTGCCTTACAGGTGGTTCTGATTTCTTCCACTGTTATTACAGTAGGAGACTAAATGTAATTACCCAGCACTTCAATTTAGACGTCAAACACGATTATACAGAAAACAATCTGTTAGAGTGTCCCAATGATTCAGTTGTTACTTGGTTTTATGGTGAATTCTAGATAAGAAATACTAATAATTAGGATCTCAGTTGCCCTTTATGGCTTAACCTTTATATGTTCCTGGCCATTTAGGAACCTAGATTCATCTCATTTAAACTTCTACAGATGAAGAAAAAGAGACCAAGAAAATGGAAATCACTCATCCAGGTTCAGAAAACTGTCTGGGAGTAGGTTTGGGACTAGCACCCCCATCTCCTGATACAGAATTTAATGCTCTGCAGCTCTCTGGGGAGGAGCCCCACCCTCTAGTTGCTGGAGAAGGGGACTCAGAGGTGGTGTGGAATGGTGCTCTCATTTAGGGGACAGCTTGTGGGGCAACATGTAAAGTATTCTGGTTCTCCATTGGCCTTACAAGCAGAATATCTTGTAAAGTTTTTCATCAGTACCCACCAAATCTCTCCCCTCCTTCCCTCGTTTTCTGGTGGGTGTGTGTTTAAGGTGAAATAATTCGAGCAGGTAAATTTTGTTTTACCACCACACATTTTAATATCATATGCATATGAATAGCAAATAAAAATTAATCTCCTGATTATTTATAATATGTCACTCTCTGTTAACAGGCAGAGATTTGTGTTAATAATTGAGAGCTCTCTGGCTGGGTGCAGTGGCTCATGCCTGTAATCCCAGCACTTTGGAAGGCTGAGTTGGGTAGATCACTTGACGCCAGGAGATCAAGACCAACCTGGCCAACATGGCGAAAACCATCTCTACCAAAAATACAAAAATTAGCCAGGTGTGGTGGCACATACCTGTAATCCCAGCTCCTCAGGAGGCTGAGGCATGAGAATCGCTTAAGTCCAGGAGGCAGAGGTTGTGGTGAGCCGAGATCGTGCCACTGCAATCCAGCCTGGGCCACAGAGTGAGACTCTGTCTCAAAAAAATATATAAATAAATAAAATAATGATAATAATAATTGAGAGCTTTTTTTACCCTAAAATTTCACTGGTCTGTTATACAACAAAGAGGCTAAAACTGTGTTGAGCAGCAGTAAGGTTTACCTGGTCTTACAGCTGGAGGGTGTGGGGGTGTAGATGAGATTTAGATAGCACGGGCACTGGTTTTTCTGATGGCCAGTCAACTGTTACCTGGCTTCTGATCTACCAAGGTATGGCACAGACTCTCTGTGATCTGCCCAGAAGAGGAGACTGAATCAGTGCTATTAGAACTCTGGCGTTCCCTTTCAGAAAAGGTAGAAGTTCTCCCAAGTCACTGCTCAGGGCCTTGTCAGTCAGTTTGGTAGATTTGATGTTTATTGATGCAGAAACAGGGACCAAGGAAATGTCCCTAACTCTGGGATTTTTGTCACTTTGCAGAAAAGGCATAGTGGAAGAGGATAAAACATTCTTTGAAAGAAGGAAATCTCCAAGGTGTATGTATGTCTTACATACTTAGGTGGGAGAAGGTTATTTGACTATGAACAAGAAATTGAATAGGAACCAGTTAAATTGCTGTAAGAAAATTAAGGGAGTCCTCTAAGAAAGTGTCACCCCTCTGCCTCCCTAGAATAGGAGTTAATGAATTATTCTGTGAAACCCTAAACAAAATCAGATAGGCTTCCTTTGCTAGAGCTTGAGATCCCTTAGTTTAGCTATACAGCATGTGTGGTCATTTTGGAGGATTGTTTTCTATTTGCTAATTATTTGGCTCTCCAATTTTGCTTTCCCCAGGGAGAATCCCATCTGGATAAACTATCAGTTAACAGCCATGTAGTCATCCATGTTAATAGCTTTACTGAGTAGCTAGCTACTCAGACATGCTAGCCGTGTAGAGAAATGTGAGATGCGGTAGGTGTTTCAATATATCAATGGTACCTATGGTTTGATTATTTTCCTGGTCTGTTCAAATGCTATTAACTGCTTCCAAAATGTTATAAATGATGTGTTTGTAGTGTGGATTGTTTCTCTGTTATCTATATTAGTGTTTCTGTCTGTTCTTAAATCACTCATCAAATACTTTTGTGTTGTATCTGTTTCATTCTCCCCTGCCCCAGTCAAACTGAGCCTAGTATTATGAGGTAGGCCATTTTGCTGTTGAGTCTTGAAGACAAAGAATGGTAATGCAAAATAGACATTACTACTTATAGCCCCCTTCCTCTCTCATAATAAACCCTGTCTCTGTTGAACTTTTAACTGCAACCACAGTCCAGAGTTTCAAGGAGCCATCTCTCAAACATGGGTATCATTAAGGTCCAGAGATTTCTAACCACAGACTTACTATCTTTGGAATAAAAGCCTGAGAGCAGCCTAACTCACGTCTAATGCAGGAAGGGCAAGTTAAAAACAGCCTTGGCATCCTTGAGATCACTGACCCTACAGGCATTATAGCCTTCGAGTTTTATTTTGATAACAGCCTCCTAGTGTACTTGTCTGCTATTTGGTTAAATTGTTGCAAAGCAATAGACAGCGACCCTCTGCTTTTATTTCTAGCTCACTTCAGGGTAGGGCTAATGAGCTTTCACTCTGGGCTGAGTGCTTGGGTCATGCGGTGACAGATGTAGGAGAAGCAATCCTAGGAATGAGCTATATTAAAACATAATCTAAGACTCTGGTGCTGCGTTGCCATGAGGCAGGGGCAGTGTGGCGTCTGTCTTCCCCAATGTCACAAAAAGCAAAGTAGTCACAGAGTTTCAACAAAGCATGTTCATTTGACCTTGGCATTGATCCAGGTCTGATCTATTAACATATCGGAAGTAACATGATCTTTACCATCCTTATCATCATCGTCACTAACAATCTTTTACTTATTTTTTTACTAAAAATCTTTTATTGAAACTTTTACTATGTGCCAAACACTTTGCTAAGGATAGTATCTTCATGATCTCACTTAACTTACAACATTAATAAGTGAGTATTATTAATTTCCCAATTTTAGAGAGGAGGAAACTAAGATTAGGGAGACTAAAAGACTTCCTTAAGGTTATTTTTACTGGTTTGCAGATCTGGGGTTCAAATCTAGGTCTGATTTCAGAGCCCGAGCTTTTAACACAACTATGTCATATTAAACAAATAAATCAACCAGCGTGGTGGCTCACACCTGTTAATCCCAGCTACTCAGGAGGCTGAGGCAGAAGGATGCCTTGAGGCCAGGAGTTTGAGACCAGCCTGGGCAACATAGCAACATCTGGTTTCTATTAAATAAAAAAAAAAGAGAGAGAGACAAGCAAGCAAAGAAATCAGAAACTGTTTATCCGGCATCTCCTCTTTGTAAGATGCTATATTAGATTTGTGGGGTTGGGGTACAAAAAAGCATAAGTTACTTTCCATCCCCAAATGGCTTTAAGTGTTATTGGCCAAGAAGTCATTTAAAAGATAACTAGCAATGTACTAGATGCCAAGTATGTGGAGCATAGTAAATATTATATGAATAAAGAGGAAGTTTGGAGAAGGTGAGAGTCACACTGGGCCTTGAACACTGGGCAAGGTTTATATAGATGGAAAATAAATAAGAAACACATTTCACACCAGGGAGGTGATGTGAACAAATCCTAAGGATGAGGAAGTACAAGGCATGTCATGTTGTTGAAGGTTGGAGAATGATGGGAATGGGGTAGATGAAGAGTCAGTTATTCAGGAAAGAAGTTTTCGTGTACTCATCTATTTGGCCCTCAGATATTTACTGAGCGCCTGCTATCTAAAGTTGTTTCTGGGGGAAGAACAAGAGAGAAGGGTGAAAAGGTAGATTTTTTTTTTTCCAGAGTTGTCTGGCTGGCCTGCCTCATGCAAACATGTTGGGCATTGGCATTTGGTCAGCAGCCTCTTCTCTTAACTTCACAGTTACGCACACTTGGCTGGAGTATGTTCTGGCTCTGACCTTTCTTCCCTGGCCAATATGTCAGAAGGAAAGAGACCAGCTTTGGTATATCAATCTTACTGATTTATTTCTAAACTTGAAAAAAAAATCAAAGCAATATAGCAGTGTTAGAAAAATGTTTAAAAGAAATGGGCAATCACCCATAGTACTACCTTCTTAATATAACTAAGGTTTCTAATCTTTTCTAGTTTTTAGCATGGAAATAATGCCTTTTTTACATGCTTCTAATCAGATGGTGTGTACAGTTTTGCATCCTGCTTTATTTACAGTTAGAACTCATGAAAATGTGTTGAGTAAATGAACATTGATGCATAGTGTTTACGGGAACCAGGTGTACTGCCTCTTCTCCGTTGTTAATATAAATTGTTTTGAATGTTCTCTATTTTAATGGAGATGGGGTCAGTGAAGGTTTTCAGGCATCCTACTTTTAAGGTATGGCTTTTGAATTCTGATACAGACAATCGGAACTATCTTAGCATGGATTCAAGAGACTTGAGAATTGAAATCCTGATAGGCAGGAGCAAGATAAATATCACTCTAGTTCCATCTATCCCTAAGGAGAACCAGCTTAAGCGCAAAGACAATCTCTCATTTGCAAATATGGGCATGATTCCTTTTTTTGCTTTTAATTGCCCAAATCTTGCCCCTTTGTCCGGCATCTGGTCAAGGAACAGGGAAGTTCTCAGATAAGGGATGTGGGAGAACTGGGACCAAGTCCTTGGAATTTGAATTTTTCCTCCCACGGTGGTTGTCTGGGTTGCTGTTCTTGCCCACTCTGTGATCCAAGTAGTTGCTGAGTTCAGAATTGCCATGGGCTTTTGGAAACCTCAGTAACTGCTAGTTAACTAAAGTAACAGGTGTGAAATTAGTTCTGTGGTTCAGTTCTGCCAATCTTAAACCCATAAAAAGTACAGAGTTCTACGTGTATTAATCAGCAGTATCCTTCTCTCTCCCATCCATTTTCGCCTGCCTGAATAATCTCCAAGAACTACTCTAAAAGAACACAAGTATTGACTTTGACAAATTACACCTCCCTTTAAACATTCCTCTGCTCAGCTTCTGAATTCTTCTGACAGTCTAAAAAATAGATCCAATAAGACAATATTATTGCATTTCCTTTAGATTGATTTATCTTGGGAGCATCTCCTCTTTCTTGTCTGTACACCTGGCACTGAGATGGTAGCTGGCATAAAAATCCAAAGATAAATGCTTAAAAACATCAGCAACCAAATTAATTCAGGAATTTATCTCACTCATGTGAACTTAATGATCATTCTCATGTTTGATGAGATGTTCTGGGTGGATAAAGCATCAGAGCAAAGAGAGCAAAATGCGTGGTGGGTGCAGGAAAAAGGAAAGTTCCTTAGGAGAAACAGAGTTGAGCAGTCGCCAGAGTATAACTCAGTAGTAACATCACCAAGGAAGAGAAGGGGTCTGTGATGCACAGGAAGCCAGCGCCAGGCCTGGTGAATATCAAAAGCAGCAGATGGGGAGACAAGGAGGCCGGCTGGAAGGGAAAGGGTGGCTATTGTCCTGCTCTGTTTATCTGTTGCTTGCTTTTATTGAGCACCCAAGAGGACAAATCTCTGAACTAGACGTGCTCCCTGACCTCTTCCTGCAAGTAACATTCAGAAGAGCTGGAAGATAATATACACTTAGAAGGTCCAGTGGCTCTCCATTTGTTATTCTTCCAATGGAAGACCCTGAACTAGGAACTTGAGGAGAAAGATTAGCCATCTAAAGAAAAGACTTGCAAAAGATCTCAAACTCAAATGAAATGGATCGCCTTCCACCACCATGCGCTTCCAGCTGAAAAGTGGTCATGTGTGTGTATGGCAGTGGCTCTGCCACCTTCTATGTGGCTCCTTTGTGTTTTAGACTGAGTATGGAAAGGTGCTCAGCACACTCTGTCCTTTTTTCCCTGTTAGCATAGGTATATTTCTGTGTCCACAGGTACAAAGCCAAGGACCTATGTGTTCTAGTGGTCAGAACACTGGACTTGGTAATGGTTATCAAAGCTACTGTTTATTAAGCGTTTTCTCTGCACCAGGGAGGTAGTCGAAGGTGCTATCTTACTTCTGAAGATGCTGAGGCTTGAAGACATTGATTAACTTACCAAGACCGTGGAATTAGTAAGAGGAAGACCTGCATTGGCACCCAGGTTGATCTGACTTCAAAGCCTGCATTTTTTTTACTGCCTATGGCAATCTGTCTCCCAGAAACCAGAACAACTAGTTTAAATTCCCAGCTCTGCTACTCCCTAGCTGAATATTTCATGACTCTGGCCCTCAGTCTGTCAAATGGAAGGGTTGTGCTAGGTGTTTTCTAACATTCCTACTAGTTCTGAAGTCCAGTGCACTGTCTAAGGCTTTTATCAAATATATGATTTGCAAAACTTCTCTCCAATTCATCAGGTTGTCTTTTGCTTAGTTTTAAGCAGGACTTTCATGAGTATAATCTCAAGCAGTCTGGAATGTATGGGGAAATGGTAGGAGAAATTCTTTGATTACTATTTATTGAGTGCCTCCCCAAGGATATAGCAGAGACCAAAACTGTCATGGTTCGGCCTTTGAAAAACCAATGAAGCAGGGAAAACAGCCACTGAATATGTTACAAGGGTTGAGTGTTATGCAGAAAGATTACAGCATATGTAGGCCCTTCTGAGGGTAATTCATGTGAATCTGGTTCAGCCAGTTCAGTGAACATCTGCATGTATCCCAGACCAAGCAAGCAACAGTATTTATTTTATTTTCATTAATTTTTAAATTATTTTTCTGCTTAGAGTCTTCTCATGCACAAGAGCAATAGGATTTAACATCTAAATGTAACAGGTGTGACAGGCCACCTGTGTTCAGTCTTCTCTTGTTATTCTTTTCTTTTTTGAGGCTTCTTACATACCCCAGTTTTGATGGGAGTTGGCAGGGCATGTGGAGTTGTACAGTGTCAGTCTAAAGAGGAACAAGGGAAGATGGAGATAAGGAAGAAGTTAAAGTTAAATCAGGGGTTAAAGTTAGAGGGATGGAATGAGGTAAAAATAATGAGTTATACCTTAGGAATGTCTCCCAAATTCTCGCTTACTGCAGCAGGAAGCATAGGTTAGAAGGGAGAGAAGAAAAGAACCACAGATTCACAGTCTCTCTGATTTGAACGGGACCCAATAAGACATGTGGTCCAACCTCATCTAATTATTCAAATGGCATCTGCAACATCCCAGGAAGACTTTCAGTTTGAATGCTTTCGTTGACGGATGATGCCTACCTGACAAGGCAGGCCATTGGATTGTAGGGCAAGCTCAGGCTGTGAAGAGAGACACTGCTTTTTGTTGAGATATCTTAAAAAAAAAACAAACTTCTATCTTCTAGCTTTAATTCTGGCCTTCTGTGTTCTTTCACTTAATGTTTACAAAGTTCATCCATGTTTTAGCATTTATCATCACTTCATTCCTGTTTATTACCGAATAATATTTCATTGTATGGTTAATATCACATTTTATTTATCCAACCATCGGCTCATAGATATTTGGGTTGTTTTTACTTTTCAGCTATTATGAGTAATGCTCCTGTGAATATTAGTGCACACATTTTTGTGTGGACATGTTTTCATTTCTCTGGGATATACACCTGGAAGTGAAATTACTGGGTCATATAGTAACTGTATGTTAAACACTTTGAGTGACCGCCAGACTATTTTCCAAAGGACTGCACTATTTTACATTCAGTGTAAGTATATTGCATATATATGCGGGTTCTAACTTCTCCATCTCCTCGTCAGCACTTGTTATCATCTGTCTTTTATGTTATAACCATCCTAGTGGCCATGAAGTGCTATCTATTGTGGTTTTGATTTGTATTTCCCTGATGGCTCATGACGTTCAGTATTTTTAAATGTACTTATCGACCATTTGTATCTATTCTTTTGAGAAATGTTTATTTAGGTCCTTTCTCCAGCTTTAAAAAAATTATTTTGTTATTGAGTTATAGTTCTTTATATATTCTAGACACAAGTCTCTTGTCAAATATATGATTTGCAAAACTTTTCTCCAATTCATCAGGTTGTCTTTTCATTTATTGATGGTATCCTTTGAAACACGAAACCTTCTAATTTCGATGACGTCCAGTTCACTCACCCTTTATTGCTTGTCCTTTTGGTGTCATAGCTAAGAAACCACTGCCTAATCCAAGGTTACAAAGATTTATGCCAATGCTTCTGAGAGTTTTATAGTTTTAGCTCTTACATTTAGGTCTTTGATCCTCATGGTCTATTTTTAAAAAGCAAGTTGTATGACATTTAAAACTCAGATACTCAGTCCTCATTAAAACTTCATCTGAAATCAAGATTAGAGGAAAAAGAGTTTAGCAGAGTCCTTCCTTGCAAGTGACCCAAAAGGTTGCAGTTTTATAAGACAAAAATAGACTAGACATCTCCAGAGACTTTATTATGACTTTTATTAGGACTTTATTATGACTTTCATTAAGGCTTGGGTTTCGAGGTGTTCAAACCTGCAAATATGGGTGATAGACGGATGGACCCTTTGTAGTTGGCGTTAGGTGATAAAGAGAATAGGAGGCTGCTGCCCACCGCCGTTTCAACACGGCCAGCAGCTCTGCTCTCTGCCTCCTGTCCTGTGTCCTTCCTCCTTTGGATCTCTTGGCCTGAGATCCTTTCAGATGGTGATTTTTGGTCCCCTTTTGTCCACGTAGTTGCTTACACATGCTAGTGCACCCCCACAGCCTCATGTCTGCCTGTCCACCCCATCTCCCTCCTCATTCTGGGACTGGAGACAGTTTGGTTTTTTTATGTATCAGGATAATGACCACCTCTTTTTCTTCCCATATGAGCTCCCACTCCCTTCTTCTCTACGTACCTTCCTTGGAGCTAATTCACACATACCTCAGGGTGCTTCTTATTTTTCATGTTTTTTTTCTCTTCCTATAGATAGAACTCATAAGGTTTCCATGGAAACCCCTGATCAGAGGTAGGGGATTCTTGAATAGAGGTGAGATACACAAGCTTTGCTCATTTCTGAGGGGCTCTGGGAGTGTCTCCCTCACTCCTCCGCCAACTCCCTCTCCAACTCTTCCTGGGTCAGCTCTTGGGTCTGTCTCTATAAGATGCTTCAGGAGCCCCCAGAACTTTGTCTTAGGATAGAACAGATGGTGGTGACGATGGCCCTGAGAGTCCGGGCTCTAGGAAGAGGCTGCTGCTGGGTGGGTTGTTTGGCATCTGCAGAAAACCTGAAATCTGGTGTGTTTCCCAGGAAAAGGGAAGTGCTTAATGGCAATCCAATTCTCCCTATTGCGTCATGAGACAAGTCCTGGTTAGGAGAGCTGGGTCCCAAATTACCAGCATTGTCTTCCTCTTATTAGACAGAGATGGAAAGGCCTTCTGGAGGTAAAGGCATGGCTGTGATAATCACCGGAAGGCCTTCCCATCTCTGGTTGAGATTCTTGTATGCCCGGTCTTTATATGAATGGCAGGTCTTAGGCATGCATATAAGCAAATTAACATGCTGGAACTGGAAGGGATTCAGAGTCGAGGTTCTAATATATAGGTTGAAGGTTCCTGGAGGACTGCAGAGTTACAGCAAAGGCTCTAAGAGGCCATGTGTGCACTGAATGCTGCCTGGGGAACAAATACATCAACGTGGTCACCATCTCTTGGAACTATGCTATTTTTTTAAATGATAAAAATTAATCCCATACTTGAAAAAATTGCAAACTACTGATTTGTTGTAGACCTATTACCTTGCAAATGAAGTAAACAGGGGCTCAGACAGCAAGAGTGAGGTGGCGACTAGCCTGAAGTCAGCCAGCTAGGACCGGAGGCTTGGGGTGGGGTAAGTGTTAGTGGCAGCACCTACTGCTCTGTTTACCCACACTGTGGAAAGTGCTATACTGGGAAAAGGAGGCCTCCTCTGACCAGCAAGTGCCTACTCCTGCAGCTCAGAGCCTGAGAAAGAAACTACACATTAAAAGTGAAACTGAGGTGGTTTCATCTTCCCAGAATAAATGAATGATATCAGTAGAAAAGCTAGGGGATTTTTCTGGGGATTGGGGGGAAGGGAGTTCAAGGAAGCAGCAGTTCTGAGGATACTGATTTCATTCATTATCTTTTTGAAAAATAAATTAATATTTTAAATTAGGTTCCTAATCACAGAGTGTGAATCATAACAGAAGGATTGGGTGGCCTCCCTTTCAAGACCAGCGCTGGGAAGAGCTTTGAACCTGAGCCTAACTGTGGATTTAGATCTGGTGCACTTCTCCCCACTTCTGTACCTAGGCCAGTCAAATCCAGAACTTGTTTTTTTTAGGGGATTTCAGAGGAGTTGAGAACACGAAGGTCCATAATTAAGCATCATTGATTTTTAAATTATTTTGGCTCTGAGGTTTAAACTGGCATTGAACTCTCAGGTTCAGTTTAGAACTCTCTTATATTGTGAAAACTGCCTCAGTGTTTCCATTCTGAAGACCTTGCAGTTGCTTGATTTGCATATAGGAGTGTGATATTTAAGTGTGTGGGAAAGTGGATGAATGTGGGTGACTATGTTATGCGTTTGTGAAAAAGCATCCAGGAATATAGGTGATCATGTGGCTTGTCAGGACTTGGCAGGATGCAGATGGCACACTCGGATAGGGTAATGGGGGGCGTTTAAGAAAGGGACTCTCTTTAAAGGTGTGGGTAAAGTTAAGGGATATCAGCAAAGGATAAATGGAGCAAAGGATAAATGAGGCAAGAGAGGTCACCTGACCTGAGCTGTGGCCTTGGGTGCAGAGATGCAGTCAATCCACAGGAAAGTAGCAAGGGAGAAGCTGAGGGACAAGCCCCTGTCCCAATTCTCCTCTTGCCCTCCTGTATCCAGCCAGTGCCTCCCTTGGCAGGACCCAACCAGAAGCCAGAAGGCAAGAGAACTGGTTACACTTCTCAGAAGGGCCAGCCTCCTGGGTCACAGAGCAAGATGGGGCTGTGGGGCTGTGTAGCAAGATGGGGGGATCTACTCTACACATGCAGAGTGGATCCAGAGTTGAATGTGTAATGGTAGGTCGGGTAAAATCTTACTGTGAGAACACTCAGGCATTAACTGGGGCTGACCTGGACTTGAATTTAAAGAGTGCTTCCTACTTCAGAGTCTTGCTCTCTCTCTCTCTCTCTCTCTCTCTCTCTCATTTCACCTATTCTGCTTCTTTCTCCCTGTGGTAGGGAAGAACCTAGTTTCCAATGTGTGGCATCTTGATTAAATGGAAAGTACATGGGCTATGGAGCTAAATCATATTAGCTTGAAATTTTAGCTCAGCCACTTACTGAATGTGAGCCTTGGGCTAGTTACTAACCTTGCAAGTTCCAGTTTCCTCATCTGTAAAATGTTGGTAATGTTAAACTCCTTGCAAGGTTGATATAAGAATTAAAGACTATGTATCTTTATCTGTGTCAGTATCTTCATCTCCCAGTATAGTGGTTCATTCATGTTAAGTGTTCAATAAATACTGGCTATTTTTCTCATATCCACCACCTGGGCTGTCGGTCACACCTACTCATTTTCTCTTATACTTTGCTTCACGAATTCCTTCTTCTTTCCTACATCATTAATCTTTTGCTCTCTAGTGGGTCTTTCGTTTTTATTTCTTAAATACACATCTCCCTGATGTTAACAAAGAAACCTCTCTCCCAACCTAAATTCTTCTCTAGCTTCTATATTTTGGCTATTGTTCCCTTCATGAATATATATATATATATATGAATATATATTTCTTTCTATTTGTCCATTAATGCATCTATCCATCCATCTTTATTTTTATTTTTATTTATTCATTTCTTTTGAGATGGAGTCTTGCTCTGTTGCCCAGGCTGGAGTGCAGTGACGCGATCTCAGCTCACTGCAACCTCCACCTCCTGGGTTCAGGTGATTCTCTTGCCTTAGCCTCCTGAATAGTTGGGATTACAGGCATGCACCACCACGCCCAGCTAATTTTTGTGTTTTTAGTAGAGATGGGGTTTACCATGTTGGCCAGGGTGGTCTTGAACTCCTGACCTCAAGTGATCCACCTGCCTTGGCCTCCCAAAGTGCTGAGATTACAGGCATGAGACACTGTGCCTGGCCCATCCATTCATCTTTAAAAATCAGCATACATGTATTGCCCTAAGTGTCTTACCACCTTTTGACTTCTCAACCCCCTGCAGATTTGTTTGTTTTCTACCATTGTGCCAAAAATGATCTCAGCAGTCTCTAATTAATTTCCCAAATGCCAAATCCAGTGGCCTATTTCTAGACCTCATCCTGCTTCACAGCATTTGACATTCCCAATTATGTCTTTCTTCTTGAAATACACTTCCTCCTTGGTCTTTGTGCTGCTGTATTTTCTTGGTTCTCAGTGTTCCTGCCCAGGTAACCCCCTTCCCCTAAACCCTCTAGTCACTTATGTTTTCTTTCTTGCACACAAGTGTAGATGTTGCTAGTAATTGATTATTTATTTGACTGTTTCTTCCTGTTGCTCCTCCTGTAACATTCAGGAGAGCAGGGGTTTTATCTGTTCTGTTTATTGTTTTATTCTCACTACTGAACCCAGTGTCCCAGTGCTTGATATAAAGTGTTAGCAAATACTACTTGAATGAAGAATAGATTTAAAATTTATTCCTCCAAGGTAACTCTCTTAGCCTGCTTCTCAACTATATCCTCCCCACATAGACATCTGTGACCTCTTTCTTTGGACTCTAGATCATGGGTCAGAAAACTTTTTCTTAAAGGACCTGATAGTCCATATATTTAGCTTGCAGGTCATATGGTCTCCATCACAACTACTCAGCTCTGCCACTGTAAAGCAAAAGAAACTATAAATAAAATATCAATTAATAGGTGTGGCTGTGTTTCAATAAAACTTTGTTTACAAAAACACACATCCCACGGGTCATAATTTGCAGAACCCTACTCTAGCTTATGTTTCCAGTAGTTCAGTGAAAACTGTCGCATGATTAACTTAATGATACCTCAAATTCAATTCATCTGACCTGGAATTATCTTCTCTTTCTTCATTCTCCAAAAGCCTCTCCACTTGCTTGTGATACTCAGCTCAGTTTACACTATGCCAATTCTTCTGGTATTGTGGGAGAGAAACCTAAGATAGCTTCATCTTTACATTTTCCTTCCCCCAGTCCAATCAATGACCCCATTCTGACCATTTTGTCTCTGCAGTTTTCCTTACTCAGACCTTGCTGAGCTCAAGCTCTCCTTAACTCTACCTTGATCACTGCCTCCCCTCCTAATCAATCATCCTCATTGTTCTTGAGCAGATATGACCATGCCATTCTCCTCACTCCTCTCAAACCCGTCATTAGTTTCCTGGTGCTTACCGAATACTGTGTAAATTCTTTAACATCGTTTCCAGCCTCCTCACTTCCTTCTTGACTCCCCTTCCTTCATACCTTTGTTCTTTCTTTCCTTTCATCCTGGAATACCTTTCCTGTCCACTGCCCATGAACATATTTATGCTCTAGGTCTCAAGTCAACTGCTACTCACTTGGAGGCCCTTCCCAGCCCCACAAGCCTGGAGAGTCACCTATCCCACTGCACTTCCCTTCTGCCTTGTAGTGTGGGTGAGTTTGGTTCTTTATACCCCTCTTCTCCCCCTTAGTATTGCAAAGCTTCTTGAGGGCAGGGACCATGGCATATCCATCCTCATAGATTGTTGTTTGTGGAACTGAATTACAACTTTAACCCAAGAACCCTTTATTGTGGTCATGGGATGAGTCCCATTGGTTGCTGGAGATCGGAGGTCCTTCCCTGTGCCACTGTGAGTCTGTGTGTGTGTGTAATGATGCTTCTTCCTGCATATGCTTCTATTGTTCCCTTCCCAGGCCTCATAATTATGCTTTGTGAAGTGGCCAAAGGAGGGACGGGAAAATACTTTCTCACTTCTCTGTCCACTTCTGTCAGGCAGATACTCTAGAATAAGAGAACATCATATGTATAGGCTTGGAAGTTTGACAGATTTGAGTTGGAATTCTAGTTTTTTACCTAGATGTGGGCCTTGAGCAGGTTATTAAACCTCTCTCCACATCTAAGTTTTCCCATCTGTCAAGTGAGATTCTAATATCAACTTTATAGGGCTGTTATGAAGATTAAATTAGGTTTTACATACATATTTTTCTCTTCCATATCTGCCTTTCCTCTGCCACATTTTCTCCACTATTTCTAAAGATTTAGGGGCTGATTTGTAGGGGTGGCTTCCAGCGTTCTGAACAGGAGGCCCCTTGAGAGAATCCAGGAAGACCTCCTCAAGGGGTGTCCTTCTCTTTCTGCTTTTGAGGCACTCAATCTCTTCCATCCCCGGATTCTTAGAATTTCACTTTGAATGTTACTCACAATATACTTTTTTTTTTTTTTTTTTTTGAGATGGAGTCTCACTCTGTCACTGAGGCTGAAGTGCAATGGCATGATCTTGGCTCACCGCAACCTCTGTCTCCCAGATTCAAGCGATTCTCCTGCCTTACCCTTCCAAGTAGCTGGGATTACAGGCACCAGCCACCACACCCAGCTAATTTTTTGTTTTGTTTTGTATTTTTAGTAGAGACAGGGTTTCACCATGTTGGCCAGGCTGGTCTCAAACTCCTGACCTCAGGTGATCTGCCTGCCTCAGCCTCGCAAAGTGCTGGGATTACAGGCATGAGCCACCATGCCCAGCCTCACACTATACTTCTTCCTTAAAAAACAGAAAGCTGCCCAGTCCCCACTGGCCACAGTGCATCGGCAGTAGCCGCAGCTAGGCAGAGCATGCTCGGCAGATGAACCCCTTTCCTTGGCTGTGAAATATTTAGCAAATTCTTCACTCTTGCTGGGCTTGTCCATAAGTGGAGGAAGATGACATCAGCCTCTGTCTTCAGTTTGTGTGAGGGAAACAGGAAGGAATGCCTAGTCCATTTCATGAGCATGGAACCACTTCATCATGTGTTTGCTGGGTGCCTGTTAGACCATGACTGCAGCTGTTTAAGTGCTTAGAGGGTCTTTTGGCAGAGACGTTTTGTAGTTTAGATTATTTTCAGAAAGGAGGTGAGATGTGAAAGGTAGAAGCAGCTAGAAGCAGTCTCTGAGCCTCCCAGGTCAGGGAGTGCAAAGCTATTGAATACCAAAATGCTGGCATTTTAAGAAGTATCGTCTGGCTTCATGACTAATGGCTCTGGATGTGAAGTATCCCCAGGAAGATTTTTCAGACAAGGACTAATTTGGCACAGGCTTCTCCTGGAGTCACGGCTCGCAGTGGATGCCACGCACTCCAGAAAGGCAGCGTGTTTGCTGACACACAGGCCTACACACATGTACATGAGGCCCAGTGTTTATCATCACAGCCAGACTGTATTTAGAAGGAATGGAGGAAACAAAACTCCCCAAAGTCACTGAGGCAGTGTTCTTTGGCTGGCAAACAAAAGATGGGCATTGCAGGGAGAGTGGGCTCTTGTGCCAGGTGAGTGGGTTTGGAGGGCTTCTCAAAGGACAAAGCACCCACCCCCAGGCTCTTCTCTGTGCTTATGGATCCACAAAGCCAACAAGTTCCTTTACTACTTGGATTCCAGCTCCAGCATTTCCAGACATCTCAGGGTTTTGTTTCCTGGCCCTCAGTGTGCATAGAGACAAGCATCAGCCTGCCCCTGCCCTCCCGCCCCCACCCGCCCCGCCCCACAAGTAGCCTGTTTGGCCTAGGAATGTGCAACCCTTTTTTCTTTCAAATAACAAGGCCCACAAATACAGATTATATGTGATTATTTAAAAATAGCTATGGTTGGCCGGGTGTGGTGGCTCACGCCTGTAATCCCAGCACTTTGGGAGGCCGAGGCAGGTGGATCATCTGAGGTCAGGAGTTCAAGACCAGCCTGGCCAACATGGCAAAACCCCATCTCTACTAAAAATACAAAAAAATTAGCCAGGTGTGGTGGCAGGTGCCTGTAATCCCAGCTACTTGGGAGGCTGAGGCAGGAGAATCGCTTGAACCCAGGAGGCAGAGGTTGCAGTGAGCCGAGATTGTACCATTGCATTCCAGCCTAGGCGACAAAAGCGAGACTCCTCCTCCTCAAAAAAAAAAAAAAAAAAAAATAGCTATGGTTAGTATGGAAAGGGGGAAAAATAGTAACTTTATAGTGGAGAAAACTGGCAAACACTACCTTAGTGCTATGATTTAAATGTTGGTATCCCCCAATATGAACCCCAAAATTCATATTGAAACCTAATCCCTTATGTGGTAGTATTAAGAGGTGGGGCCTTTCAAAGGTGATTAGGTCATAAGAAGGAGCCCACATGAATGGGATTAATTCCCTTATAAGAAGAGGTCAGAGGAGCTGGGTGCGGTGGCTCACACCTGTAATCCCAGAACTTTGGGAGGCTGAGGCAGGCAGATCACTTGAGTCCAGGAGTTTGAGACCAGCCTGGGCAACATGGCAAGACCCCGTCTCTACAAAAAAGCATGAAAATTAGCCTGGCATGGTGGCACATACCTGTAGTCCCAGCTACTCGAGAGGCTGAGGTGGGAGGATCACTTGAGCCAGGGAGGTTGAAGCTGCAGTGAGCTAAGATTGCACCATTGCCCTACTCCAGCCTGGGCAACAGAATGACAGTGAGACCCTGTTTCAAACAAACAAACAAACAAACAAACAAACAAACAAAGAAGAGGTCAGAGGGAGCTTTTTTGCCCCTTCTGCTGTGTGAGGACAGTGAGAAGTCATCAGCCTGCAACCTGCAAGAGGGCCCTGCTAGAACCCAGCCATGCTGGCACCCTGATCTTGGACTTCCTGGCCTCCGGAACTGTGAGAAATAGATTTCTAATGTTTAAAAGCTATCCAGGTTCATGTGTTTTGTTACAGCATCTCGAACAGACCAAGACATTCAGTCCGGGGATCAAGGTCAACATCAATGATGAGTCACATTGATATTATAATAGTACATACTCCTGAGACGATGTGCTGACAATGGCACATTACCTCTGTGATCTTCCTCCCCAAAACCCACTGCCACAGTCTAATCATGAGAAAAACAACAGTAAAAAAATCCCGACCGGGCACGGTGGCTCACACCTGTAATCCCAGCACTTTGGGAGGCCGAGACAGGCAGATCACGAGGTCAGGGGATTGAGACCATCCTGGCTAACATGGTGAAACCCCGTCTTTACTAAAAATACAAAAAATTAGCCAGGCCTGGTGGTGGGCACCTGTAGTCCCAGCTACTTGGGAGGCTGAAGTAGGAGAATGGCGAGATCCTGGTAGGCAGAGCTTGCAGTGAGCCGTGATCGAGCCACTGCACTCCAGCCTAGGTGACAGAGCCAGAGTCCATGTCAAAAAAAAAAAAAAATCCCAACTGAGGCAGCTTCTGTAAGATACCTGACCAGTACTCTTCAAAACTGTCCAAGTCATCAAAAATAAGGAAAGTCTAAGAAACTGTCAGCCAAGAGGAGCCTAAGGAGATAAGATGAGAAAATGTAATGCAGCGTCCTGGATGGAATCCTGGAATGGAAATAGGAAATTAGGTAAAAGTTAAGGAAAACTGGATGAAGAATGGAGTTTAATTAATAATTATGTATTAATATTGATTGTTGGTATAATGATTTCAACAAATGCACCATACTAACGTGAGATGTTAATAATAGAAGAAACCGGGTGTGGAGTCTATAAGAGCTCTGTGTATTATCTTCACAACTTTTTTCTAGGTGGGGTGGGAAGACAGAATCTTACTCTGTTATCCAGGCTGGAGTGCAGTGGTACAATCTGGGCTCACTGCAACCTCTGCCTCCTGGGTTCAAGCGATTCTTGTGCCTCTGCCTCCTGAGTAGCTGTGATTACTGGGATTACAAGCGTATGCCACAGTGCCTGGCTAATGTTTTCCCATTTTTAGTAGAGACAGGGTTTCACCATGTTGGCCAGGCTGGTCTCAAACTCCTGGCCCCAAGTGATCTGCCTGCCTCGGCCTCCCAAAGTGCTGGGATTACAGGTGTGAGCCACTGCACCTGGCCACAGCTTTTTTGTAAATTTTAAACTCTTCTAAAATAAAAAAAAATTGATTTAACAAATAGCTAATGTTCACATCAATTCATTAAAAAAAAAAAAAGAGAGAGAGACTCTCTGACTTGGAAAGAACCTCAAAAGTCACCTGGTCAAATGGTGTTTGATATTGATTTCTTTATACAAAAACACTACCCAAACATGATATTAAGTGGAAGTCCAATGACATGAAATAAATGCAGACTTGCTCTGGCGGCAGTGGGGAAGGAGCCCCTGTGTCCACCCATCTGCTTCCTTCCTCACCTCCTGCCTGTCTCTGGGCATTGCTGAGCAACGTCTGGCACTCTGTACGCATCACCCTGCTCCTTGAATCCCTCTTCTCCTCATAACCTCCCAATCTTCCTTGAGCATCTATCTCTAGAAATGGATATCCGTCCAAAAACAAAACAAAATAAAAGAGTTTTTATCTTTGTAATGAATTTTCACTACTGTTATGATTCTCAGCATTTTTTTACATGGGTCAAATCCGTGTGTAATTTCTATTTATAGAATTTTATAATGGCTTTGAGTCCATATAGAATATATGTCAAATACAACCTTTCCAGGTAATTTTTCTAGTTTTTGAAGACATTCTTTTGCTCTCCCTCACTCCCATTGCTTATTTCCTTTGCAGGATTGATAATTTCTGTCCTTTCAACTGGTTGATAGTGGCAGACTGGTATGCCACTTTTCTTTGACCCCATCTAGGCCAAACTCATGTTTGCTTTCCATGACCTCATCTAGGAGCTCCCTTAGCTTCCCTTTCTTCCCATCTCACTTGATTCCATGGCACTTTACTCCACCACTCTCTTCCCAGTATCCTTAACTCTCATGCTCACTGCCCTTTGACTGAATGCAGCTTGCAACCCAGGCTTAGATCCACTCAGCTGCCCGCCTTTCCTTCTTCTAGGCCACTGAGTGTTACCGGAGGGACGCACACAAGCACATGGCCTGTGCCACTCTAAATTTGCAGTTTCTAAACTTGGCCCTTCTTGCTGGACATCACATTTCTCTCTACCCAGCTCTGCTCTTTTTTCACATTAGCTATTTCAGATCTCCACTTTCCTCAAGCCCATAATCCCGCCACTTGCCCTACTTCATCTCAGCTGACAGATTCTTAGTACTATTTTAAAAATAAAATTGAAATCATGAGATGAGAGCTCTTGCAACTTCTTTACCCCATACCCAGGAGCTTACCTGCAGCCTTACTCTTTCTCTCACCATTAGTGTTGTGAGTCTAATCTTCTCTTGCTTTCTCAGACCTTGTATAATCTATTGTTCCTTATATATCTAACTTTCTGTCACCTCATTGAAATCTCTCTGCCGAGATCACTAAAGTCCTTCTTGGCATCTTGATTTTAGTTTGTTTTTTGTTTGTTTGTTTGTTTGAGAGAGAGAGTCTCGTTCTGTCACCCAGGCTGGAGTGCAGTGGCATGATCTCGGCTCACTGCAACCTCCGCCTCCTGGGTTCAAGCAATTCTCCTGCCTCAGCCTCCCAAGTAGCTGGGATTACAGGTGACTGCCAGCACGCCTGGCTAATTTTTGTATTTTAGTAGAGATGGAGTTTCACCATGTTGGTCAGGCTGGTCTTGAACTCTTGACCTCAATTGATCCGCCCACCTTGGCCCCCCAAAGTGCTGGGATTACAGGTGTGAGCCACCACACCCGGCCAATTTTACTTAATTCTTTCACCAAATATGTGACTAAGCACTTACAATGTACCAGACATGGCACTATGCCATGTGGATACATCTATGAAAGAGGCAGGTGGAATCACTGCTCTTTCCAAGCCACTGCGTGTGCATGGGGCCAGGGATAACAAACAGAGGAGCAAGTACATTTACAAAATGTCAGGAGATTAGTGACAAATTCTGAGGGCAGAGGGTAGAGAGGTTATTACTTTAGCTCAGCTGAACAGTGAAGTCCTCTCTGAGGAGGTGGCATCTGAGCTGAGATCTGAATAGAGTGAGGGACTGGACCATTCATGGATCCTGGGGGAAGAGCATGCAATCAGTGGGAACAGCGAAGACAATGACCCGGAGTTAGGAAGGAGTGTGGTACACTTGAAGAACAACCAGAAGCCCATGTGACTGGGTCAGAATGAGTAAGTTAGAAAGGGTAGAAGAGGAGAATGAAAGCAGGGACAAGTCTCCAGATCGTATGTCTTTGCCCTCTGAATGCATTCTAGTTTTAGCCTCCAGGTTTTTCTCCTATTTCTCCTGCCACTCCTACTCAGCCTTTTTTCAGACTCTGCTCTTCTGCTTGTCCTTTAAGTATTGGTGTTTGGCAAGATTCTATCCTAAGCCATCCTCTCTTTTCTTTGGATATCTTATCCCTGGGCAGAGCACAGAGAAACCACTCAATAAAGGTTGGTTGACTCAGATTACTGTCAGTTTCATATCAATTCTGGCAACTCTCCTCAGACCAAACTTCAGTCTACCTATAAAGCTATGGAATTATGGCCTGATACTCATATTATACAGTATGCATGACCAAGCAAAGAGGAAAATGGGATTCTCTCCTCCCTTAATTTTAAGTTTTATCATTCTATAAAGTCTGTGTCTTAGTCATCACTACAGCCCTAATGCCTGGTGCAGTGCTTGGGTGACTGTTGAATGAATTTATGAATCCAATAAAAGAAAGGCAGGATTTATTCCTTGGCAACTAGTTCATACTACTGACTAATAGTTAATATTACTCCTATCTACTTTTATACTCCTAGAGATAAATTTTCAGAACTTCACAGGCTGCCTGTGAGTCTGTTACATTTCATCTTGTTATATTTGGCTCATTGTTCATGAATTTCAAGATTTTTAGACGTTTTACTTCAACCACTTTTCTTCTGAGTTTCACTTCGCCTTTGGTTTTGACAAGAATGCCTTTTGTATCTTCAGTTCAGTCATTGATAAGATTGTTGAACAGGATGAGGCCAGACACTCAGAGAGCTCTCCAGATAATATGATAATTTCTAAACCCTGCTCTGTGACTAATAAATGAGCTTTTAGAATAATGAAATCATTTAATTTGGATGCTAGAAGGGACATTGAAGATCATTAGTCAGGCCTGGGTATTTTACAGATGAGGAAATCAAGACTCCTATACATTAAGTAATTTCCCCAATAACACGCAGTTATTAGGGAAAGTGCTGGGAGGGAGAACCAAATGCCAGTTACTTTAGCTTTCCCTGTGCAATTTATCTTTATCCTTTCCTTTTTATTTCTAATGTCTATTATATGTTTCCACATAACAAATTACCCAGAACATAGCAAGTTAAAACATTAATAACCACGGTTTATTGCCACAGAATCTGGTTTGGGAGAAGCCTGACAGGGTGGTTTTAGCCTAGGCTCTCTCAGGAGGTTGTGCTTAGATGGCAACCGTGGCTGCAGTCATTTGAAGCATTGACTGGGGCTGGAGGATCCAGTTCCAAGATGGCACACTCACAGAGATGGCTAATGCATGCTGGCAATGATAGGTCTCAGTTTCTCACCGCGTGCATCTTTCCTTGGGCTGTTTGAGAACCCTAAGAACATGTTAGCTGCCTTCTCCCAGAATGAATGATCTGAGAGATTGAGAAAGCCACGGTGGTTTTTGTTTGTTTTGTTTATTGTTTTTACAAGCTCCCCACAGAAGTCACATCCTGTTGTCTTTGTAATCCCCTGTTGGTTACCCAGGTCCACCCTCTTCAATGTGGAAGGGGACTGACTACACAGGCTTGAACACCAGAAGGTGGGGTTTGCTGGGGCTGTCTCATGGTCTGTCTACCACATTTGGCCAGCACCTCGACTGGGGCTCTTTTTATCTTTGAATAGAGTAAACCTATAACCTCTGAATGATCTTCCCATCTCTCTTCAATTTCATTCTCTTTCCACTGCAAATCCCTTACAACTGCCTGATGAATCTTGGTAAAATGCAACTCTGAAAAGGTCATCCTTATTCTACTCTTTTGCACTCTGATTTTTAAAAAATGGTTTAAAGGTTTCTTGTTACTAAGATGATCATATAATTTATTATCCAAACCAGAGCAATTTTGAGAATGAAATGAGATGCTATTAGCAATTACGCATGAACCAGACATGTAAATTAGTACTGCCTTGAGAAATCCAGGACATATGGTCATTCTTTTGCCTGCTATTAAAAATAAGAACATTATTCTGTCCATTTTTTTATATTGGCAACAGCTTTCTAGTTTATAATTTTCTCTCTTACTATCAGCATTGAGATTCCTTCTGCTCTATCCAATGATACCATTTTGTGTCTCTCAAACATGGCCAGGCTTTAACATATTCTTGCTTTTGCATATACTATTCCTTCCAAATGGAACGGCCTCTCCACTTCCGTATTTGTGGACTCCAATCTTCTCTTCAAGGCTGCAATTGCAGCCTCCTCCCAACACATTGTGATGCTTCATCTTGAAACCTCCATAGTACTTTTTACCTTTTCTGTCCTTCCCTTCTTTCTCCCATCTCTCTTCTCTTCTTTTCATTTTTCTTAGATAATTCTTGAGCATCTTCTATGTGCTAAGCTCCATTCTAAGTATGTTCATGAACTTAGCATAAACTTTTTCTGGTAGTTATTTATGTACCTGTCTTGTTCCCTGCCTTAAATCATTTTGTGCTGCTATAACCGAATACCACAGACTAGGTAATTTACAAATAAGAGAAGTTTATTTCTCACAGTTCTAGAGGCTGGGGAGTTCAAGATCAAGGTGCCAGCAGGTTTAGTGTTTGGTAAGGGCTTGGTCTCTGCTTCCAAGATGGCAACTTGAACATTGCCTTCTCTGGAGGCGAGGAACCCTGTTCCTCACTTGACAGAAGAGTGGAAGAGACAAAAAAGAGAACAAGAGAGGGCCAAACTCACCATTTTATACCAATCCCACCCATGGTGGGGAGCCCTCATGGCCTAATCACCTCTTAAGGTTCCCACTTTCTAATACTGTTATGATTAAATTTCAAAATGAATTTTGGAGGGGCCAAACATTTGAAACATAGCATCCCCCCTACAAGTTTATAATCCCCTAAGTATAGGACTGTATCATACTCATTTAGCCAGGATCTCAATGAATGTTGCATGAATGTTTTGGGTTCTTAATAAATTCTAGTTTAATGAAATAAAACAGATTCTGGGAAAGAAAATTTCTGCAAAGGTATTATTGTGTAGATTTTCATACTAAGGAAAGGCTTCTTTATTAAAAGTGGCTTTCTTTCTCAGCTAAACATAAATAAAATTAAATAAGATTACATAGTAAAATTGGGGGAAGGTATAAAGGGAAACATGAATTCTCCTTTCTTTAAGGCTCATGTTTCCCTTTATACATTCCCCAAGTTTCCAATACATCCCCTTCATATACAGCCAAATGATGCCTGCCCTCATTAACAACAACAACAACAACAACAAAAAGTGAACGTTTGCATGGTTTCCTTTGCCTGTTTACCTTCCTCACCAAAAAGGACAAAGAAAATATCAGAGTTCCCCCAGGTGAGGTGTAGGTTTTACTTATCCAAGCAGTCACGTATGCTTGAGTAGTGGTTTTCAATCTTAGCTTTCCATTACAACCAGTTAAATCGTGTTTAGAAATTCCAACATCCAGGCTGCACCTCAGACCAAAGAGATGAGAATCTTTGTGGGTGAGACCCAGGCATCAGTATTTTTTAAAGCTCTTCAAGTGATTCCAATGAATAGCCAAGGATGAAAACCCCTGTGCTCAACCAAAGAGCCCTGGTTAGGTAATAAAGAGACCTAAGTTACTCAGTGACCTTAGAGAAGTTTCTTTTTCTCTTCTGTGAAATAGGATCTCCTTTTAAAAATATTTTCTGTCTTGCAGAACTGTTGGGAAACTCAAAGGAGGTATCAGAGATAAAAGGCAACTAGGATAAAGACTAGAAGACTGTAATCTATTTATTAGTAGCTTATATTTAGTAGTAGTAATAACTTGGTCATTCTTTGAAAAACTGAGGCTGGGGTCGATGAATGGACCCAGCTGTGGTACAGAGGAAAGTTCCTTTCCCCCTCCTTGCTACTCCTTGGCTTCCCTGACCCACCAGACTCCTCCATGGAAAAGTCCTCTTGCTGCTTCCCCATATGCATTTTTTTCTTTTTTCTTTTCTTTTCTTTCCTTTTTTTTTTTTAGATGGAAAAGTCCTCTTGCTGCTTCCCCATATGCATTTTTTTCTTTTTTCTTTTCTTTTCTTCTTCTTCTTTTTTTTTTGAGACAGAGCTTAGCTCTTGTTGTCCAGGCTGGAGTGCAATGGCACAATCTTGGCTCACTACAACTTCCGCCTCCCAGGTTTAAGCAATTCTCCTGCCTCAGCCTCCCAAATAGCTGGGATTATAGGCATGTACCACCACGCCTGGCTAATTTTTGTATTTTTAGTAGAGATGGGGTTTCGCCATGTTGGCCAGGCTGATCTCGAACTCCTGACCTCAGGGGATCCGCCCGCCTCAGCCTCCCAAAGTGCTGGGATTACAGGCATGAGCCACCACTCCCAGCCCCCATATGCACTTCTATTTCCTTATGACTTAGAAGTGCTGTGCCATGTGTCCCACTGCTCTGCTGCCTCTCCCACCCCAAATGTGATGAATCCAGAGAGAACTGCCTATTCTTGACCTCAGGGATTTTACTTTGTGGTTTGCAAGAATATCTTGGTGCCTAGAGACAAGGACTTAGCTACAGACTGGGGTTTCCTGTTGAAATATTTTGTGCATTTTGCTCTAATTTAGGCAGAGAGGGAAAAACAGAAACTTTGCTAATTATCTGTCATTATGGGGATAATGATAGCTAATATTTATTGAATATTTTGTGTGAGCAAGATCTTTACTTGCAGAATCTTAATTAATATTCATACCAATCCAGCAAGCTGAGTACTATTTTTTTTAACTCAACTTCACTGGGGTATAATTTACATATAATAAAATGCAGATTGATGAGTTTTGACAAATGTATACATTTTATAACACCAAAATCAAAATACAGAATGTTTCCCATTACCCTAACATTTTTTCCTGTGCTTATCTTCGTTCAATTAAAAAACAAAACAGGCCAGGTGTGGTGTCCCCCGCCTGTAATCCTAGCACTTTGGGAGGCAGAGGCGGGAGGATCACCTGAGGTCAGGAGTTCGAGACCAGCCTGGCCAACATGGCGAAATGCCATCTCTACTAAAAATACAAAAAAAAGTTAGCTGGGCATGGTGGTGGGTACCTGTAATCCCAGCTACTCGGGAGGCTGAGGCAAGAGAATTGCTTGAACCCGGGAGTTTGCAGTGCAGTGAGCTGAGATCATGCCATTGCACTCCAGCCTGGGTGACAGAGCGAGACTCTGTCTCAAAAAACAAAACAAAACAAAACAAAACAAAACAAAAACAAATGAAAAATATTTGACCCAGGCAATCATTGATTTGCTGTCACTAGATTAATTTTGCTTATTCTAGATTAAAAAAATCTTGTTTGAGACAGGCTCTCACTCAGGCTGGAGTGCAGAGGTACAATCATGGCTCACTGCAGCCTCGACTCTCAGGCTTAAGTGATCCTCCTGCCTCAGCCTCCCAAGTAGCTGGGACCCCAGAGTGTGCCGCCACATCTGACTAATTTTTTTATTTTTTGTTTTTTGTAGAGACAGAGTCTTGCTATGTAGCCCAGGCTGGTCTCGAACTCCTGGGCTCAGGCAATCCTCCCACCTTGGCCTCCCAAAGTGCTGGGATTACAGGTGTGAGCCACCACACCCAACCTAGAATTTCATGTATAAGTACATAGAATATGTACTTTCCCATCTGGCCTCTTACCCTCAGCATATATAATGGTTTTGAGATTCATCTACATAGCTGCAAATAACAGTAGCTTGTTCCTTTTTATTAATGAAGAGTATTCCATTGTTTGGGTATACCATAATTTATCTATTCACCTGTAGACGGACTTTTGGATTTTTTCTAATTCTGGGCTATTAAAAATTAAACTGCTAAGAACATTTAGGTACAAATCTTTGCATAGACATGAATTTGTTCCTCTAGAGAAAATACTCAGGAGTGAAATTGCTCAGTCGTATAGTAAATGTATGTTTGAAAAACTATGAGTTTTCCAAAGTGCTTTATCTTAGTTAATTTTCTCTTACCATGACAGAATACCACAGACTGGATAATTTATAAAGAAAAGTTTAAAAACTATATTTCTTACAGTTCTGGAGGCTGGAAAGTTAACTTCAAGAAGGCACTGGTGAGGGCCTTCTTGCTGTGTCATTGCATGGCAAGAGAGCAAGAGCATGCCAGCTAAGGTCTCTCTTCTTCTTATAAAGCTGCCAATTGCATCATAAGAGCTCACCCTAATAACCTTATCTAATCCTAAATACCTCCCAAAGAGCCCACCTTCAAATAGATCGACATATTAATTTTGGGATTAATTTTTGAACACATGAAATCTAGGGGACACATTCAAACCATAGCATACTTGTATCAATTTATACTCCCATTGGCAGTGTATGAGAAATCCAGTTGTTCCACATCCTTGGCACCACTTGGTATTGTCAATTTTTTTATTTTAGCCATTTTAATAGGTGTGTAGTGGTATCCTATTGTGGTTTTATTTACATTTCCCTGTTGACTAATGTCACTAAGTTTCTTTTCATGTATTTATCGGTCATTTATATATTTTCTTTTTTTATTTGAATATCTTATTAAAAAACAACTTTAGTGCGGTATGCTTGACATACAAAAAGCTGTACATATTTAATGTATACAACTCAATGAGTTTAGGAATAAGTATACATCTGTGAAATCATCATCACAACCTGTGCCATAAATCTGTCCATTGTCTCCAAAAATTTCCTCCCACCCACTTTTATTATTATTATTATATGTATGTGATAAGGAAACAACATAATATCTACCTTCTTAGCAAATTTTTGAGTATACAAAACAATATTGTTAACTGCAGGCACTATGCTGCCCAGGAGATGTCTAGGACTTACTTATCTTTTATAACTGACACTTTGTACACCTTGACTTATACTCCTCATTTCCCTCTCTCCCAGTCTCTGGCAAACAACATTCTATTCTCTGTTACTACGACTTTGACTTTTTTAGATTCCATATATAAGTGAGATCACGCATTATTTGTCTTTCTGTGCCTGGCTTATTTCACTTAACATAATGTCCTGCAGGTTCATCCATGTTGTCCCAAGTGATAGTACTGACTTCTTTTTAAAGGCTGAAGAATATGCCATTGTATTTAAGTATGCCACATTTTCTTTATCCATTCATCCTATTGTGAATAGTGTTATTCATGTTATTCATGCTATTGTGAATAGTGCTGCAATGAACATGGAAGTGCAGGCATCTCTTTGAGATCCTGATTTCAGTTTCTTTGGATAAATACCCGGAAGTGGGATTGCTGGATCATACAGTATTTTATTTATTTATTTTTTTTGGAACCTCCATAATGTTTTCTATAGTGGCTGTACAAATTTACATTCTCGCCAACAGTGTGCAAGAGTTCCCTTTTCTCCACATCCTTACCATACCAACACTTACCTTTTGTATTTATTTATTTATTTATTTGATGTAGTCTTGCTCTGTTGCCCAGGCTGGAGTGCAGTGGCATGATCTCGGCTCACTGCAACCTCCGTCTCCCGAGTTCAAGCAATTCTCCTGCCTCAGCCTCTTGAGTAGCTGGAATTAAATGTGCACCACCCACCACGCCACCACGTCTGGCTAATTTTTGTATTTTTAGTAGAGACAGGGTTTTGCCATGTTGGCCAGGCTGGTCTCAAACTTCTGACCTCAAGTGATCTACCTGCCCCTAACTCCCAAAGTGCTGGGATTACTGCACCTGGCCCTTGTATTTGTTTTTGTTTTACAATAGCATCCTAACTTGTGTGAGGTAATATCTCATTGTTGTTTTGATTTGAACCTGGTAACCATTTATATGTCTTCTTTAGAGAAATGTCTACTAATGTCTTTGGTTCATTTTGTAATTGGGTTATTTGGTGTTTTGCTATTGAGTTGTAGGAGTTCCTTGCATATTTTCTATATTAACCTATTATTGGATATATGGTATCTGAGTCCATTTGGGGTACTGTAACAGAACACCATAGACCGGATACCTTATAAAAAATAGAAATCAGGCCAGGCATGGTAGCTCACGCCTGTAATCCCAGCATTTTGGGAGGCCGAGGCAGGCAGATCACCTGAGGTCAGGAGTTCAAGACCAGCCTGACCAATATGATGGAACCTCGCCTCTACTAGAGATACAAAAATTAGTCAGGCATGGTGGCATGTACCTATAATCCCAGCTACTCGGGAGGCTGAGACAGGAAAAACGCTTGAATCCGGGAGGCAGGGGTTGCAGTGAGCCGAGATCGTGCCATTGCAATTCCCCTTGGGCAACAAGAGCGAAACTCTGTCTCAAAAAAGAAAGAAAATAAATATATAGAAATGTATTTCTCATAGTCCTGAAGGCTGGAAGTCCAACATTAAGATGTGGGCAGATTTGATGTCTGGTGAGGGACTGTTTCCTCACCATCTTCTTGCTGTGTCCTCATGTGCAGAAGTGGTGAGGGAGCTCTCTGGGGTCTCTTTCATAAGGACACTAATCCATTCATGAGGGCTCCACCCTCATGACCTAACCTCCTCCCAAAGGACTCACCTCCTAATTCCATCGTACTGGGGGTTAGGATTTCAACATATGAATTACAGGGAAACATAATATTCAGTCTACAGTATATGGTTTGCATATATGTTCTGTCATTCCTTATATTACTCCAGTATTTTATTGATTGATTTCTTTGCTGAGCAGGGAGCTGGGTGCTATTACTACCCTCATTTTATAGATGAAAAAGCAAAAATGTAGAGGGATGCAACAACTTCTCCAAGTTTATTGAACTAATAAGGGAAGAAGCTAGTACCTGAACTCAGAAGGTCTGAAAACAGAGCATGCTCTCTCTCTCTAACAATATGCCAGTCATTATTGAAAGCAATTTATATATTTTAACTCATTAAGCCCCTAAACAACCATATGAAGTAGGTTCTCTTATTTCCACTTTCTAGATGAAGAGATGAAGGCAGAATGAGGTTTGGTAACTTGCCCACTGTCATGCAGATATGATGAAATTGTTTCAACAGTAACGTGAAGGATGGATTCAGCTGTAACCCCAAATGGCACAGGATTCTCCTACTTTGCCCCTCCCTCTGTCCCAAGAAGTTAAAGTAAGAAGAGCGGAGGGTATTTGGCTATTCTGCTAGAAGCATCCCGGTGACTCCTGGCATGTGTTGTGCTCCCAGGTGTCACAGCCTGTTGCGTCCGCTCTGGACCTCATCCCCACAGTCACTCAGTAGGCAGGCATGGGCTGTTGGCCCCGTGCAGAGCACATGCTCTTAACCTCTGGACCCTACTGCCTCCCACGGGAGTTTGCTCATCCTGATGGCCTCCCTCACACAAAATGGCCCCAGTGACTGATGGAAACAGCAAGTGTTGCTGTAAGAGGCTCCTCCATCTGGAGACTGGAAGAACCAAGGACAGGCAAGCCGCCAGACTAATCTGATGAAGATGGCTTTGGGGAAAGCCAGGTTTAATATTTAGTGTGGTGGCAGGGGTGGGGGAAGGAAGACGGAATTGAGAGCCTGGACAGCATAGTGAGACCCTGTCTCTACCAAAAAATAAGTAAATAAATAAAAACAAAAACAAAGAAATTAGCCAGGGGTGGTGGCATGTGCCGGCAGTCCCAGCTACTCAGAAAGCTGAGGTGAAAGGATAGCTTGAGCCTGGGAGGTTGAGGCTGCAGTGAGCCGTGGTCTCATCACTCACTCCAGCCTGGGTGACAGAGCAAGACCCTGTCTTAAAAAAAAGAAAAGAAAAGAATGAATGGAGGAGTCAGTGTGTCCATTGGTTGTTACACTGGGGTGAGCATGAGACAGCCAGAAGGCTTGTGAAGCTACCCGCTCTGCATCCACCTTCATCACTAATGTCCCCAAAAGGCCACGTTCTTTTCAGGTTGGAGTACAAGGGTGCAATCTTGGCTCACTGCAACCTCCGCTTCCCTGGTTCAAGCGATTCTCCTGCCTCAGCCTCCCAAGTAGCTGGGCTTACAGGTGTGTGCCACCACACCCAGCTAATTTTTGTATTTTTAGTAGAGACAGGGTTTCACCATGTTGGCCAGGCTGGTCTCAATCTCCTGACCTCAGGTGACCTGCCCGCCTCGGCCTCCCCAAAGTGCTGGGATTACAGGTACGAGCCACCACGCCCGGCCAAGGACCATGTTCTTGCATTCTGCTTTCTGGTTTATGTCTGATTAGGGGTGTCCAAATAGCCAGATAGATAATAATAACAAAGGTCGTCATCATCATTGTTATTTTTATTAGCCAGCCTGTATTGAGTACGAGGTGTGTGTCAGAGTCTATGCTAAAAACTCCGAGGGGCTGTTTCATTTAATTGTTACAACAGCAAGGCAGGCATTCTTATTATCTCCACTTAGTAAACAGGGAAAATGGGATTCGACTGGTTAGCTGAATTTCCCAGCATCACAGTAAGTGACAGAGTGAGGATTCAAGGCCAGGTCTACCTGGTTCTGCACCTGGAACCACTTCAGACTTTCTGCTCTCTTTCCTCCTCATTGCCTCCCAAGTGACCTCACAATTGTAACCCTTGTAGCTTTCCAGATTTGGAATCCCGGAATCCCAATGTTCTAGCTCCGTGAGGAAGTAAAGGTGGTTTTAATACTCTCGCTCTCTCTCTTTTATTATTATTATTATTTATTATAGTTTACACTGTTGGTGGGTGTGTAAATTATTTCCACCATTGTGGAAGACAGTGTGGCGATTCCTCAAGGATCTAGAACTAGAAATACCATTTGACCCAGCAATCCCATTACTGGGTATATATACCCAAAGGATTAAAAATCTTTTTTTTTTTTAAACCATCTTACTGTAAAATAAAACATAGATACGGGAAAGAGTACACATGACACAGAACTCTGCTAGCTTCTTCAGAAGCCCTCTGTGGACCCTGATCCAAACACAGACTCTTTCCTCCCCAAAGGCAATCATTCCTCTGGCTCTTAAATAAATCATTTCCTGGGCCGGGCACGGAGGCTCACGCCTGTAATCCCAGCACTTTGGGAGGCCGAGGCTGGTGGATCACTTGAGGTCAGGAGTTTAAGACCAGCCTGACCAACATGGTGAAACCCTGTCTCTACTAAAATTACAAAAAAATTAGCCAGGCGTGATGGTGCATGCCTGTAGTCCCAGCTACTCAGGAGGCTGAGGCAGGAGAATTGTTTGAACACAGGAGATGGAGGTTGCAGTGAGCTGAGATCATGCCATTGCACTCCAGCCTGGGCAACAAGAGCTAAACTCAGTCTCAAAATAATGATGATGATGATGATAATAATAATAATAATAATAATAATAATAATAATAATAATAATTTCGTCTCTTGTTGTTAGGCTTTTTTTGTTTTTTGTTTTAGTTTTTTGTTTGTTTGTAAAATTGTTTTAAGACAGAGTCTTACTCCATCACCCAGGCTGGAGTGCAGTGGCAGCAATCTCGGCTCACTACAACCTCTGCCTCCCGGGTTCAAGCAGTTCTCCTGCCTCAGCCTCCCGAGTAGCTGGGATTACAGGCATGCACAACCACGCTCAGCTAATTTTTGTATTTTTAGTAGAGAGGGGGTTTCGCTACGTTGGTGAGGCTAGTCTCGAACTCCTGACCTCAGGTGATCTGCCCGCCTTGGCCTCCCAAAGTGCTGGGATTACAGACGTGAGCCACCGCGCCCGGCCTGCTTGTCATTAGTTTTATCACCCAACCGTGACTCTCCTGGCATTTTAGCCTAGTCTTTGCCACTTAGAAAAAGAAAAAATTGACGCATCTTGTAAGTTGCTTTAACTCTACAAGTTCACCTTACGTGTCTTTCTTTTTGTTAACCTTATTTTTTTGAAAGAACCTAGGACATTTGACTTACAGTGTTTCTCACTGTTTGGAACTTGCTGATTTCATCCTCAGAGTGCAGTTTGACATGTTCTCTGTCCCTTTTATTCCTTGCAAATTGGTTGCTGAATTCAGAAGTTTTATCTGCCTAGGTCTAATCTTTTTGGCAGGATTGCACACAATGTTATATTCTCTCATTGAGAAGCACGTAATGCCTGATTGTCTCTCTTTTTGTGGCGTGAGCAGTGATTACTGTTCCATGTGTAGATTCATCAATTCACTAGATGTTGCAAAACAGTAATCTTCTATCATTTCTTTTTTATTAATTTGTGGGAATACTTTTCAAAGAGGTACCTCTCTTCAGCAAGTATCTGATTCCTCACTATTGTGGTCGATATGGGAAAGCAAGAACAAATGCTTGATTCATTTCCTTTATTTGACTGTTTTCAATAGAATAAATTAGTTTCTGAACAACTGAAAAGACCATTGAAGGTAACTGATCAATTGTTGTTTTTAAAATCTAATCTCACATTTTAAAATTGAGATAAATGAGAGCCAGAGATGTTAAGCACTTAAGATCACACAGCACTTTGGTGGCAGAGCTAGGGTTAGGGTAGTACTCTTCTGCCTCCCAACTTCATTCTAATCTTCTCCTTTTGGAGCAGAACCCCAGACCTGGAACTCTAGTGTCAAAAATCATTCATGAGAAAATCTGAAATGGGTGATAAAAATTCAAAGCATTACTCAACTTCGTCTGCTGTTTCATGGCCTTCACTGCGCAGCCTTGCAGGCAAGTCGATACTCATCGTTAAGAGACAAACGCAGCCTGCAGCTTTTGCAGTGCTCATGAGAGGGGCTCAGCTGCCAACCTTAGAAATTCCGCCTGTTGTCAGGGGGTCGTGGGAATGTGCCCAGGTTGCTGTAGGGAGGTTTTCAGCCCTGGCTACCACAAAGCACTCTCTTGCCAAATCCTGTCTTGCTGATTTTCAGCAGGAAAATGGGAAGTCAGAGAAGAAAGCTTCAACCTGTCAGTCAGAAGGGAAATAGCCAAGAAACTGTCTTCTCACCATATTAACTATGTTAGCAAGAGACAGAGAGAGAGAGAGAGGGAGAGAATTTGGTAGAAGTTGGGGGAAGAGATGGTGGAGAAAATTATCAAACAGTTAAAAAGAAGGGAGAGTATGTTGTAATCATGTGTGCATGTGTGTGTGTGTGTGTGTGTGTGTGTGAAAGAGAGAGAGAGAGAGACTGCCTACAGCCTTAAGACTGTCTAGCAGTCCATCTGTTCACACCTACTTATGTAGCTGGTGACCTCAGACCCAACCACTTGTCCTGCTCTGACCCTTCTCTGCTCTTCATCTGGCTGCCACCATCCTCCCCCCTCGAAGGCTCCCAGGGTAAGGGGAGAGTGACGGCAGTGGAGAGGGGCCAGCGGGAGATAAAGACTTGCTATTTTATGTAGAGATGCAAATCCCTGCTAACTTGTGGGTTAGAGAACCAGTCAAGGACGGGCACAAGGCTGCTGCGGATAACTTGGGTCTGTGTTTGAGATGCACTGTTGTGGTTACCCTGGCTGGAAATGAGAGTTGCTTGGACTGGACTCTTGCAAGTTAGATGAAACTTGACAGTGGGAGATACGGCCTGTACCAAGTCAGAGAATTAGGAACTTTGGGCCAACAGGTCCCCAAAAGCTGATCACTCTCGTTCTCTTTATGGGCAGAAGATTCTGGAGGACTTTAGCCCTGTACAAGGGGAGAGGGCATAGTAGGCAAGATGCTATAGTGAAGTGTTTTGAAATTTAAGGATGTAAAATGAATTTAGGGAGTTATGAGCACAATATTATGAAAAATTAAATAGAATATACTGTACATCAGACCAGGTTGCTTTACATGGAGAAGGTGAGTGTTGTTTCTTAAATTCTTTTTCAGTATTTTGTGTGCACACTTGTTTGCATGTGCATGTATATATACTGGGTTACATCGTGCTTCTTATTGTGGGTCACAGTCAAAAACTGAACATTATTCCTTTTTTTTTTTTTTTTGAGACAGAGTCTTGCTCTGTTGCCCAGGCTGGAGTGCAGTGATGCGATCTCAGCTCTCTGCAACCTCTGCCTCCCGGGTTCAAATGATTTCTGGCTAATTTTTGAATTTTGAGTAGAGACGGGTTTTCACTATGTTGGCCAGACTGGTCTCGAACTCCTGACTTCAAGTGATCCTCCTAAAGTTCTGGGATTACAGGTGTGAGCTACTGTACCCAGCCCATTGTTGCTTTTTTTTTTTTGAGACGGAGTCTCACTCTGTCACCCAGGCTGGAGTGCAGTGGCACGATCTCAGCTCACTGCAACCTCCACCGACTGGGTTCAAGTGATTCTCCCGCCTCAGCCTCCCGAGTAGCTGGGACTACAGGCATGTGCCACCACACCCAGCTAATGTTGGTATTTTTAGTAGAGACGGGGTTTCACCATATTGTCCAGGCTGGTCTCGAACTCCTGACCTTGTGATCCACCTGCCTTGGCCTCCCACAGTGCTGGGATTACAGGTGTGAGCCACTCTGCCGGGCCCATTGTTGTTTTTTAAAGAAATTGTTAGGGGTGAAGAATTGGATTCACTCTGGGCTCTGCCACTACATAGCTCTGTGATCTATGGAGTGTTATTGTTTAACTTCTCTGAGCTTCATTTTACTCATTTATGAAGTAAATGAATGACAATGAAGACTTCCAGCCCTCACATTTTATATTTTTTAAGATAAATGAGAATTCAACTCTCTTTTAAGGGCTCTCAAGGGAGGAGATGACATTTTCTCCAAACAAGGACTAACTAGTACCAATATACAATAATTGTCATCAGAAACACCTCTTTATCTTCAGGCTCAGTTCATTCATTCGTTCATGCACCAAATATATATCAATGTGCCAGACACTGTTTCAGGTGCTGGGAAGTCAACAGTGGAATAAAACATGCAGATCCCTGCACCTGTGGTATTTACCCTAAAACTCCCTGTGGCAGTTTAGGTTTCTTTTTCACTTACCACATGTTTAAAATGAAACAAAAATGAAAGCCTTCTGTAGGCTTGAGAGAATGGTTATTGTTTTTTCAATAATTGCTTTGTATCTTCAGTTTGTCTTTCCATAAAATGGGAATGTAATCATGGAATGCTAGCAATACAAAATTTGAAGGCTTCTACAGGTCTATAACACTCAGAAAGGTGAGCTGATCTGAAAATCCCAAACAAATGGAAAGCTGAACATTCCAGACTGGAAATTATTACTTCCTTTGAATTTTTTTTTTTTCCCGGGGAACTCTCGAAACCACAGACCATTCACTGAAAGGCAGTTCACATTAAAAGCTTCCGTTTTGGCTTCTTGACATATCCGTCTGCTCTCAGGAAACGGATGAGAAACTTCCTCAGGGAACTTTGGGAAGGGGCTGGCATGTTTCTGGCCCACAGACCCAGGACTCTCTTGTTTGGATCAGGTGAAACCTGCAGGCTCTTGGCTTCCAGGGTGCTTAAATTGAAAGCCTTAGGAAAGCTGTGGGGACTTGGACATCTGGAATCATCCTGGCCACCAGAGGGCATTAGGAACCTGTTGGTCACACCACCAGGTGATCTGCCATTTCTGTCTGGGTTATAGCTTGGCAGTTTTACACGGGGTTAGTTTCATGACCTTTTCAGAGCATGAGGGGCCAAATCAGAGTCCCAGAATGCTGAAGAAAATCAAATTGACAGGCTTAGGCTTATCTCTGTCATCTCCCCAAATTAAACGTGCAGGTGCATTCATTGATTAACAGGTAACCACTGAATGCTGCTTGTGTACTGCCTGTAAACTAAGCTCTGCAAATACAACCTTCAAAAAAGCAAAGCCTCAGCTCCCCAGGGGCTCACAGTCTAGGCTTTTCCATAGACAATAGGCAAATGGCTCATTGCCCACTAAGGGAACTCCACAGGGTCCTGAATCTAAAGTGATGAGGTTTTTTGTTATGATGAGGTGAAGCCTCTGGGGGTTAGGATCATCATCTTGACACTTTCAAACGAGATAATGTAGATGTCTGTGAATGGGATTAGGAAAGTGGCCTTTTGGAGCCTTTAGCATTGTAGCTAAACTTTAGAACACCAGTGTGGGGCTGACTGTGTAGCCTAATGGTAAATCCTAAGCCAGGAGTCACTGTCCCACTGTGTAAACTTGACGGAATAATCAGCTTTTGTGGACTTAACGCTTTCTCAGCCACTCTCAGAAAAGGTCAGGACTCTACGACTGTCACACAATAGAAAATGAAGTGAAATGGAAAGGAATTCTAACATGGCATTACACTGGTGGAGAAAACCAGTTGGGATTTTTCTGGCCCTTCGTTATGTTTTTACAGCTATTTGTTTGCATGGCTGATAACCCCCCTCACCCTGCATTGTTCTTACTTTGTGTAGACACAGGATCTAGGTTATGTTAAAACGAGTACTGGAACGCAGAAGTCACTAATTGCCCAACCAAAGGATCAGAATTCTATTTTATTTTTCACAGTAACTTGGATGAGTTGATGTGTAAATGGATGGCATGTTACAGCTCACTGTTTTCTAAGAAAACAGCAGAATTGAATGAAGATAAATTCTGAGACTCCCTCCCTTTCCTCCACAGCCCTTGAGCCAGAGGGTGTTGTCCATAGGAAAGACTGAAGAAGTTTGGCAAGACTACCTATGTGCTTAGGCACTCATGGGTAGTGAGCATTCAGACATAAGTGGAATTCACTAGGATGTACTGGGACTCTGGTAGGACAATTTGAATTATCTCTAAATTGCGCTAAGCATGAATTCATGCAGGATAACTCTGCCTCCTAACGCTGATGCTGACCCAGCCTGTCAATATTTACATTTTTGTGTTTTTCTAAGCTAGACCTCTGAAGCTGAAAGCAGAATGCTGCTTCTACCCTCCAGATAAAGTACAATATCTATTGTTTCAGAAGACTAGATGCCATAGGACAAGAATTGAGCTGTTGTATTACACTTGCCCTCTTTTTTATGTTATTATTATTTACCCAGAGACAACGCTGATTAATCTTTACCAAGAACAATAGGAAAAGAAATATGATTACATAGTTTGTTTTTTTAGGTAGTAAAAAGACTTTGACCTGGAATTAAGGAGACTTAGATTCTCAACGCAGTTCTTTGTTTTATCACATAACTGCTGTGCCAGTGCTTTTGATAATTATGGTAATTTGGAAGGAGCACACCTGGCTGGAAATCCTGCCTTTGCCTCTTACTATGCGACTCATGCAAATTGTATAATTTCTCTGGTCCTCTTTTCTCATCTACAAAGTAGCATCCCACCTATCCCACTTCCCTTATTGAGTGTTATATGTGTAGCAGTGTTTTAATCTCAAAGGGCTGTGTACATACAGACGTTGGCGTTTATGTTGGTAACTGTGCCGCAGTCATCTCATCTGATCTCTAAAATGCCCCACTCTTGCTCCCCTGACACTGCTGAGAACTTGCATATCTTAGCTGGGACACTTCTGGTGTCTGTCTTTCCTGCCCTTCGCTGTCTTGAAGCCCAAACAGAAGTTTCTGAGAACGAGACTGCAATTGTCAATTATTCGTCTTTGGTTTTTAAAATGTGCCCACCATCCAGTCCCCTGGGTGCTCGTTACCACAGCACAGCCTAATTACCTGTAGACAGATGAGACATGCTTGAAACTCTGCGACTTCTGCCTGCAGCCAGCATGGGTTCCTGCAAACAAGGGCCTGTGAAAAATAAAGAAGGGCTTTATTTCTGCTTTCAAAGTCTGTGACTTAGGTGCCTGAAAATATAGTTCAAACAAACTAACAACAAAACCCACAACAAGCAGCTCAAAGCAAGAGGCTTTAGAACATTTAAAGAAAGTGTTCTTTCTCCAAAGGTGTAGTGAGTGCTCGCCTCACGCTTTCCTTTAGTGGCGAACAATAGTTCCGTAACTTAGCCTCACTGAGGTCCAATTAGTCCAAATTGTGGTGGAGTTGGACTTATGGAGTCACAAGATCAGATTTTGGAAATGTGTTCTCCATCTCTGCCTTGTGCCTTTCCCTTTCTGACCCCCTGTGCCAGACAGGCTGATCCTAATCAGCACAGGGAGGCCTGCAGGCGGCTGAGACTATGAGGTTTATGATTATGAGGTCAGGGACCAGCAACTCAGGACTCATAGAAGAGAAGATTTTGGGACAAGAAAAAAGGAGCTTATAAAAGCAAAAACAAAAACAAAAACAAAAAAACAGAAACAAAAACAAACAAAAAACAAACAAACAAAAAAACCAGATGCCAAAAAAAAAAGTGTGTGTGTTGGGGAATCTTACTGAGAAGAGAGAGAAAGAAACAGAGGAGGAAGGGGAAGTGAAAATGTTATGATGGGGTGGAAGGGAGGAAGATAGGATCTGGAGAGAAGCAGAAGATTTCTTGCCCCAAACTCCTGAGAGAGAGCAAAAACAAATACTTTTGAGCAAAATCAGTTGTCCCCAGATGTCCTTAGATGCTCCATCGGTGACTCCGATACTGCCAGGGAGTCCCACCTGCAGAATCACGGTTCTCTGCCTACACAAGACCCTGGAACCAGTCCCCTTCTGTTTGTCCCTGCTCCACCCGCCAGTAGCACCTGCAGACCACATCCCCTAAGAGCAGTGCAGCCATGTCTTCTTCTTGAGAGCTGGAAGAGCACATGCTTCCTGAGGGTTTGAGGAAAGACAAAGAAGATCTAGAAAGAAGATGCTGGCAAAGAGAACTTCCAGATCACTTTACGTAGGGAGAGGCTGTGCTAGAGTGAAGAGAGCAGACAGTGTGTCATTAGAAGACATGAGATCAGGCCCACACTCTGCCACTTAATTACCAAGTGACTTCTAGGCAAGCTTTATTTTATTTATTTATATTTACCTGTAAGACACCTCTCCATCTTCATGCCTACCTAATGGTTTGAGAAAATGGATGAAACCCCCAAAGTGCCTTGTATACCTCTGATAGCACATCTCACTGCCTCATGGTTAAATATTTGAATAACTTATCTTCTTTTTTTTTTTTTAAGACGGAGTCTTGCTCTGTCACCCAGGCTGGAGTGCAGTGGCATGATCTCGGCTCACTGCAAGCTCCACCTCCCGGGTTCATGCCATTCTCCTGCCTCAGCCTCCCGAGTAGCTGGGACTATAGGCGCCCGCCACCACACCCGGCTAATTTTTTGTATATTTAGTAGAGACGGTATTTCACCGTGTTAGCCAGGATGGTCTCGATCTCCTGATCTCGTGATCCGCCCCCCTCAGCCTCCCAAAGTGCTGGGATTACAGGTGTGAGCCACCGCACCCGGCAACTTATCTTCTTTAGTAGGTTATGTGTTCATTGAGGGCAGGATGCTTACAGATTTATCACCTACCATGGTGCCTGGCATATAGCAGGTATAATAAATATCTGCAACAGATAGCTAATAATTAAATAAATGAGGAAGATGATGGCTTTGGGAATCCTGGTAGGTAGAGCTCTCGAAATCATAATGTCAGCTCTGGAACAAATCTGGTATTATTTAGGTTTGATGTAGCAGTTGTGGGCTTGGTATTATTGGCTTAAGTTACATTCCCCCAGAGATTTAGAAATACCCAATGACCACTTGCACATTCCTGATTTTTTCATTTTCAATTAAGGAATTAATTTAATTTTGCCATTTTATCATTATTATTTTTTGAGGCAGGGTCTTGCTCTGTCACACAGGCTGGAGTGCAGAACATGGCTCACTGCAGCCTTGACTTCCAGGGCTTCAGTGATCCTCCCACCTCAGCCTCTCTACTAGCTGGGACTACAGGTGTGCACCACCATGCTTGGGTAATTTTTGTATTTTTTTGGTAGAGATGGGGTTTTGCCATATTGTCAGGCTGGTCTTGAACTCCTGGGCTCAAGCAATCCGCCTGCCTCACCCTCCAATTTTGATGTTTTTTAGGTTAAAAATATTTTATTATTTTGAAAACAATTATTATGAACAAGTGAAATCTATAATGATACTACTTAATACAACATAGAAAATTATGTTATATATAAATACATGTGTTGTATATATATGTAATACATATACATACACAGAGATACATAATGTGGTAAGTGTATGTGTATTTTTATTCCACTTCCAGCAAATGTATGCAAAAGTTATCATAAACTAGTTAATATACAGTGGATATATGTTTATATTTGTAATTAGTTGCATTTCTTTTTTAGTGGAAATATAACAATTTCCTTAGTCATTTTGTTATTTGGTGTTTTGATTGTTGTCAACTTTTCACTTAAATAAACATTTTCTCTTGCAGAATAAATAATAATTATTGCTGTTAAAGAAAAACTAAAGCCATTTGTTGTGTGCCTATCATGTGCAAGGCACTGTACTTGACACTTTACCTGTGGTGTATCAGTTAATGTTCACAATGCATGATGTGCATATTATTTTTCCTCTTTCATGCAGAAAGAGACTAAGCCCAGAGAAGTCAGTAGTTCAGCTAAATCACACAAGCCAGTGAATACAGAGTACAGAGCCAGGATTCATGCTCAGGTCTGCCTAACTCCAATGCCCCCACTCCTCCAAACTACAACACTCTTAGGAGCAGGATTGTAAGGTCAAAAGATATCACTAGTTTTATGGTTCTAACTACATTTTCCCACATTGCTTTCCAAAAATGTTGTGCTGATATAGAAAACCCAGCCCTGAAAACATAACATTTTCTCCATAATTTTGTCTGATTTCATATTTTAAGCTAAGAAACCCTAAAGACCCATATGCCCTCTCTTCATTTTTTAATAAAAAAAAACTAAAGTTTTTATTTTTGAGATGGAGTTTTGCTCTTGTGGCCCAGGCTGGAGTGCAGTGGCGCGATCTCGGCTTACTGCAACGTCTACCTCCTGGGTTCAAGTGATTCTCCTGTCTCAGCCTCCCGAGTAGCTGGGAATACAGGCACATGTCATCACGCCCGGCTAATTTTTGTATTTTTAGTAGCGATGGGGTTTCATCATATTGGTCAGGCTGGTCTCGAACTCCTGACTTCAGGAAATCCATCCACCTCGGCCTCCCAAAGTGCTGGGATTACAGGCGTGAGCCACCGCACCCAGCCTGCACTCTCTTTTTTACTTTACAAGTGCTGCACTTAGAGCCAAATTCATCTTGAGCTTGAGTATTACCTCCCTGGAATGGACCTCGATTATATCACAGTCTGCCCTGAGCTCACCTGGTCCTGGACTCTCCCTCTTATTCAAAGGTGGATTTCCTGCTCTCCAAACCAACAATGAAATTTCCACCCCTGCCTTCCCTCTTATCATTCCCTTTATCTCTCTGAGAAATGGAGCAAAGCATATTCTGTCCATGGGAGAGATTAGGGGCTCTCTGCTTTCTTTGACCTCTTTGTATTTCCTTCATTGCATTAATGGCAGTGCTGGGGTAACGTGTATCGGAGAGAGAACTGATCAATAAACATCAGGAAGTGTAATTATGGGGTAAGGAGGCATTGGGAAACGTCTGTAAAAATTCAGGGTCCATTTGCCCATATTTTTTTTTTAATGGAGGCATGAATTTAATGTTCCACATGGGAAGGAACCAGAGGAACTACATGGGGTTTACTTCTATTTGTTCCCTCTCTGAAGAGCTGCAGGATACATGAGGTACCTTCAAATCCTTCAACCCATAGGTCTTCGCCTGAGGAGTAGGCAGATCCTGCACAGATAAATGTTCAGAGGTCATCCAGGACCGCAGTCCCACCCCCACCCCAGCTTCCAAGAAGAGGGGCTGCACAGAGCAAGCTCCCGATGGGAGGCAGTTCTCTGACCTTCACTGACTCATGCTTTTCAATTGCATCTTCTGTAGCCCTTGCGCAAGAATGACCTTGGGTGGCTTAGTAGTCAGATAGGACTGTATCTGCAGAACCAAGTCAGAAAAAAGTGGTTGTTCTGAGAAGACGCAGCTCAAGTCATCATTTATTCAAGGTTGTCTAATGAAAACACGTGGCTATTATCTGTACAGTGGATGATCTCAGAAGGACTTAGAAGAAACTGTTAGTGGTCTTAGAAATCCATCATCATCATCATTTTTTTTTTTTTTTGAGACAGAGTCTTGCTCTGTTGCCCAGGCTGCAATGAAGTGGCAGGATCTTGGCTCACTGCAACCTCCGCCTCCCAGGTTCAAACAATTCTCCTGCCTCAGCTTCCTGAGTAGCTGGGACTACAGGTGCGTACCACCATGCCTGGCTAATTTTTGTATTTTTAGTAGAGACAGGGTTTTGCCATGTTAGCCAGGCTGGTGTTGAACTCCTGACCTCAGGTGATCCACCCGCTTTGGCCTCCCAAAGTGTTGGGATTACAGGCATGAGCCACCTAGTCCAGCCCAATCATCATCATCATTATAATAATAATTATTATTCTTACTAGTATTTATTGAGCACTTATTGTGTGCCAGGGACAGTGTTACGTACTCTGCACCACATCTCACTTAATTCTTCCAACAACCTTCTGTGATAGTACCAGTATTATTATGTTTTTATAGATGAATGCTTAGCTCCCTCTCTTATTGATATGCTTTGTTCAAATGTAATTTTCCTTATGGGGCTTACTCTGACTACCCTATGTCATCCCTATCCCCCTTGTCTTTGCATAGCTCTCGCCACCTTCCAACCTGTTTTTTTATTTACTTAATCATTATGTCCATTGCTTAGCTCCCACCCTCTACCCATGAGAATGTTTGCTCCCCAAGGAGAAAGATTTTGCTGTGTTTTGTTCAGAACAGTGTCTGATTCATATAACTACTCAGTAAACTTATTCTAAGGATAAATGAACAGATGAGTAAACCACGATTGAGATAATGAGCAAATCTCTTAATGTCCCTCAATAACTGGATAGTGGAGCAGGGATGGAGATGAGTCTCGCTCTAGAGCCTTGGGGTTTCGCCACCCCACAACATTGACTCTCTTTCAGAAGATATTCTCACCTACACACATGCCCTTTGAAAGGTAGTTCATATTTGCTAAAACACATTCAGAATGGCCTACTGGCGTCTTGGAGAAGCAGGTTTGTATGAAAGGCCCCTAAGGCTGCCAGGCTGCCTTTTCTTTTTTTTCTTTTTTCTTTTCTTTTTCTTTCTTTTTTTTTTTTTTTTTTTTTTTTTTGAGACAGAGTCTGGCTCTGTCGCCAGGCTGGAGTGCAGTGGCGCGATCTTGGATCACTGCAACCTCCGCCAACCAGGTTCAAGCGATTCTCTTGCCTTAGCTTCCCGAGTAGCTGGGACTACAGGTGTGCACCACCACACCCAGCTAATTTTTGTATTTTCAGTAGAGACAGGGTTTCACCGTGTTTGCCAGGATGGTCTCGATTTCTTGATCTCATGATCCGCCTGCCTCGGCCTCCCAAAGTGCTGGGATTACAGGCGTGAGCCACCGTGACCAGCCAAGGCTGCCTTTTCTTTGGGCCCCATTTATCTGAAATTCCAAAGGCTTGTCTAGGTCTTGTGGTGACATTGCTATCTTTTCAGTCAATGCACAGCAGAGCCAGGGGGTGCTTGGTCTTGGGATGAAGCTCTGTATTCTCGGTGGCCTTCAGGACGCCTTAGGTCTTGGTCAGGTGAAGATCATTTTTATCATTAAGGTCTTTGATCTGGGTAGCATGCAATTCTCTGCCAGGGTAAATAAATGTCGTTAGGTTCTCAGACACTCTTTTCCAAGCCACTCACTTCTTTCTGCAATTCTTTGTGTGTTAAAAAGATTTAATAGCGACTCTCCTGTTAGTCTACTGTTTAATGGACTAACTTTGTCATTATGCCTCATAGGCAAAATGGTGACTTTGAAACTTGCTATTAGTGTTTTCTATTAAAATATAGTCACTATTACTTTTTGGACCAATATGCATCTTGGGAGTTCTAGGTATCATGCACATACACACAGCCTTTTTTCAAAAACCACATATCTGCCATTGCAGTAGCTCAGCCAACAGTTAAATTGGTATCTTATTACTGAGGTTTCTTTAGTTTTTGTCTATTGCATCAGGCTCTTGTAGGTTTTAGAAATAAATAAAAATGGTTTTAGCTTGGGTTGAAAGAGGATTTTCCCCTAGAACTGATTTCACTATAATGTATAGCTTAATACAAAACCTAGCATGCTGAATACAGTTAGTCTTCAAAGTGGATTAGGGTTGGTGTGCTTTGGGCATTTCCAAGGCATTAGTTACAGTACATTGAATTAGCTATACCAGTTGCTTCTCCTGTAATGAAAGGTGTAGAAAGATCCCCTGCTTGAATAGAAGGCCAAAATGCCATCTTTTAACTTCTATTGGGTGTGATGGAGATGATAACTGAATGGGCAAAACCACTCCTGTTGTAAAGGAGCAATGAAGCATTCTCTAGTTCCTTTAGAAAAGGCAAGTACAGAAATCTGAGATGCTGACCAGCCCAAGAGTTCTATTCATACTAGTGATAATAATGATATGATAAAGATAATGATCATAATTATACCAATTGTTACCATTTTCTACTCCCCGCTACTCCACAGGTCTTAAAATAAATAAACCTCTATTTTAAGCTATTAACTTGACCTCAGTCTTTATTCATGTTTTTCTGTGTGTATGAGTAGGGAGCTACTGAAATGATAATTGGATTTCATAAATGCAGCCTGTGTGGCACTGTTTAGAAAAGGTAGAGTTTTATAGTGCCCTATGGTGGCTGTGTGATGAGTCCCTGTAGCCAGGCATAACTTGTTGCCTGAATGGATGTCATTACATTAGTGATGAAAGTGTGATGACTATACACATGATTGCAGACATAAAAATGAAGTAACCATGGACTTTTTTTTTAGCATGTGCTATGTGCTAGTGACTGAGCTAAGTGCTTTATGTGTATTATCTGTTTATCTTCCACAATAAGCCCTTGAGATGGGCACTATTATTATTAATCTGATTTTTCACATTGGTTAACTGAGGCACTGAGAGATGAATGAACTTGCTAATAAGTGGTGAATCCAGGATTTGAACTCAGATTTTCTAAATCCAGAACCCTTGTAATTCACTTATGGGAGACGAAGTAACTATCAATGAAGTGCAAGGGTACATTAATCTCAAACAGGTCATGTGACGGATATTAAGAATGTGTAGGCAGGGTGCAGTGGCTTAAGCCTGTAATCCCAGCACTTTCGGAGGCCGAGATGGGCGGACCACGAGGTCGGGAGTTCAAGACCATTCTGGCCAACATGGTGAAACCCCGTCTCTACTAAAAATACAAAAATTAGCTGGACGTGGTGGTGTGTGCCTGTAATCCCAGCTACTCAGGGGACTGAGGCAGGAGAATCACTTTAACCTGGGAGGCAGAGGTTGCGGTGAGCTGAGATCGCGCCATTGCACTCTAGCCTGGCTGACAGAGTGAGACTCCGTTTCAAAGAAAAAAGAAAAAAAGAATGTGTAATGGTATTTTGTACAGGCACATGCAATCATTGTGTAGTATAGGTGCATTCAGGACTTATCAAATCAGGTACTAACTTAGGACTGAGATGTTGACATGAAAGTCTGAAATCACTCCACACTGGGGGAGACCAAGCAAATCACGTGAGAACATAAGCTCTGGCATCAGCATTGATGTTTACAAATTATACAAATGTAGTAAATGATCACACATACCCCCAAAATATGCACACCTATCATATTTCAATGAAACAAACAGGCTGGGCGCAATGGCCCATGCCTGTAATCCCAGCACTTTGGGAGGCCAAGAGGGGCGGGTCACTTGAGGTCAGGAGTTCGAGACCAGCCTGGACAACATGGAGAAACCCTGTCTGCACGAAAAATATAAAAATGAGTCTGGTGTGGTAGTGTGTGCCTATAATTCCAGCTACTCGGGAGGCTGAGTATAAGATCACTTGAACATAGGAGGTGGAGGTTGCAGTGAGCAACCTGTAGCTGTGGCTACAGGCACATGCCTCTATGCCTGGCTAATTTTTAAAATTATTTTTTGTAGAGATCAGGTCTTGCTATGTTGCCCAGGCTGGTCTCAAACTCCTGTCCTCAAGCAGCCCTCCCACCTTGGCCTCCCGAAGTGCTGGGATTATAGGAATGAACCACTATGCCCTAACTATTTTATATATAAAATGTGGAAGCTGGCTTTCTTTCTCTAAGGTACTTTTCTACTTTGAAACTCAAATGGAATAAACAGACATTTTGGGGAAATAAAATGATGGCTTAATGTCAGCCTTCTAATCAGGACTTGCAGACATCCTTCAAACGGAAAACCGTGGAAGAGGATGGTTATTTTTCTGGAGAGCTGGGCAGCACGAGAACACAAGTCTGTCAGGGTTTCCCAAGGGGAGTTGGAAGATTTGCCCATCTGGAGATCTTTGAAAGAGAGTAGGATGAAATCCCCTCTCTCAGGGGTGGTTAAGCTGGGGGCCTTACCAGTAGGAGAAAGAGGATTGACTGAACTCCGATTCAGGGTATTTTCTTAAGAGTTGATAGATAAGCTGTTTTTTCCAAGTACATTCCTGTTCCTTCATTTAATTGCTCCCCAGGGATTCATAGTCCAAACACCTTTACCTAAAAAACCTGAACTTTAGTTAATCAGGAGTGAATGTTCTGGGCAAAGGGCATTAGAGTCCCAGGTTTCTTCTCCTGAGACCTCCTCTGTGGTGTTGGCTTAGTGTGATATGATAATCTAAGGAATATTGTGACCACAGTCAGAGCTGCCCCTAGGAAAATGGCAGGGCTGAAGCAGATGATATTCTTCAGTTTTCTTCTCTCCAGAAGGGCATTGTGGCAGAAGAACAATTTCTAGAGACTTCCAGGCTGGGAAATAATTGCACTAGGTGCCTCTTCAAACCTCCCAGCCCTGTTCCTTGTCCTCCCCTGTCCCTCCACCATCATTTTTTCATTCATAGACACTTACTGAGCATAAATGTAAGTGCTCAGTCTGGAGCAGTGAGCTTGGTAACACACAACAACGATGAATGGGACATAAATCCTGTGTGGATGGCAGTCACAGTCTTAGGGTGGGAGGAACATGCACATCACTAATTGCGATACAAGGTGGGAAATGATGCATTGGAAAGAGACGTGGGTAAACTGCTTTGAGATTTTTTTATGCTAGTGAAGATTGATTAATAAATGAATATTGAGGACATTCTCAAAGGAGAACAGAAGGAAAAGACATCATAAAAGGTCAACTTGAAGAGCAAGAGCAGACAGAGACTTGCTACATATAGAACTTGGGAACTGTGGAATGCTCTAGAGTCTTAGACTTGCAAGTGACCACAGAGGTTGTCTGGTCTCAAACTCATAGTGATACTGTCCCCAACAGGTTCACTCTGGGCTTTACCACCTATACAGAAGGGAACTCATCATTTATTTTTGGATTAACAGCATCTACTGGACATGGTGGTTCATGCCTGTACTGCCAGCACTTTGGGAGGCCAAGGCTAAAGGATTGCTTGGGACCAGGAGTTCAAGACCAGCCTGGGCAACATAGCCAGACCCTGTGTCTACAAAAAATAATAAAAATTAGCCGGCTGTGGTGGCACATGTCTCTAGTCCAAGCTACTTTGTAGGCTGAGGCAGGAGGATTGCCTGAGGCCAGGAGTTCGAGGCTGCAGTAAACTATGATTGTGCTACTGCACTCCAGCCTAGGTGACAGAGACCCTGTCTCTTAAAACAACAACAACAAAACAAAACAAAAAAACCAGTGTCTGGTGCAAGAAGGGAGTCGGGGAATTTCTAAGTGTGTGTGTGTGTGTGTGTGTGTGTGTGTGTGTGTGTGTGTGTGTGTGAATGAGAAAGAGAAAGAGAGAGAGGGAGCAAGAAAAAGGAAGGAAAGCAGTAGACTAGATTTTCAGTACCCTAGTGGGCCTCTGCCTGAAGGACATATGGGGCCAATGAGTGCTGACTGGCTGTTCTTTGAGTTAAGCTGGGGAGATTTTATTATGGTGGGAATGGAACCCAGTGTCCTTGTTCCAAGGTCCAAGGTCCTGCATAGGTAGCAAACTTGCACGGAATGATCATGTGAACAAGCCTTCAAAAAGGAAGACTTTGTTCTGGCTAGTAAGATTTAAACCATTGCCTGACTACATTCTGGAAACAAGTTAGATCTACCTGTGGAAGCTAAACTAGAATCTTAAGACCATGGAAAGGCTACTTTTAAAGGTCTTTTATTGTTTACTAAGCTACTATTGCAACAGAGGATGGCAAACCTCATTTTAAGCAAATGAACATAGTGGAGACTTAGGCTCTGCAGTTTTCTCCTCTGCGGTCCAAAGTGCCTGCTTGGAGCCTTGAGTCTGCAGTCCTCGATAATGGAACCAGGAAGCACCAGGACTTACCGATCCCTGATGACTCATCTCAGATCTACAGGTAGACTTCTTAACAGGTAAGAGGTATTAAAGACACTTGGGTAAAAATGATAAAGTAGAGGTACACCTACATTATTAATGGCAAATGAGAAACTGATTATGTGGCCTGAATATGCCATGAAAAGAATATGTTGCTAATATAATAATTTATTTCAAGGGAGTTCTGCTAAATATTTGGGATAGTGCATTTTTTTTCTCTTTAATATTTAGAATTCGATACAAACTCCCAAGGAAATTTAGGGAACAGATAGAAACTGACTGAATTGAATAAGGAAACAAAGGGTATTGGTTTGCTGAATTGCAACTCCAAATTAATTAATCTCCCAAATTGCAAATCAACTACATGTCTTCACAAACGATGACAGGGAGAACTAGTCTGAATGTGTATTTTACAGAAAGTCAAAAGAGAGCAATAGTGAAGTGGAGAAAACACTGGTTTGGGATTCAGAATACCTGGGTTTAAATCTTGACCTCTGCAGTTCTTCATCTCTCTGAGCCTGAGTTTCCTCATCACTACAATGGGAAAAAATAACACTTACCTCACAGGATTATTATGAGACTTAAATAACAAAATATAGTGCCTTGCTCATGAAATCTTAGGTGAATCTGAAAATTTTCAGGACACTGAAACATTTCTAATCTATACCTGACTGAAGCAGATTTTTCATGTGGTTCAGGTCCTAGGTATCATATATTTGCTTTAAAGTGAAAGGGCAAGACCACGTAAGTTAATTGTTTACAGATATACTTTTAGTAAGTAGTGATGTTCTTGCAAAGTTGTATATCAATCAAGTAAAATGTATTAGGGTAATTTCCCACATGCAGGAATCCTGTTTATGTAAAGCAAAAAGGCCTCCCCAAATGCCAGTAACCATTCTATACCTTTTATGCAAATCTACACGTCCACATGTTGGGATTAGTTCTAGTGAGGTATTTGTGTTTGATTAACTTCTTGCTCTGTGTGGGCTTATGAGGGAATTAGATGCGCACAGAATGTTTGCCAACAAATGCAGACTGACTGTTAGGACTCCTCTGTGCAGTTTGTTTTTTAATTATTCTCAGAGGTCAAAATATTATGTCCAAAATAATACTAGAAGTCATTAAGGTAACGCTTGACTGAAAGATGTTTGATTCACATAAAACAGTTTCAGCTCCAGCTTTGTGATCTTGGTCTAAGATTTATCTTGCCCATGCCTCAGTTTCTCATCTATGAACCTGAGTGAGATAGAGTAGAAGAAGGATGTGCATGGGATGAGATAGCTAATTCTTCTTCCAGGCTATAATTCTGTCACCTGAAGAAGGTGATATTTTTACTGCTTATAAAAATTTCCAACTGTCAGACAGAATTAATATATCTTCCAGAGGTATCTGCTTACATCCAGGGAGTGGTTGAGGGCATAGAAAATGAAGTTGTTTCGTTTCCTGGAAAAGGTGACATGTTTCATGTCTATTTGGACACCCAAAGTTATGCAACAAATGACTTCCTCATTTGAGTGTGCCTTATTCAAGTTTATCACTGAATTAAAATTTCATACATTTAAAGAAACAATGTATTCTAATAAATCTTTTCTGTAAAACAAATGATTTGAATTATATGAAGGATCATGCCAGACTCAGATATTTTTTAAATCTGTATTTTCATACATCAGGATTGCTTAAAGCAAAGTAGACCTTTCCAGCTGATAGACCCTGAAAGCTACAAAAAGACGTTGTAGATTACCTAGCATAACTCATCCCTAAATCTCAATTTCAGAGTATTAAAATGCCATGTAGTCACTGGTTTGAGGCAAAAATGTGAGCATAGTGGTCCTGAGTCTCCATTTGTAGGAGAGGGATGTGGGGGGGATACAAGCAGGGGTGCTTGCCACTAGGGCCAGTTCTGGGGCGCAGTGCAGCAGGGTAGAGGAAACGGACTATTCCTGAAAAGTGGGAACATCCCACAGTGTGAATTTCATTGAGGCAAGAGTTCGCACCAAGTGCAGAATTGCATAGAGGTGAATTGTTTACAGTTACTGCCTCAAGATGCATTGTTTGCAGAAAGATAAACCTCTCAAGGTACAGTAGGAATGGTTGTCCAGAGCTGGATTACAGGGACCACCAATGAAAATCCTCCATACAGCCTAGTCGTCTTCAGCTTCTTCCTGTGTCATAAAAAGTAATTCCAATTTTTTGCTTGACATAATATGTAAAGGCTAATATTTCTCTGGTGTTTGGCAAACATGCTGTCCTATCAGAACAAACCAGGCAACTGTTTTCTAGTTTTTAAAACTTTTTCATTACATTCATTATGCTCCAAATGTTCTTTTTGGAATTCCAATAACACACCATGCTTTCTACACTTGACCTCAGCCAAAAGGCCGAGAAGCGATCAAACCATGCTTTCTTTTATGCCTCAATGCCTCTGCACATGTGGGTCTTCTGCTGGAAATATGACCCCCTTGTTCAACATGGAAAATGCCTCTGCTCACGTTCAAACCTTGACTAGGTACTGTCTTCTCTGTGAAATTCTCTCTGGATCAGGATCCTTCTCCCTCGTGTTCACTCTGCATTTGGTACACATTTCTCCTGAAGTAAATTTACCAAATTGTAGTTCTTGGACTGGTTTTCTGCTCCTTCCTCCCTTCCCCCAGATTTGAAGCAACTGAGGCCAGAGTCATCTTTGATAGGCATTCAAAAAATATTTGTAGGAAGCAATAATCATTTTTCATAAACTTTTCAGAAACTTCACACTACTTACTATTAAGGTATGCTTAGAGTCTGGGAAGATTAAATACTTTTTGATTGATTTGCTAGATTACCAGGTACACCACGAAGCTCCAATTTTCTTAGCAGATATAGGCAGAACTCCATTGTAAATGGCATAATCATACAGTCACATTTTGTTCCTCTAAAACATAACATCTACCAACAATAAGACACACACACACACACACACACACAGATTAAAAGAAAAAAAAACCTTATCCCCAACCCCAAATGTTCCCTCTCCTCTCCTTTCTTCTCCCCTCCACTCCCCTCCTCTCTCCTCTTCTCTTCTCTCTCTCCTTTTGCTCCCACTCCAACCACAAGTAACTTTTCACAGTCTAACTCTAGGCATTAGAAGGATGTTTAACACTTAGTAGATGCTCAAAAACTATTTGAAAATAGATGTCCCTCATTCTTTTTGCTGACTAATTTCTGGAAAGGGCAGTCTAATCTTGCAGCTTCCATTAATTCATTCCCTAACTACTCTTCAACCCATAGCAATCTCATTTCTTCTCTGACCACTCTACTGAAATTGTTGTCTCAGAGGTCATCAATGACCTAATTACAAAATTTAATGGAATTATCTCTGTCTTTCTTCTGCCTGACTTCATTATAGGATATAGCATCATTTATCTCTTTGAAATGTAGTATACTTTAAAAAGTATAAGTTTTAAAGCAAAGAGACCCTTGTTTAAATTTGTGTTCATCTTCTACTAGCTGTGTGAACTTGGGCAAGTCACCTTGTAAAATCTCTCATCATCTTGAAATAGGGCTTTTGATATTTATTTCTCAGAGTTGTTGCAAGAGTCAGCTGGGATTTTGTGGGTGAAGCACTCAGCACAGCGCCTGGCTTAGTGTAGCCATGCAATAAACGCCTCCTTTCTCCCCTCGGCTTCCCAGTGATTGCTGTTTCTTGGTTTTCTTCCAGAGGTTCCTCCTTTTCCTTGCCTATCTCCTCTCATTCCACATTTTTCCCCTGCCCTATTTCAGATTTTCTCCATCTCTTACCAGAACTATTTGCCATTCATATGGTCAATATTCCAAAAATATTGGCTGATTGAATGATAGTCTCCTAATTGGTTTTTATGGTTCCCATCTGCTTTTTTCTCCAATTCAAATTTCATGCTGTCACCAGAGTTGATGCTTCTCAAATACAGGTTAGTAATGCAGTCCCCCAACACCAAAAAAAAAAAAAAAAAGAAAAAAGAAAACCACCAAACCCAAACCAATCTGAATAGCAACCCTTGCCTAAAGAATAAAATCTATAATTCAACACTAGGCTAGGTGTGGTGGCTCGCACCTGTAATCCCAGCACTTTGGAAGGCTGAGATAGGAGGATCCCTTTGGACCAGAAGTTCAAGACAAGCCTGGACAACATAGCAAGACCCTGTCTCTAATTAAAAACAAACAACCAACCAAAAACCCTTCTGCACTGCAATCTGACCCCTCATTTGTCCAGCCTCATTGTCTAATCCTGTATGTCTCACCCTATGCTCTGACTTATCTTTTCCTATTTTCAAAACCTCTTTGTGAGTTTTCACTCCTCAATGCTTTTATTCAAACTGCTAACACCCTATTCTTTTTTATTGAAATTCTGACTTGAAGTATTAACTTAAATACCCATTCCTCCATAGGACCTGCTTAGACTACCTCTTTTCCTCTAGTTAAAATTTATCAATCTTTCCAGTCACACCTCTTGTGCACTTGTATTTTGCACTTAATTAATTCTGCTTTGAGGGATCATGTGCTCCAATGCACCATGTGTATCTTATTTATCTAGCTATATCCCAAGGACTTCCTGAACAAGGAGCTTTACACAGTGTTCTAGCGTAACAACTACTTGTAGAATTAAACTGAGTTGAAAATCAACAAGAATAGTCCTGTTTCCTACGAAGGGTATTATAAAGGAAACTTATACATAACAAAGGCTAACATTTATGGAGCACTTACTGTGTGCCAAACTCTGTTCTAAGTGCCCTACACAGCACTAATGCTCACAATCACTCCAGCAAGGAGATGCTATTTATTTACTTAATTTTTCAGATGAGAAACTGAGTTGCAGAGAAGTTAAATAACTTAACCGTAATAAAACTGCTAGCAAGTGATGGAAACAGGTCCAAAACTCAGGTGGCTTGATTTTGGGTCTGCACACTCAATCACTAGTCGGTAGTTAGTATAAGCTGATGATATTTTGCAATGCTTCTGAGGAAAGCAACAGCAGAAATTCCAGCACATGCCACCTGCTTTCCTTGGGATGGGCAGCCAAGGACAGGTGGGGCGACCTCAGAAAGTCTTTTGCAGCCCTGGTTTGCACATAAGTCCTTGCAAGATTTAGAGGACAAGAGATGATGTCCTTCTGTGCCTTGGTATCCTTGGTGTCAAGTACAAGGGCAGCCAAATATTGTGCAAAACATTCTTCTTTGACGCCTAAGCCTTTTGATGAGCGATTAAACCAAGGAGGCTTATCTGGTGACAGTCCTTCTCCTGAGGTGACGTCACTGCTCACCCTGGCCCCTGTGAGGGCTGTTGGAAACAAAGAGCTGACCCTGTGTACTCCCCAAGGTTGAGAGCACTGCCCAGGGCTCTATTCTCGGAAACTGAGTCTCCATCAAAGTCCTGAAGCATTTTCTCCCTTTTTCCTTGGAAGGAGAAGCTGGATGTGGTGGTTGGTCAACTGTGGTTTGATTTAGGTTGTATTTAACCAGCACCAGCCTCCTCCTCCACACTGCTTCTCTAACCACACCAATTCAGTGCAGCATCCTCTGACCCTTCTTAAAGTAGTGAGCCCCTCCCTGGGGAAATGAAGGGAGGACTCGTGAAAGAAACAAAAGGAGATACCATGGGGAGGAGTTTAAGTTATTCCCTCCAATTCTTTCTCCTGTCTTCATCCCCGAACCCTCACTTCCTTGCTTCAGCACCATCCTGGTAATTGATCCCTGTATTTCTAGTTCACCAGTGCAAGATATTAAAGCTATTTGTGGGTCTCAGGGAGGTGTTTAGCATCCGGTGATCAAAATGCCTTTGAGCCAGTAACAGGTCAGCTCAAACAGACTTTGTTTTAGGTGTAAGTGAATTGCTTCTACTTTAAAAAGAAACAATCTGGGTCTTAGAGACCCACAGTAGTAGGGTGGGCTGGGCCTTTAAGAGATCATCTCTTTCCTGCCACTGCCTCTAAGTAGGCTCCAGTTACCTTTAAAAGACCTACAGAGAAAGCCATTCTCTACCCAGTCTTAGTCATTCAGGCCAGTCCTTAACCAGCCTTACACTCGGTAAATGTTTATCATCTATCCCAAATCCCCCATGCTGCACTCTACAGAAATGCATTTCCTCTTGCTCAGCAGCAAAATGAGAGCTGCAGAGTGAAATCTGGCCATCCTTCATTGTGTGTTTGAAGACAGTCAACATTGCTCTCAGCATCATCCACGTTTCTGTCCGTATTTCCAGCTTCCCTGCCAGCCTCAAATTCCACTTCTTCTATGCTCACTGCCTGCTTCTTTCCCTCATAATGGGCCAACCGTTGGGATTGGCCGTTCGAATGTTGTGTAGGGGAGAGACTCTGTGTCCCAGTGTTGAGAGTGGGGATTGTCTGTCTTGCAACAACAGTGTTGTGGGGAGACATTCCTGTGTCTTTGGGAGTTCCCTGCCTTGGCATCCTGGAGCAGGTGCAATAAGGTGTCCGGGGTGCCAGCGCCTTCCAGTTCACATTTACTTGGATGTGTACCCAGGAGAAATCTAGTCTGGAAGCTACTATGTTTCACTAAAGTTTTCCCCTGGAAATTGAATAATAATAGTAGTTTATGAGTCTCCAGAAGTAATAGACAGGTGTTGGGTGTCTTGTGTCTGTAGGAAAAGGGAGCTTGTGCAGCTGAGAATAAACAACAGTTGCTTGGTAATATGACCTCCTTTCATTTAAAGTCAGAGGCCTGGCTGCAGGTGGGGAAAGGGGAGGCTGGGTTGTTCTGGTTACCACCTGTCTGGGGAAGCGGGGAATGGGGGCAAAGGTGAGGTCTGTTTCACAGAGAACTGTGCGGTCGCTGAGAGCCAAATATTGGAGAGAAGAAATATGGGAGTGGGGAGACTTGGGGAGCAAGTGCAATCGCTGAGATTCTGACGCAGGGCATGAAAACTCTTTGGTTCTGATGTTGGCACCAGCTACTTTGAGAAATTGTTTCTCTACACTTTTGGAGGCCTCTAAACTGGCTTCAGAAGGCATGAGTTCCAATTCTGGCCTTGTCATTGATTAGCCATCATCATTTATCTGTGACCTTGGATAAACTACTGAATCTCTCTGTCCCACTTTCATCAATTGTAAAGGCCGCTGGGAAGACACAGTGTGATGTATGAAAGCTCTTTCCAAAAGTGTAAAGGTCACCATACACATAACAAGCACAGGATACTGGAGAGAATTAAAGGAAGGAGAAACTTGATTCTTTTCTCAAGGAGCTTATAGTCTTAACAGTAATGTTGGCTCACAGCTGTAGGGCATTTCATATTTCAAAGCAGTGCCTCATTTATTATCTTACTTGCCAGAGCCATGGGCAACAGAAACAGCTGGAAAGGGCTGAAGGATGTGTTTTGAACAGGGTTTTAACGGTCAAAAGGGTTATGGCTTGAAAAAAAGAAGGGACTGCAGGTGCAAGTGAGTAAGGACAGCGTTCAGGCTAAGAGAGCTCAGGGTATCTGCTTCCCAATCAAGTGAAACATTTTAGATTCCTGCTTGGAGGTTTTCCCTCAGGCCGGGTGAAATGTAAATGATCACTCTTAGCCACTGCTGTGCCCAAGGCTTGAATTAAATCTCACAGGATTTCAGTTCCAGAATCTACTGTGAGTGGGAAAAGTGGCTGAAGTGTGTGGGAAGAGGGTGCTGGTGGCTTTTCTTCCTTGTAAGAGGTATACACTTAAATTCAGAGTGCCCAGAACAAACTTAAAGCTTCCTCCCTTGTTTCTTCTCCCTCTTCCCAAGCTGCCCATAGAATCTTCTGGCCCCTGTCTTGTGGACCATCCTTTTGTGTTTTTGGCCTCCAAGCGAATGGTGGTGTCCTGGCTTCCTTTCTTCCCATAAGCCCCTGAGACCCTCATCTTCTATGTCAAGAGCCCGCCCAAAACTCAGGTTCCTTGAACTGGGAAGTTATCAGATCCCTTGCAAAACACTCGTCCTTGGAGGAAGTACAAGGCAGTGAACAAACTCTGTGGAACTTGGCTTAGCTCCCGATCCTGAAGTTTGGAGTTACAGTGCAATCTCCTCAGCATCCCTGGAGCCGGAAGAGGTGACCTTGGCAGGCCTGACACCTGATGGCAAGGGGTTTCTGCTTTCTGTGCTATGTCCAGGAGTTAAAGTAGAGTGAAACCAAATCACTCCTGAGAGGGCCAGTGGCTGGATTTCAGAAACGGGGGCTGACATTCCAGGGAGTCATTTATGGGAGGGCCTGGCCTTGGCTCTTCAGCCGCAGTATCTCTCTCCCTGAGGAAGAAATATTTCCCTTGGTTTCCCAGCCTCTCAAAAGTTGTGTAATGTCAGGATGCCTTGAGCTTTTCCATACTTGACAAGTGTCATTGCAGAGCTTGGTAGATCCATAGCCAGCTGTCATCCTTGATGTCTTGCTGAACTGCAGGGATGTATTTACTTGCAGTGAATTCTTGTGATCTTTAGGGATGTGAATTTTCCTCAGCTTCGGGACACTTGTGAAATGTGACTTTTGTCCTGGCACGGAAGCTGGGCATTGGCTCCCAGATGGAAACTGGACTCTGAGAGAGGCAGAAAAGAAGGGTGGATCAGATTGTGGACTTCATGGTATGTTCTTGGGTGCTTCTCATGATCTCTTTGAAAGTTACTGACCAGGCTGGGCATGGTGGCTCATGCCTGTAATCTCAGCACTTTGGGAGGCCAAGGTGGGCAGATCACTTGAGGCCAGGAGTTTGAGACCAGCCTGGGCAATATAGCAAGACCTCATATCGACAAAAAGAAATAAAACTTAGCTGCGTGTGGTGGTGCGCACCTGTACTCCCAGCTACTCAGGAGGCTCAGCTGGGAGGACAGCTTGAGCCCAGGAATTCAAGGTTGCGGTGAGCCATGACTGCACCACTGCACTCCAGCCTGGGCAACAGAGTGAGACTTTGTCTCTTAAAAACAAAACAAAACAAAACAGTTACTGACCCAAGAGACAAATGCATTGGGCTGGGGTTGAAGGAGGAGAATGGCTGCTACAGCCCTGCTCTAGGAGCTGGGCTGGGTTAGACTCAGTGCCCACAGAGAGCACCTAAATAGGATGGATCGGTTCTAGGGTTGATGATCTCTTAGGGCCTGGGTCTAGAGAGTGAGTGTGGTTCAGCACATCTTGGGATGCTACCAGGACTGAACCAGACTTCCTAGGTTCCATGACATGGGGACATACTGGATTCTGTGACTCAGTCCATGGCAGGCTGAAGCAGAACTGAATCAGCCCTCAGCAATGTAAGGGGGGGTACCCTCGACTCCCTGGGGCTCTGTTGGATGCATTGCTTTGTGGGTGCTCACCGACTCCTCATTTCATTCTTTGCTAGGGACGCGGCTATGGTACTGGCAGCTGGCTCATGTACAGGGTTCAGGCCCCATTTTCCTTACTGGTCCTGTGTCCTTTGTCTCTCAGACCCTGTTGTCTGTCTTTCCTTGGTATGTCATGTCTGGTATCCTCAGCTCACGCCGCCACGGGAGAACTGTCCTCTTCTCAGCTTGTCATTTTGGAAGCAGCCTCCAGCAACCTTGCTTTCCTCCTCTGACTATACTCCGGCCTGCAGTGCCACTACTCACGCCCCCAAATAATTTAAACTGCCTTTCTTAGGAGACAAGAGCTAGTTGAAAAGTCTCCTCATTTTCCTTCAACCCTGTATCATGGGTGGCCTGAGAGAGTGAGGACTGAATTCATTGACTCCCCTTTCTCTGCACCCCCCACCCCCAAGGAAATAGCCGAGTTCGACTAATGGGAGTTGCCTGGCCAATCGTTGCCCTGAGAAAGTTTGGTTTGTGATCCTATTTCAGTAGGCTGATTGGAGCAGCCTTTACTTGGAGGTCGAGTCCCTCCCCGAGGGAATCCGTGTACAGTTACACTAGCGGTCGCTGCCAGTGCTAGCCCATTCAGGATAGCCCCCCTCACCCCGCCCCCAGCCCCCGCTCCTCCTCCTCCTTTTTTGTTTTTATCCAGTGTCTCGCTTCCTCTCTCTCTCTCTCTCTCTGTCTCTCTCTCCCTTTCCCTCCTACCACTGCCTCTTCCTCCCGCTCTCTACCTCCCTGCAGCGCCAAGCCGGCTCCCCAACCTGGTCTGCTGAACGCAAACCGCTGAGAGTTTGCTGCACCGCCCCCTGGGGCCCCTGGCTGCCGAGTCCCGCTAAGGCAAAGACGCCAGCAAGCGAGGAAGCGCAGCGGAAGAAAAACAAGCGGGCGCGCGAGGGGAGCCCCAGGAGGGCTGCCGAGTGGCTGGCAGGCGGCTCCCGCCCCTCCCGGGTGGCCTCGCCGGCGGCTGACGGCCCGGAGGACGCGCGCTCCGAAAAGTTAGACTCCGGGCGGCGGCGCGCTACGCCGCGTCCCCTCGCGTCCCTTCCTCGCTGCGCTCCGGGAAAGGAACTTGTTCCTTCGGCCCCAGGATTGGGGAGTGTGCCGCGGGGCCGAGGGTGGGGAACAGCCAGAGGGAGACGCGAACCAGGCCGCTGGCGGAGGGCTCAGGGGGAGCGCAGAGGCGACGGCCCCCATGCCGGCGGCCAACATGATGGAGAACCGGCCGCTGCCCGCCCTGCAGGTGCCCGAGCCGCAGGGTGCGCCCGAGGGCAGCCCGGTCTGGTCCAGTTCGTCGACCCCCACGCTTCGCCGCCGGCGCTTCAAGATGCGCCGCATGAAGAACGTACAGGAGCAGAGCCTGGAGGCCGGGCTGGCCCGGGACCTGCCCGCCGTCTTGGCCCCCGGCAAGGAGTTCCTGCAGCTGCCGTCCATCGAGATCACGCCCTCCAGCGACGAGGACACCCCGTGGTCCAACTGCTCCACACCCAGCGCGTCCCCGCGCCGAAAACGCTTCCTCCTCCGCAAGTGGCTGAGGGTGAGGGAGCGGAAGGAGTGCAGTGAAAGCAGGTACGTCCCCGTTCCGCCCGTCTCCTTCCCTTCCCTCCCGTCCTCTCCAGAGCCGTCCAGGGCCCCGGGGCATTCTGGGGGAAACGTCCTGGGGGAGAACAGGAGCCCGTCACCAGAGGCGCTTCTGGAGGGCGCTGCGCCTGGTCCCAGGGATGGTGGCATTCAGCTTCCACGCGTGCCACCCGCTCCCCAACTCAGGGTGAGGGGCTTCATGTTGCACGACACGTTTACGTGGGGCTTTACGCTGCATTCCATCTCCCTTGATCCTCGCAGCGAAATAAATAATAAAAATAATAACAGCTAATAGTTATTGAGCCCTTACCATGTGCGGGCCACTATGTTGCGCACTTCATGTACCTCCAGATTTCATCCCTACGCAAACTCTCTGAGGTAGGTATTACTATGGCTCCCTTTCTACAGAAGGAGATAGTAAAAGGCCAGAGAACAGTTAAGTGGTTTATATTTCAGGACTCCGTTTCAATCTTATTTTATGTTTGGCCACACCGGATTGCCTTAACTGGCTCACTTGTGTGGAAGTGAAATATTGACATTGAGTGAGTCACATTTCCTACCATATCAGAGTCTTTAGACATCGATACCTACAAGACTGTGGTTTGTACCAGCTAGTTTTTTGCCTAGGTCAATGTGGCATCTGGGTAATGGGAGAAGGTTGAGCTTCCCTCACGTAGAGAATTGCTGCAGGGCGCCCTAGAGCAGCTCTACACAGCCCTGGTCAGGACTGCTGCTTCAGGAAGTTGTGTCTGAGCCAAGCCCCTTGCCTGGTGGAGGGCAGGGAGTCCTCACTTGTTCATCGGTACCACGAATCCTACATATTTACTTTGAGACTTTAGGGTCCTGTCTCTTAATGGATTTGTGTTCTTGTGCGGAGCAACTGAGTCATTGATCACTTTCCCTGGAATTCCTTCTCCAAATCTGTTCAATTACATTGATTTCAATTCAGTAAGTACTTACTGAATATTTCTGTGAGCTCAGTCTAGTAACAGCTAATAGTGGTGATGTTGAGGAGGGTGTGGGGGAAGGATAGGTAGAGTAAGGGGTTGTAGAGGCTGAGAAGGAAGATGAGGGGAGGCTTGTATAAGAAATGAACACCTGGGCACAGTGGCTCACACCTGTAATCCCAGCACTTTGGGAGGCCGAAGCGTGTGGATCACTTGAGGTCAGGAGTTCGAGACCACCCTGGCCAACATGGCGAAACTCCATTTCTGTTAAAAGTACAAAAATTAGCTGGGTGTAGTGGCAGGCTCCTGTAATCCCAACTACTTGGGAGGCTGAGGCAAGAGAATCGCTTGAACCTGGGTACAGGGGCTGCAGTGAGCCAAGACTGTGCCACTGCACTCCAGCCTGGGCCACAGAGTGAGACTCTGTCTCAAAAAAAAAAAAAAAAATTGAAGACCTGTGGGAGCCATTGGAAAACATACTGTGCTGTGTGGTACTGATTGTACTAGAAAAGAGAGAGTTCTGGAGAAGTAGAGGAAGACTTCTTGAAGGAAGAGGCTGACACCATGACAAATACAGATGGGTAGTAGAAAACAGCAGGAAAAGAATGAGGTTGGGTGCATAAGACTGGCTGAAGGGAACAATATGAAGAATGGCAGGAGAAACAGGATGAGCCATGTGTCTTTGCGGGGTGGGGACTGAGGAGTAGGATCCGTTATGCAGAAGATGGGCATTTTGGGCCTTCCAGAGTTTATCTTTTCTGTTTGCAACAACTGAGCATGGTTCTCTCAGCAGGTGCAGATACAGAGCTTTGTTCCGTGGATTTTTGTGGACGCTGGGGATAGAAGTTCTTTCTGTTTGGTACTTCATCCTGCTACCCTTTTCACAGAGTAGAGGGAAATGGGGCAAGCTTGGTGGGAGCTAACCTTGAACTAAAGTAGTTTGTCAGGCCAGGGGCGGTGGCTAATGCCTGTAATCCCAGCACTTTGGGAGGCTGAGGCGGGAGGGTCACCTGAGGTGAGGCGGGAGGGTCACCTGAGGTCAGGAGTTCGAGACCAGCTTGGCCAACATGGTGAAACCCTGTCTCTACTAAAAATACAAAAAATTAGCCAGGTGTAGTAGCGGGTGCCTGTAATCCCAGCTACTCGGGAGGCCAAGGCGGGAGAATTGCTTGAACCCGGGAGGTGGAGGTTGCAGTGAGCCAAGATCGCGCCATTGCACTCCAGCCTGGGCAACAAGAGCGAAACTTCATCTTAAATGAATAAATAAATAAAGTAGTTTGTCATGGCTTGTCGGCTTTTCCCTCCAATGTAAAAGAAACTAAAAGAGACCTTCTTTTGATCTTGAGATTCTGCCATATATACTGAGGACAAAATATGGTAAAAAGAGCCGGGTGCAATGGCATGGCCTGTATTCCCAGCTACTTGGGTTGTGGTGTGAGGATCACATGAGCCCAAGAGTTCAAGGCTTTAGTAGGCTATAATGGTGCCTGTGAATAACCACTGCATTTCAGCCATGGTGAGACCCCCACCCCCAACGCTTAAAATGTTACGTGCGTGTGTGTGTGTGTGTGTGTGTGTGTGTGTGTGTCTTTGTGTGTATGAAGAAAAAAATCTTGCATTGCTGGCTAGGATGGGGATGACAGTAGATTTGGTTAGATTTAGGAAGGTATTCCTGGTTTCGAGAGTTGTCTATGTGTGTAGTGGAACCTTCATTTTGTTGGATTTGGGGACATATCCTTAAAATTTGGCAGGATTTTCATCTAGATGTAGTTCAGGCAGTTATTTTAAGTGGTGACTTTTGGATTAGAAGAACCTATGTATCAGCCGGGCGCAGTGGCTCACGCCTGTAATCCTAGCACTTTGGGAGGATGAGGCAGGCAGATTGCCTGAGCTCAGGAGTTAGCCACCAACTTGGGCAACACGGAGAAACACCGTCTCTACTAAAAATACAAAAATTAGCCAGGTGTGGTGGTGGACACCTGTAGTCCCAGCTACTCGGGAGGCTGAGGCAGGAGAATTGCTTGAACCTAGGAGGTGGAGGTTGCAGTGAGCCGAGATCTCGCCACTGCACTCCAGCCTGGGCAACAGAGTGAGACTCCGTTTCCAAAAAAAAAAAAAAAAAAAAAAAACCACCACCAACAAAAAACAAGAACATATGTATCTGAAAAGGCAGACTCTGGATTCAAATTCAAATTCGTGTGACTCACATCTACTCTTAGCTACTGTTATACTGCCTTCTGTTGGAATCTATTTGGATTGTGTGTAAAACAAAGCCCCATCATTTTTAGGCCTCGAAGATGAAAGGCTTCCTTCCAAGAAAAGCAGCAATCAAGTGAATAGGTGCTCGTAGATACCACCAAGTGGCCTGAGAAGGAATTGGTGGCGGGGTGTGGTAGCTCATGCCTGTAATCCCAGCACTTTGGGAGGCTGAGGAGGCAGATCATTTGAGGCCAGGAGTTCGAGACCAGCCTAGCCAACATGGCAAAACCCTGTTGCTACTAAAAATACAAAAATTAGCTGGACATGGTAGTGCGCGCCTGTAATCCCAGCTACTCAGGAGGCTGAGGCATGAGAATTGCTTGAACTTTGTGGGCAAAGGTTTCAGTGAGCTGAGATCACACCACTGCACTCCAGCCTGGGCGACAGAGCAAGACTCCATTTCCAAAAGAAAATAGAATTGGCATTTAGAGGCAATGGAGTGCAGGGAACATTGGACTTAATATCAGAAGACAGCTGTATATTTAAGTTCTATCATCGATTAGCTATGGAGATTAGCTTGAGCATTTCACTTTACCTCCATGAGTTTCACCTTCTTCATTTGTGGAAGAGGATCTCTGTGGGTTAATGGGAAGTCTGAAGAGTAGTGAATGTGAAAATGTTTTGCAAACTTCCTCTTGCTGTGCAAGGGTGAAGGCTTATTTCATTACTCTGTGAGTCTCTCACATGGAATGGATGTTTGCTTAAAAGTATGAGGTTACATACTCACGTGTCCTGGAGCAGCACCTGAGCCTCCTCACACAATTCAGGATTTGGAAATGATGGTTGGAAAATGGCTCTGCTCTGGCCTGGATTAGGGAGGATTAGCATACCAGGCCCAGCATGACGTCTCCACATTCCCCACCCCAAATCTCCTGCTCCAAAAGAGAGAAAAACACCTTTCAGGCTTGCTATGAAATTCAGCGTGATGTGGTAGAAGTTAAGTGGCTGAGAGGGCCATAGCTTGTGGATTTCTTTTAATTTTTGTTTTTTCATTATTTGTTTCATTATTTGTTTGTTTGTTTGTTTTTTTACTTGTCACTGACTTGAAGCTCAAGCTTGCGGATTTTCACTGCACAAAGTTGAAAATATGAAGAGGATTAGGAGACCCTTTTCTTCTCCTTAAACCCTAGGAAGGAAGAAGTGGAACAAATGGTAAAGACAGCATGGCTTACTAACTTTCCAGTGTTCACTGGAATACTCCAAGACCAATCATGTTCATCTTTGTATCGTCACAGCACTGTACCTGACCTCTTACAGTGATCTATAGATCTATAGATGTTTGTTGATGAGTTAATAATGAGTAAATAAATGATTCCTTTTTCTCTACTGTTTAAAGTGAAATTCTTTTATTCATGAGTGTGGGAAAATTTCCAAAAGGAGATGAGTACAGAGCTGAGTTTTTAAAAACAGCTTTATTGAGATATAATTTATATAATATACAATTCACCTATTTAAAGCATAATTCAGTGGTTTTTAATATATTCACAGCTATGTACAACCATCACCACAGTCAGTTTTTAAAAACGTTTGTTGCCCCACAAAGAAACTCATACTTTTTTTTTTTTTTTTTTTTTTTGAGACGGAGTCTCCCTCTCTCACCCAGGCTGGAGTGCAGTGGCTCAATCTCGGCTCACTGCAGCCTCTGCCTCCTGGGTTCAAGTGATTCTCCTGCCTAAGCCTCCTGAGTAGCTGGGATTACAGAAGCTCGCCACCACGCCCAGATAATTTTTGTATTTTTAGTAGAGACAGGGTTTCACCATGTTGGCCAGGTGGGTCTTGAACTCCTGACCTCATGATCTGCCCACCTCAGCCTCCCAAAGTGCTGGGATTACAGGCATGAACCACTGTGCCTGACTGAAACTCATACTTTTTGGCTAGCACCTTCACCCTCTCCATCCCATTTCCCCAGCCCTAGACAACCACTGATCTATAGAGAGCTGAGTTTTGAAGGGTTAACAAATGCCTATAGGTGAAAGCAGTTTGGATGTGTTGGCTTGAAGATAGAGATGGATGACCAAATGTGATCTTGTTGAGGAATGTGGAAAAATGAAGGTGGTGAGGCTGACAGACCGAAGGTGATTTATGCCAAAGAGTTTGAATTTCAATGAATCACTCAGTCATCAAACAGGTATTGAGATCCTATATGCAGAGCGCTTCCTAGGCAAAGTGAAGTCAATTCAATGAGGAGCTGTCGTAGATTCTGGAGCTTGGGAGAGACACTCTCAAAGTGTTGCTCGAGGCAACTACTTTCTGCTGTTCCGTGTAGTGGGGAGGAAGCGTGGGGAGGTGAAGGCCTGGAGTCTTGCTCTTTTCTTTCAGTGGTCTAACTGCAAAGCATCATCTTAACTACCATTGAACATAAGACGGCACAATTTTTTTTTATTATACTTTAAGTTTTAGGGTACATGTGCACAATGTGCAGGTTTGTTACATATGTATACATGTGCCATGTTGGTGTGCTGCACCCATTAACTCGTCATTTAACTTTAGGTGTGTCTCCTAATGCTATCCCTCCCCGCTCACCCTACCCCACAACAGGCCCTGGTGTGTGATGTTCCCCTTCCTGTGTCCATGTGTTCTCATTGTTCAATTCCCACCTATGAGTGAGAACATGCGGTGTTTGGTTTTTTGTCCTTGCGATAGTTTGCTGAGAATGATGGTTTCCAGCTTCATCCGTGTCCCTACAAAGGACATGAACTCATCCTTTTTTATGGCTGCATAGTATTCCATGGTGTATATGTGCCACATTTTCTTAATCCAGTCTATCAAGATGGCACAATTTTTTTGCTGGCCATGTTGCCCTCTGAGCTCAGGGAATAGCGTAGCCTGCAGTTGATGGGGCAGGCTCTTAGCATTAATACTCACATGTCTTTCTAACTTCCTTGCCCAAAACTGGTTGTGGTGATTGTTCAGAACCCAAACTGAGGATTGGAACCCTTCTCTGAATTGCTAGGTTCAGAAAACTCAGAAATTAGATGAAACCACATCTCCCAGGATGTCTTCTTGTCATCACTCTCTGGAGGGGGAAGGGAAAGCTGACGACGGGTGAGTGAGTTGGGTGGTGGCCAACTGCAGGCTCTTTCTAGGGGATGCAGAAGCACCTCTCTGCATCTCTGCCCAGTATACCTTCACTGTTACTATCTTTTGTACCATCTTTCACCTGGCTGTTATGTCCCTTCTTCTACATAACACACCTACCCCCGTCATGACTGCTCACAGTCTAGCAGGCTGGCGGCTAGAGAGTGGAGGGCCTCAGGGTTTCCACTTAGCTCCATGTCTGACCACTGGTAGTGCCGCTCACTAATTGTGCCCAGCATGCTAGGCTAGGTCATCTCTCTGGTGCCAGCCTAGCTGGCGTGTGGTTTGCCTGTAATGAATACACAGCATTGGTATATTTATCTTGATTCTTCATCTCCTTCCTCTGACCTTTGGAGGGAGACTTGTTTCGGGTTTCAGCTCCATTTCCAGGAGAGCAGGGTGATTTTGTGCATCTGAATGCTCTCCCCCTCAGCCCCCGTCACTATTGGTGTAGCTTCTCCGCTCTGTGTGTGCCCTGCTACATATGAGAAGCACAGGAAGTGTGGGAGAGAGAAAACTCATGTCCTTCTTAACACAAAGCAAAGAACAAATGCAAAGGAGACCTATGATTGGTCAGTGGATTAAGTAAGTGATCGGTGCTGGATAGGGTTAACTGGCAAAAACTTCCACCAGATTCATAATTCCTTGAGGGCAGGGACCGGTCTTACTTTGTGCCAAGTTTTCTGCCAAGCAGCCTTAAATACATTATCACATTAAATCCTCACAACAATGCCTCGGTCCCCCCAGGCAGGTTTTCCAGCTGAGGAACCTGAAGTTCAGAGATTAACATTCTCCTGGTCCAACAGAAGCAAGGCTGGGATTTGAAGCGTGTCCTAATTCCAAAGCCTGAGCTCATTACAGCTCCACTGCCCTATCCCCCCAGGGCCTGGAAGCAGTCAGCCCTCCCCTGCTTGAGAACTTGTAGATGTGGAGGGGGAGGTCCTGAAGCAAGGTAGGAATGTGGACAGTCGGGAGGCCATTGAGGAGATGTGTGTGAGGTTGTGGGAAGCAGAGAGGTGTGAGGATGACCCTGTTGACGGTCTAGGTGGACTCCTCCGTGAGAATCAGCTAGCGCCTGGCTGTAGATGTGGTTTCTAGATTAAAACAATCTGTGGAAACTGAGACGGTAGAGATGGAACCCTGTGGGCTGATTTCATACTGGCCAGCTTCCTCTGTGGGAGTTGGTATTTGGAAAATTTCCTTGGTGGTTATGCACTCAGAGGGTGCCAATTACACATCAGGTAAGGGGCTGGTATGAACATGGGGCAGATGCACAGGTGATCTTTCTGTCCTAGTTGGTGCATTTCTCCCAGGTATTATATAGCCTCCAATTGCTATGCTGGTCACTGATAATTGCTTCTAGGGTAACGCAGAAGTTAAGGAGTCTGAATGGCTAAGCTGCCAGTGGGGAATTTTCTTCCTGACCCCAGTGGGCAAACTGCTGGCCCTGAAGCAGGTGTTTAGACCTGGGGCCAAGGCTGGCCCGGAGAGCCTGGAGGTGGTTGCTGGGTTGCTGTGTGTACAAGAGCTTGATGAAACCTGAGGGTTTTTCCTGGGGCATTTGCCCCAATGGGATTCTTTCTTCCATAGCACATATCAGTGTGTGACTTGCCAAGGGGCTGTTGTGCCTGGTGTGAGGAGGGACATAGCTTCTTATTGTCTTGGGGGGTGGGAATCTATGAGCTCTTCTCCTGTGACTCTGGAGCCTGGAAGGAAGTGTCCTCTCAGAGGAGACTTGTTTCGGGTCTCTCAGGGACTCAGAACAGAAAGCTTCTCTCAGGGACTCAGAACAGAAAATCGAATGTGGGTTTTCCAGTGGGAGAAGGGAAGCAGGATGGTGATGCCTCAGCTGGTGAGGAGATGTTGGGCAGTAGCCAGCCACTCCCTGCCACCATAGGCAGCAACCTCCTAAACACACTCCTGTTTTCAAATATCCTCTTCTGTTATCAGACCACATGTCTGGATTTTCGATTCAGATATTGTCATATAGCTCGAAATCCTCACTAGGAAAATGTGGCTGTGCCTTTGGTCCCTTTGTGGAAGGGAGGGATAAAGAAAACCATGGGTTTTTCCTTTGAGGCCCTAACACATTGGGTAGTCAGAGGGTATGAAGCCCTTCTGTGTCCTCTGTATGTCCTCAAGCTGGGATGAGACTCCGGTTCTCCAATTCTGATCTGTAGATGAGATGGAGGAATGAGATGACCAGGCACGTCACGGAGGCAGTGCAGGGTCAGAGCTGAAACTCAGGCCTCTGACCTGAAATCTCGACCAGTTTCTAACAGACCTATTACATCTCTGCAGCAGCCTCATTCTTTTTAAGGTCTCTCCCTCTCAGCACATCACTGTGGTCAAGCCTGTTCCCCCACCCAGCCTGGTGCCTCTTCCCTCCACAATCTGACCACAGAGATTTTCAGTCTTGCTGCTTCTGGTTGGCAAGTTTATCCAGGAAATGATGGAGCTGAGGGAGATGACTAGAAAAACAATAAACAACCTATTTGGTTTTTGCCCTCCTTTTTGCAGCCATAGAAAAATAATTTTCTGGGGGAGGGGGAGCGCCCAGTTTGGGGATGGTAACCCTTGCAATATTTGCCTCAGCAATTAGGAAAATACAGAAAGGCAATGGATGGTTAGTTTAGTGACACATTTTTGAGACTCTCCAAGAGTCTTCAAGCTTGTTGTCTTAAAAGGAATCATTTTAAAAAATGTAGTGCATGTGCTGCTGAAGTGAGCACAAGAAATCATTTTTTATGCCATAAAAGTCAACGCGGCCAGATGCAGTGGCTCACGCCTGTAATCCTAGCACTTTGGGAGGCCAACGCAGGCAGATAACCTGAGGTCAGGAATTGAAGACCAGCCTGGCCAACATGGTGAAACCCCGTCTCTACTAAAATACAAAAATTAGCCAGGCATGATGGTGGGTGCCTGTAATCCCAGCTACTCGGGAGGCTGAGACGGGAGAATCGTTTAAACCGGGAAACAGTGGTTGCAGTGACCCAAGATAGCGCCACTGCACTCCAGCCTGGGCGGCTGAGTGAGACTCCGTCTCAAAAGAAAAAAAAAGTCAGCATATTGTATCTAATAAAATAGCTAGTTAATTGTAAAGTTTTGGATAGTAGGAAAAAGGAAAACATAATTTTATCATGTTAACTCAGTTATTAGAGGGTATATTGATCTGTTTGTGTTGTTATAAAGTAATACCTGAGACTGGGTAACTTATAAAGAAAAGAAGTTTATTTGGCTCATGGTTCTGCTGGCTGCATAAGAAGCATGGTGCCAGTATCTGCTTCTGACCTTAGGAAGCTTCTATTCCTGGTGGAAAGCAAATGGGGGTTGATATGGCTTGGCTGCGTCCCCACCCAATTCAATCTCATCTTGAATTCCCACATGTTGTGGGAGGGACCTGGTGGGAGGTAATTGAATCATGGGGGCAAGTTTTTCCTGTGCTGTTCTCAGGATAGTGAATAAGTCTCATGAAATCTGATAGTTTTAAAAATGGGAATTTCCTTGCACAAGCCCTCTTCTCTTGTCTGCCACCATGTGAGATGTGCCTTTCACCTTCCACCATGATCGTGAGGCCTCCCCAGCCACGTGGAACTGTAAGTCCAATAAACCTCTTTCTTTTGTAAATTTCCCAGTCTCAGGTATGTCTTTATTGGCAGCCTGAAAATGGACTAATACAGGGGAGCAGGGTTGTCACATGGTGAGAAGTTGCAAGAAAGAGAGGTAGGGGTGTCAGGCTCCTTTTAACAAGCAGATCTTGCAGGAACTAAGAATGAGTACTCACTCATTCTCGAAAGAATGGCACCAAACCTTTCATAAGAGATCCTCCCCCACAGCCCAAACACCTCCCACCAGGTTCTCCTCCTACACTAGAGACAAAATCTCAGCATGCAGGCCGGGTGTGGTGGTTCACGCCTATAATCCTAGCACTTTGGGAGGCTGAGGCAAGAGGATTGCCGCTTGAGCCGAGGAGTTGGAGGCCAGCCTGGACAACATAGTGACCCCTATCTCTACAACAAATTTAAAAAATTAGCCAGGGCCAGGCATGGTGGCTTGCACCTGTAATCCCAGAATTTTGGGAGGCCAAGTCAGGAATATTGCTTAGGCCCAGGAGTTTGAGACCAGTCTGGGCAACATAGTGAGACCCCCACCTCTATTATAAAAGAAAAAAAAAGAGAAAAAAATTAGCCAGGCATGGTGGCATATACCTGCAGTCCCAGCTACTTCAGAGGCAGAAGTGGGAAGATTACTTGAGCCTGGGAGGTTGAGGCTTCAGTGAGCCATGACCACGCCACTGCACTCCAGCCTGGGCAACAGAGTGAGACCCTATCTGAAAAGAGAGAGAGAAAAAAAAGTCAACATGCTATTTGGAGGGGAGAAATATCCCGACTATATCAAGGGCATGTTTGGTGTATTATCTCCTGGTGTTTTTTCTCATTCAGATTTTCCTTTTATTTGAGAGACTTTTTTCTTCTGTGCCTTGCACTTCTAGAAGGTAAGGGAGAGTGTTAGTCCATGCGTTGAGGATAGAGAATTTGAAAGGAAAGATCAAACTGTTTTTTCTTTCTCACAGTCAACACAGAACATTTCTGTGACCAGATATGTGGGGTTTTCTCCCCACACACCAAGAAGTTCTCCAGTGGACACAAACTGGGTGTCTTATAATTCAATTTAATTCTGGCACCTTCTGCCTGGAGATGGTGTCAGATTCCACAGGTTCAGGGCTCAGTCCTCTAAGATTGCCCCCACTTCAGATGCCAATCACAAGTTAGAGCTACCTGTACTTTTTCTTTTTTTATTTTTTCTCTATCTGCATGTTGCATCTGAGATCTATACTTCTGACCAACCAACTATAAACCAGAGTTCCCGACTCCCTTTTAGGGTTCGATTAATTTACTAGAGCTGTTACCAGAAAGGGGTCCCATTCCAGACCCAAAGAGAGTGTTCTTGGATCTTGCACAGGAAAGAATTCAGGGCGAGTACACAATGCAAAGTGAAAGCAAGTTTATTAAGAAAGTAAAGGAAGGCTGGGCGCGGTGGCTCATGCCTATAATCCCAGCACTTTGGGAGGCCAAGGTGGGAGGATCACTTGAGGTCCAGAGTTCAAGACCAGTCTGGCCAACATGGCAAAACCCCGTCTCTACTAAAAATACAAAAATTAGCCAAGTGTGGTGGCAGGCACCTGTAGTCTCAGCTACTCAGGAAGTTGAGGTGGGAGAATTGCTTGAACCTGGGAGGTGGAGGTTGCAGTGAGCCGAGATCGCACCACTGCACTCCAGCTTGGTGACAAAGCGAGATACCATCTCAGAAAAAAAAAGTAAAGGAATAAAATAATGGCTACTCTTTTTCTGGTTATTTCTTGAGCATATGCTAAACAAGGGGTGGATTATTTATGCCCCCCCCCACCCCTTTTAGACTATATAGGGTGAGTTCCTGACATTGCCATGGCATTTGTAAATGGTCATGGCGCTGGTGGGAGTGTAGCAGTGAGGATGACTAGAGGTCATTCTCATTGCCATCTTGGTTTTGGTGGGTTTTAGCCGGCTTTTTTACTGCAGTCTGTTTTATCAGCAAGGTCTTTATGACCTGTATCTTGTGCCAACCTCCTATCTTATCCTGTGACTAAGAATGCCTTAACTTACTGCGAATGTAGTCCAGCGGGTCTTAGCCTTATTTTACCAAGGCGCTATTCAAGATGGAGTTGCTCTGATTTAAACGCCTCTGACAGAGCTGCTCACAGAATTCAGAGAAACACTTATGTTTATAGGCTAATAATAAAAGATATTAAGGATACAGATCAATAATGAGATGCAGAGGTACATAGGTGTAGATGAAAAAAGTCAAACTCTGTAAAATATTTAAAGAGGTTTATTCTGAGCCAAATACAAGTGACTATGGCCCAAGGCACAGTCCAAGGCATCAAGAGGTTCTGAGAACATGTGTGCAAGGTGGTTGGGTTACAGCTTGGTTTTACACATTTTAGGGTGATGTAAGACAATAATCAATACATGTGAGGTATATATTGGTTTGGTCCAGAAAGGTTGAACAGTTCGAAGCTGGGGGCTAGTGTTACAGGTCATTGGTGGATTCAAAGATTTTCTTTTTTCTCTTTTTTTTTTTTGAGATGGAGTCTTGCTCTGTCACCTAGGCTGGAGTGCAGTGGCACGATCTCACTCACTGCAACCTCTGGGATTCAAGAGGTTGATCCCCTCCCAGGTTCAAGCATTCTTCTGCCTCAGCCTCCTGAGTAGCTGGGGCTACAGGTGTGCGCCACCACACCCAGCTAATTTTTGTATTTTTAGTAGAGATCGGGTTTCACCATATTGATCAGGCTGGTCTTGAACTCCTGACCTTGTGATCCACCCGCCTTGGCCTCCCAAAGTGCTGGGATTACAGGCGTGAGCCACTGCACCTGGCCCAGATTCAAAGATTTTCTGATTGGCAAGTCAGAAAAGAGTTAAGTTATTATCTAAAATCTGGAATCAGTAGAAAAGAGTGTCTGGGTTAAGATAAGGGGTTGTGGAGACCAAAGTTCTTATTATGTAGATGAAGTCTCCCACATGGCTGCCCTTAGAGACAATGGATGGCCAGTATTTTGTATTCAGACCTTTAAAAGGTGCTAGACTTTCAGTTAATCTCTTCAGGATTAGGAAGGTCTGGAAGGGGAAAAGTCTAGTTATGTTAATAGAGATTCTTTACAGATGCAAATTTTCCCCACAAAAGATGGCTTTGCAGGGCCATTTCAAAATATAACAAAGAAACATATTTTGAAGTAAAATATTTCAACTTCCTTCTTTATCGTAATATTATGCTAGAGTCAGGTTGGAATTTGTTGTCTTATTGCAACATAGTCTGTTTTGCCACTCTTAAGATTTCTGTTTTGGCCAGGCATGGTGGCTCACACCTATAATCGCAGCACTTTGGGTGGCTGAGGTGGGAGGATCACTTGAGCCTGGGAGGTTAAGGCTGCAGTGAGTTGTGACTGCACCACTGCACTCTAGCTTGGGCCTCAAAAAAAAAAAATTCTGTTTTCATGTTAAAGCTGGTCAGTTGTGCCTGAGCTCCACAAGGAGGAGAGTATAATGAGGCATGTTTGAGCCCCCACGTCTTTCCATGGCCCGAATTAGTTTTTTTTTTCTTTGGGTCCCCTTGGGTCTCCTAAAGTGGTGTCCATTCAGTCAGCTGGGGGTTTTAGAATTTTAGCTTGGTTTACACAGGGCAAGGTATTGCAGGGGGTTAGATGGGGCATGGATCTCCCGTGTTCACCCTGGACACACCACCCTCCCAGCACCTGCACGAGTTCAGCAACCCAGAAGCTCAGCAAAGCTCCATGTCCAAGAGTTTTCATAGAGCTTGATCTTCAGCCACACCTCCCTCTCTCTTTTCCTGGAAGTTTGTAGGTGGAGCTGAGAGATCCAACCTTCTAATCCTCTAGTCACTTGGTCTTTCTTGGTCCTTCCTCCCCATCTTGAGGCTCCCCAGGGGCTGTATCCTAAGTCATTTTCTTAGCATAAACTCAGGTATTATCTATGGGGCTCATTACAAATAACAAGAGACACTTCTGTCACTCAGGAAAGTCCAAGGGTTTTAGGAGTTCTGGGACAAGAACCAGGAAAGGACCAAATATATTTCATCTCATACTACAGGAAGTCTGTGAAATAAGGAGGAAGGTACATTTCTGAAGCACTATTTCTAGAGAAGGATCAGGCTGAGATGCTTCTCCAAAGTGGGAAGAGTGTTGTCAGGTATTTCTGCCACTTAACCTTGTCGTGTTCTTTTGCCCGCAGGAATGTCAGTGAGTGCCAGGCTGACCCCTCAGAGCAATCTGCCTTAATCTAGAGAGCATTCGTGTTCTGGCTGGATCATTACACTTTGGAGCTCTTTTTGACCTTTTTGTTGATTTTCAGGGTTGGATGGAATGGCAACCGTAAAGGTCATTCTGTACAGGGTGGAGCTTCTCCTGGAAGAGTTTGCCCTTAACTTAGGTGACAACATGTGTTTTCTCCACCAGTGTCTACGATGAACCACATCTTCCTGATCAGAAAATATCACTTTAAAAAAAAGACTCTGGGGCCTGGCGCAGTGGCTTACCCTTGTAATCCCAGAACTTTGGGAGGCCAAGGTGGGCAGGTCACTTGAGGTCAGGAGTTTGAGACCAGCCTGGCCAACATGGTGAAACCCCCTCTCTACCACAAAATACAAAAATTAGACAGGCATGGTGGCACGCGCCTGTAGTCTCAGCTACTCGGGAGGCTGAGGTGGATTTGAATTGCTTGAACCTGGGAGGCAGAGGTTGCAGTGAGCTGAGATGGTGCCAGTGCACTTCAGCCTGGGGAACAGAGTGACACTTGTCTCCAAAAAAAAAAAAAAAAAAAACAAGACAAACAAACAAAAACAACCCCAGGAAAGAGGATTGGTTGCACTGTCTTTCTTGGTTATATCTTTTTATGTTTTCAAGACATACTATTGGGAAAGTTCTACCTAAGATCTAACTGAAATCCCCCACAGTACAATCCACACTCATGTTCTCTTGTTTTGTGAAGATGGAAGAATACCTAGTGGATCTTTGTTTTTGAGAGTATTTCTCCCAAGACTCACTGTTGCTCAGCTTGGCCTGTTGCTTCCAGATTCCGAGGAAGGTCCAGGCTTTGTACTTGGACCTCACTGGTTCTCTAGTAGGGTCTGTGAGCCTCTGCAGACTTCTTTTATTATTATTTTTTTTAGATGGAGTCTCTCTTTGTCGCCCAGACTTGAGTGCAGTGGCATGATCTCGGCTCACTACACCCTCCACCTCCCAGGTTCAAGAGATTCTCCCGCCTCAGCCTCCCGAGTAGCTGGGATTACAGGTGTGTGCCACCACGCCCGGCTAATATTTGTGTTTTTAGTAGAGATGGGGTTTCACCATGTTGGCCAGGCTAATCTCGAACTCCTGACCTCGAGTGATCCACCCGCCTTGCCCTCCCAAACTGCTGGGATTAGAGGCATGAGCCACCACGCCCAGCCCTCTGCAGACTTCTTGGAGGAGTTTTCAGCCATTGTCAGCCATGTATGTTTGAAGGCAGGGCTGTCTTAGAGGTTAACAGAGAGGACAGTCGCCTGCCCATTCAGAAAGTTCTCAGAACACTGAAAATTTCTCTCTCTCTGAAGTGCCTTCTCCATGCTTGGATTGCTTCTTAAAATGCCTTTTGCTTCACTGCCAGAGAGATGCGACTGAAAATGCAGATAACTCAGGAGAGGTAATTCTCACGATTCATCAGACACTTATTGTGCGCTTACTGGGAACCTGGCACTGTTGCTGTGTGCTTGGGATACAAAAATGGATGCAAGCTGGGCATGGCGGTGTGTGCGTGTAGTCCCAGCTACTTGGGAGGCTGAGGTGGGAGGATAACTTGAGCCCAGGAGTTTGAGACCAGCCTGGGTGACAGAGTAAGACCCTGTCTCGGAAGAAAGAAAGAAAAGAAAAGAAAGGAAAGAAAGAAAAAGAAAGGGAGAAAGAGAGAAAGAGAAAGAGAGGCAAGAAAGGCAGGAAAGGCAAGAAAAGATGGTTACAGATGTCCCTTCCATTGGGGAGCTCCCAATTGAGTGTGTGGGAGATCACTATGTAAAAGTTAATTTCAGTGGCATATGGCATTCAGACTAAAGCATGAAAAAAAAATTGATCTGAGGACAGGATCTGCTGGGTGGGAGAGGAGAAGAGGGGCTTAGGGCCTTGATTTTACCAAATCTTCACCTATTTCACTCACACTCAGCTGCCACCTGTCAGCACCTGTTTCTGTCAGACAGACGGGTCTCTCAGAGAATCCAGTCATCCTGGTAGATGGGATTTGTGAAATTATTTCCACCTTCAGAAAAACTGAGAAGTCTAGGGCCATGAAGCTGGTCAGTGACAGAGGTGGATCTAGAATACAGGTCTCCGGCAACCAGAACAAGGGTTCAGTTTACTGTGTTTCTCAGGGAGCCCATATTCATCCAGGAAGGAGCCGTATCTTCAGGCAGTGAGTCATGACGCTCAGGCTGGGCCCCTCCATCTGTGGGGACAGGGTGACAGTTTTTCCTAGGACGACTGCCCCAGCACCAGTCCTAGAGACAGGCTGAGGCAGCATGGGTTGGAGGCTCTGGTTCTGCTAATTTTCTCGCTGTGTGGTCCTGGGCAGATTACTCACTCTCTCTGGGCCTCAGTGAGATTATAAAATGGAGAGTGTACATTTCTGTTTCATCTTGTTAGACAAAATTAAGCACATGTGTCTGAAGAGTTATGCTAATGCATATATTAGTTTACAAAAGCAAAGACATTTGTGCCTATCTATGAGGCCTCCAAGTCTGCTTCTCTGGTTAGTGGAGGCTGGAAGAGTGATTTATTCCTTCTTTGGTTATTTATGAGATGTTGCTTTTCTGATCTATTGATGGGTGCTGAAAAACTGCCTGTAAACCTAGTTTGTTTTTTTTAACCTCCCACAATAGTTATCTTAACCTAGTGTTTATAGTTTAAGGGCTGCTCTCATCTGTATGTCCCTTCAGTGTTGGCCTGCTTAAGATTCCGACTCCAGGTTTCTTCTTTTATATATGTATTTAAAAAAAAAGAGAGAGAGAGAGACAGGGTCTTGCTATGTTGCCTAGGCTGGTCTCAAACTGCTGGACTCAAGCAATCCTCTTGCCTTGGCCTCCCAAAGTATTGGGCTTCCAGGTGTGGTCCACAGAGCCTGGCCCCAGGTTTCTTCTTATTTCTCCTCCTTTTCCTCCTTTTACCCTTTCTCTCGCTCACTCTCTTTCTCACCCTCCCCCTTGTACTATTTTTTTATTATTTTTTTTTGAGGCAGTCTTGCTCTGTTGCCCAGGCTGGAGTGCAGTGGCCCAATCTCGGCTCACTGCAACCTTTGCCTCCTGGGTTCAAGCGATTCTCGTGTGTGCCACCACACCCAGCTAACTTTTGTATTTTTGGTAGAGACGGGGTTTCGCCATATTGGCCGGGCTGGTCTCATACGCTTGGTCTCAAGCAATTCGCCCGCCTTGGCCTCCCAAGTGCTGGGATTACAGGCATGAGCCAGCATGCCCAGCCTCCACTTTCTACTTCTAAATCCATATACTGTCCTGGGGCGATTTCATCCATTCTCTTGGCTTTAATTATTCCTGTCTGAGACCTCATATTTTTCCTGGGCCTTAGGCTTATACCTCCACCTGACTAATGGGCAGTTCCACTGCGATGTTCTTCAAAACTCAGCTTGTCTTTTTGTAATTGAACTCATTATTTTTCCCTTCAAACCAGTTCCCTCCATTCTGTTACTTACATTGGGGCTTGGTACTTTTTGTTTTCACGAGGCTTCTCTCCCTCCAAGCAAATGTTCCTCAAGCCTGCCTTCTCAGCTCCATCACCATAGCCGGCTCTCACGTGTATTACACAAGCATCCTGACTCCATCACAGCCCCTCTCCTGTGCTTCTTCTCTCTGCAGCCAGAAAGGTCTTCATAACCTCACTTCTGTTCCCCTCCTGCTTCATCCACCTGCTGCTCTTGTGTGCTCTGCCTCCAGCCAGTCTGACCTTTTAGTTCCATGAATGGGATGCTCTCTTATTTCCAGGTTTCATCAACGTTGTTCCGTCAGACAGAATTCCTTTTTCATAACACTGACCTACTTTGCCACCGTAAGGCCTTTTCGTTTGTTTAGTTAGCCTTTCCTCTAGGGAATGGTTCTTGACTGAGGTCTTCATTATGTCTGTGTTTCTGAAGCATCCTGCACTGGAGTGTGATAACGTGCTCGCATTGTATCGTTTATTAGATCCTACACACTGAAGGCAGAGTTTATTTTATTCAGTGTTTGTTTTATTCAGTGCCTGCTAAGCTCTTTGCATGGAACATGGTAGGAGCTCAGTAAGCATGTGTTTAGGGAATGAATGAATAATCAAATGATGAAAGCCTCTAAGGAAATTCGATTTTCATGGAATTCTACGATAAATCATTTTGCAAAGCAAGGAGTCCTCTTGAAGCTGAATAATTACCCCTTCATATGCCATTTATGTAAATCTGTACTATTATGTATTGGCTTGTTTGTCTGTCTTTAACCTGTTGGTTTCTGTTCTGGTTTTAACTGGGTTCTGAGTCTTTAGTAAGTGCCCAGAGAGCAGACACTGCTTTTTATTTTTATTTTTTCATATATCACCCAGGGTGGAGATTGCTGGTGAGATATTGACTCACTGCAGCCTTGACATCCTGATCTCTTGAATAGCTGGGTCTGCAGATGCATGCCACCATGCCTGGCTTTTTTTTTTTTTTTTTGAGACAGGGTCTAACTCTGTCACCCAGCACTCAGGTTGGAACACAGTAGCACAATCATGGCTCACTGAAGCCTCAACTTCCCAAGCTCAAGTGATCCTCCTGCCTCAGCCTCCTGAGTAGCTGGGGTTTACAGGCATGTGCCACTATGCTCGGCTAGATTTTTCTACTTTTTGTAGAGACAGGATCCTGCTATGTTGCCCAGGCTGGTCTTGAACTCCTAGGCTCAAGGGATCCTTCTGCCTCAGCCTCCCAATGTGTTGGGATTACAGGCATGAGTCACCACACCTGAACCAGAGACTGCCGTTCTAAAGGTAGTCTCTATTCAGGGGAGCCAAACTTGGCATAGTTAGGTGGAGAGTGATCAGTCTTTCCCAAAATGAGGTTCCAGAGAGCACAAGCACATTGGGAACAATATTTTGTTTGATGGTGGACCCAGGGCCCTGGTATAGTCTGCAAACAGCAGTTAGGTTTTTTTCCCCACCAAAGACCCATAACAGTTTTGAAGAGCATTTATTTTTGGAGCTGTGGTTGCCATGGTAATGCAATACTTTTTCTCGTCTTCTGATTCCAGGTCAGGGCAACAGTTGTTCCTCCTGCAGGGGAAGAGGATTTTGGAATATATGCATCCTTCCACCTTTTTTCCCCAACTAACTAATCCAACAAACATTTATTGAACATACACTACATGCCAGATACCGTTCCTAACACCAGGAATAATAGTGAACAAAATAGAGTCTGCCCTACAGGGGCTTCTCTAGTGGGGTAGAGAGACTGTCAGCAAATTATCAGTGCAATATTGGTCCCTATTTGTTTAAAAGCGAATTATTTGGCCACATCACTGAAAGGGAATTAGTTTGTTTTCTAAAATTTGGAAATCAAGAGTTGTAAAAGAAGTGTCTTCCATACTGCTTTGAAGAGCGATATGGGAGCGGGGAGGAGCTGGTGGCTAAATGTGGGAAGCTGACTCTCTTCCCACTGATAGTGGGACTTCATTGGATTTGTGTGGGCACTTTGGAATGCAGATGCATTTGGTGCTCTGACATCATCTAAGACCTTGGGAGATGACAGGATTAAGCTGGGTCTCTCTGCAGCTGTCAGATGTCAAAGCTGTTGCTCTTCTGGTGTTTGTGGGAGTCTCTTGGCACTAACAGAAGCCAAGAGCCAAAGAGCTGCCAGAAATGGCCCTTTATTATCCAGTGTAATGAAAGCCTGGAAAACAGGCAGGGAATGCCATTTATTAAGCTACCACAGAGTGCGGTACCTTAAACTGGGCTCCAAGAAGGAAGGTAGAGAGGAAAGAGGGGGTACTGATACCTGCTGTTGGGAGCGTCCCATCAGGGTGGCAGAGAATGGCACTCACAAGGACACAAATGAAAATGATGCAGACAATAGCAATTTATCACAATCTCTTAATTTGAGTAGCACTTTACCTTTTCAAAACAATTTACCAGGCCATGGGCTCTCCCACGGAAGGGACAGGGTATAATTATTCTTTGTGATTGCTGTAGCACTGGCACACACCAGGATGTCCAGTGACAAGCGTATGGCATGACAATCTATTACCTCATTTGTTCCTGCATCCTGTGGGGCAGATGTAATGAGTAGACCCACCTGGCACTTAAGGAAATGGGGATTCTGAAATATGCCCACATCCATACAGCTAAGTAATGCTAGAAACCAGACTCAAAAAGAGGTTGTGTCATGTCACTTTTAATTTAGGGCCCTTTCTTTGTTGTACCATACGTGTGTTGTATCTGACATTATACTGAGGCTTATGGATACATGCTGACAGTGTGGGTAATTCAAATCCACAGGAAATGAAACATAAAGACCAAACATTTTAACTAGCAGTTTCGGTGTGCTCCACTGTTTGAAAGCAGCAGCTTCTGTGAACAGCTTTGACTGGATTTTACCTCCCCTGCTCCCCTTCCCATTTGGAGGGACACATTACACAGTCAGGCTGCCAGAGAGAGGAGAGTCCAAATCCCGCCAGCCAGCACTTGTTGCTTGGCTGCTATGTGCTGGCCACTGAGGTGTGGCTGGCTTCTTCTCTTGAAAGATGTAGTCTAGTTTATTTATTATTCATTCATTTGTTTGACAGCAGATTATATATATATATGTATGTATGGTGGTGTTCTCTCGCCCAGGCTGGAGTACAGTGGCATGATCATAGCTCACTGCAGCCTCTAAATCCTGGGCTCAAGTGATCCTTTTGTCTCAACCTCCTGAGTAGCCGGGACCACAGGCACGTGCCACCATGCCCAGTTAATTTTTTAGATTTTTATAGAGACAGGGTCTCACTATGTTTTCCGGGTTAGTCTTGAACTCCCAGCCTCAAGAAATTCTCTTTCCTTGGCCTCCTAAAATGTTGGGATTACAGATGGGAGCCACTGCACCCAGTCCGACAGCAGATTTTTTTGACCATCCGTTAGGCAGTCAGTGCAAGTAATTGTGAACAAATGTAAAAATTTAAAATGTGACAGTCAAGTCCAACAGAGCTTAAAGGAAAAACATATAATAAAAATGTGACAAGTGCATCTAAGAAGAGGACAGCAGTAACTGTTACATTTGGTAATCCTGGCAATTAGCCAGATCTTGTGAAGGACATTTTTTCTGGTAGAAGACCTTCCTTGGCCAGGCATGGTGGCTTATGCCTGTAGTCCCAGCACTTTGGGAGGCCGAGGCAGGTGGATCGCCTGAGGTCAGGAGTTCGAGACCAGCCTGGCCAACATGGTGAAACCCTGTCTCTACTAAAAATACAAAAATTAGCCAGGCGTGGTGATGGGTACCTGTAATTTCAGCTACTCGGGAGTCTGAGGCAGCACAATTGCTTGAACCTGGGAGGTGGAGGTTGCGGTGAGCCAAGATGGTGCCACTGCACTCCAGCCTGGGTGACAGAGTGAGACTCTGTCTCAAAAAAAAAAGACCTTCCTTAATAAGTGGAGTTGGATAGACATTTTGCTTTGGAAAACAGAAGCTATTTACTCTCAATATTAGGTCTACTTCATTCATTTCACAGAATAGGCAAAGATGTCTGGGGCTTTGCTCACTAGGGAATTCTGGCCATGGCCTTTTGCTTCTCTTCTAACCAGGCCTTTTGCTTCTCTTCTCCCTTTTTGCCAGATGTAGAACCACCAGGCTTCCCTTTCATTTCTCCAGGAAAGAAGGGGTAGGGAAGTGAAAGTTCGGTCTTGTGTTTCACAGGCACCACTGAAGTAAAGAATTCAATATTTAGATAATTTTGTGTTACTTTCAGTGCATTTTTCTGACCTTGTTCCTCATAACCATGGAGAATCTAGAGTTCTAGAGCATTTTACCTTAATTAATGACTAGTTTAAGGCCTTTTTGGGTGGCTAGTTTGGAAATGACTCATATTCATGGTCTTGATCAGTTCAACAGTATCCTTAGAAGGTTAGGAAGAAACAATTGTCAGTGTGCAAATAACTCCAAACCTCTAATCCAGCTTAAATTGAAAAATACAGTGGAATATATACATGCAGAAACATAAACGTTTTCTAATAAATATATGTATATATCTAATACACATCAATATATATTAAATATAAGTATATATGTATATGCAAGTATATATATCTTTTTATTTTAAGACAATCTCACTCTGTCATCTAGGCTGGAGTGCAGTGGTGCAATCCTGGCTCACTGCACCCTCTGCCTCCTGGGTTCAAGCAATTCTCATGCCTCAGCCTCCCAAGTAGCAGAAATTACAGGCACGCGCCACCACACACAGCTAATTTTTGTATTTTTAGTAGAGACGGGGTTTCGCCATGTTGGGCAGGCTGGTCTTGAACTCCTGACCTCAAGTAATCCTCCTGCCCCAGCCTCCCAAAGTGCTGGGATTACAGACATGAGCCACCGTGCCTGGCAATATATAGGTATGTATTTTTTAAACCTGGATATTCCTTAGGGCAGGCTAAGTACTTTTTGGTCCTGGAATACTGACTCAAATTTCAGAAAGAAATTTTAATTTGCCTGTTGCATATGATACTTGTTTTAATACCAGCAATTGGACTCAAACCTATGCACCTCAGGGAGATTTCTGGATCTTGCCTGTTTTATTATAGGGGAGGACAAAGTAAACCCAAAGAGGGCTGAGCAATGGAGCATCTGAAGTCCCAGGTCGCTACTGATTGTGAATTCGAGGGTGATCAGGGACAGCTAAGAAACAGAAATGTGTTTCTATTTCTTCCAAGGCTCTGTATCTTTGTAAAATCCCGTTGATAATGGCCCATGCCAACACTGTTCCTCACCTATCCCCACCTCTAGCAAGGCCAGGGTAAATACTTTCCCAGCAGCTGAGTGTGACTTTTATCCTGGTAATAATTTCAATCCTGCTTCCATGGAGTAAAATTCCAGACTGGGACAAGCGTTCTTTCCGCAGGCAGCTTTGCATCATCAGCTTCCTCTTACACACATTGGTCATCATGATAATACCTACCTTGAAGACTGGTTTGCAGATGAAATAAGATAAGGCATCTCTCCAATTTCCTGACATCCTGTAGATACTCACTTCCTGGTTACTTCCTTTGTCCCTCTCCCCTTTAAATTTAAGAGAAGGAGGTGTTTTCATATGGGTGTCATTTGGGGCCAAGCTTATCTGATCTGAAGGACAGGCCCCAGGGCTTGCGTTGTTTTTTCGTCATTGCCAGGCACCTTTGCTGAGTCATTTGGGGTTGGCAGACCTGGAAAAGACAGCGGTTTAGAGAGTGGTTAGTGCCGTGATCAGCCAACGCAGGCTCTATTGTCTGTTAGTATTTCCTGGTGCACTTTTGGAACCTGATCTGCCCTTCTCATGGTTAAGGGCAGGGGATGAGTAACTAGCCATGGGGATGTTCTGCATATCTTGCCTTGTGCTGAATTTCCTATAAAATGGCTTCATGAAACTTTGATGTCAGCTTAAGCAGTACTGCCACCAGGCTCTGCGGAGGGCCCTAAGTGAATAGAGGGCAGCAGTGTCTTCCAAATTTGAAATGAGTGACAGTGGGTTATAATTAGGGGAGAAGATGCTCTTGATGCTACTGAGAAGATACAGAGTGAGAACTTTTCTTAGAAAAGTCTGAGGTTGTAAAGAAGAACCAAGGTAAGATTTAAAGATTGCCTCTGAGAGATAGGAGACATATGTGGGAATAGGACTGGTTTTACATGTCCCCTAAAATGCTTATTCCATCTTTAGTGAGGCTGTATTTGTGGGACTAGGTGCATGTAATTCTTATGTTTAAAGAAATGCTTTAACTTGTTATATCTGAAGGATGTTTTATGAGCACTTAGTCTTTTACTAGTTTTGTGATGTTTTATCCCCATCAACATCAATGACAAGTATTGTTTGAATATGTACTTCATGTAAGATGTATAAGAGCCCTACTTAATATTTAGGGAAGTAGGAAATTGAACATTTAAGTCTATTTTTTGCCCAACATATAGAGATGAGAGGGAAAAATATTTGATTAAACTATAATCTTTGTGTCTATTATGACTAGGTAGAGATTCCTTAGGATGAACTAAAATCAAAACAGATTTCACTAGAATTTATTTTTATTTTTTATTTTATAAAAACGAGGGTCTTACTATGTTGTCCTAGCAACATAGTAAGGAGTCTCGAACTCCTGGGCTCAAGTGATCTGCCTTCCTCGGCCTCCCAGTGTGCTAGGATTACAGGCATGAGCCACCGCGCCTGGCCAGATTTTACAAGAATCTGCTTGTGAATTCCCTTCAAAATTAAAATTACACTGGAACCCCTTCTGATGATATGCATTCCACTCAATTGATCATTCATCCTCTACTTGCTATCGAACTGCTGCGCTCACCATGCAATACGGCATAGTTTGCAAAGCCACGGACTCTGGAGTGATCTGCATGGATTCTGTCCAGGCTCTGCCACTTACTCTCTGCCCTTAACATATTTTTTAGCTTTTTTGAGGCTACATTCTTCAGCTTTATTGTCTTTATAACACTTTGTACTTCTGAAATTATCATCTTCTTTTATTTTTCTCTGTTGATGATCTGTCTCTCATTTCTGCATCCCTTCTGCTAAACCATAAGAATTTGAGGTCCTTGAGAGCAGGGACCTTTGCCCCATCTGTTTATTACTGTGTTCCCAGTGGTTAGAAAACAGCCTGGCATATAGAAAACACTCAACCAGGCCGGGTGGGGTGGCTCGCTCCTGTAGTCCCAGCACTTTGGGAGGCCAAGGTGGGCGGATCATTTGAGGTCAGGAGTTCGAGACCAGCCTGACCAACATGGTGAAATCCTGTCTCTACTAAAAATACAAAAAATTAGCTGGGTGTGGTGGCACACACCTGTAATCCCAGCTACTCGGAAGCCTGAGGCACGAGAATCGCTTGAACCAGGGAGGTGGAGGGAGGTTGCAGTGAGCCAAGATTGCACCACTGTACTCCAGCCTGGGCGACAGAGAGAGACTGTCTCAAAAACAAAACAAAACAAAAAAGAACAACACACTCAACAATGGCATATCCATTTTATAGAATGAGCAACTGTTAACAGTTATCCTTCTTGTCAGCAGAAGCACCAGAGGGTTAAGAAAAAAGTTTCAGATGCCTTCTCTGCCCACCAGGAGTTTGACATTCTTGTTCTCTAAGGGCAGCATTGGTGTTGTGGAAAGAGCCCCGAGAGTCAGCAAACTCGAGTTTTATTCTTTGCAGTGCTACTAAATACCTCTGTGACTTTACACTTGTCATTTACCTTCTTTGGGCTGTTGGTTTCCTGTTTGAAAAAGAAAAAATTGGGGCCAAGTGTGGTGGCGCATGCCTATAATCCCAGCACTTTGGGAGGCTGAGGCAGGCAGATCACTTGAGCCCCTGAATTTGAGACCAGCCTGGGCAATGTCATGAGACCTCGTCTCTACAGAAAATACAGAAAATAACCAGGTGTGGCCAGGCGCAATGACTCACGCCTATAATTCCAGCACTTTGGGAGGCTGAGTCAGGCAGATCACTTGAGGTCAGGAGTTTGAGACCAGACTGGTCAAAATGATGAAACTCCGTCTCTACTAAATATACAAAAATTAGCCAGGTGTGGTGGTGCACACCTGTAGTCCCAGCTACTGTGGAGGCTGAGGCAGGAGAATCACTTGAACCTGGGAGGCAGAGGTTGCTGTGAGCTGAGATGGCGCCACTGTACTCCAGCCTGGGCGACAGAGGGAGACTCTGTCTCAAAAAAAAAAAAAAAAAAGAAAAAGAAAAGAAAGAAAGAACTAGGTGTGGTGGCACATGCCTCATGCCTGTGGTCCCAGGTACTCGGGAGGCTGAGATGGGAGGATTGCTTAAGCCCAGGAGGTCAAGGCTGCAGTGAGCTGTGATGGCACCACTGCACTCTAACCTGGGTGACAGAGAGAGACCCTTTCTGAGAAAAAAAGAAAGAAAGAAAGAAAGAATTAGAACAGTTTATCCCTCGAATCCCTTCCTGCTGTGAAGTATCGGCTCATGATTTTATTAATAAAATTAGAGATTGTTATAAAATGATAACCTGGAAAGAGAGTAACAGTTAAAGGACACACTTATCAAATGAGCATACAGGAAGTGAACCAGGAAGCCACATTTCTGTGTCTCTGTTAGCTGCCTCTAAACCACGTTTGTTCTTAGACTGCTATTCTTTCCCCACTGTCCAGCCAGCGTCAGCCTACCCTCGTGGTTTAGTTCACGTGTTTTAGAATAGCCAGCAACTCCCTTCTTTCTCAATCTTTGTGTCTTCCACTTAGCCTTCAAACAGGCTTAATGGAAGATTTCTTAGCTTAGCGTCATGGGACTTTTAAGGCTAGACAGGGCCTATGTGATTGTCTAGCACACTCTGTTCATTTTACAGATAAGCAAACTGAAGTTCAGAACAATGGGGCAACTTGCTCTGTGTTCTACGGAGTCCATGACAGAGTCAGTGCTGGACCCAGCCTTATGAGCCTGGCTCTGGTGCTATTGCTCCACTGTGCTCCGTGCTCTATTTTCCACATATTTTATTTTATGTATTTGTTTTTTGAGATGGGGTCTCACTCTATCGCCTGGGCTGGAGTGCGCTGGTGCAATCACGCTTACTGCAGCCACGACCTCCTGGGCTCAAGTGATCCTCCTACCTCAGCTTCTGAGTAGCTGAGACTACAGGCATGCACCACCGCACCTGGCTAATTTCTCCACTTTTTTGTAGAGACAGGGTCCTGCTATGTTATCCAAGGTGGTCTTGAACTCCTGGGCTCAAGGAATCCTCCTGCCTCGGCCTCCCAAAATGTTGGGATTACAGGCGTAAGCCACCATGCCTGGCTGCCACATATTTTAAATAGATGAGTACCACTTTATGCATGACTCCACGATAAGTGCGTATGTATGCTACACAGAACCTAGTTGGAGTTCTGAGAGAGAGAGAGAGGAGAGGGGAGGGGATTAGGGGAATTGGCTTACATGATTATGGAGGCTGAGAAGTCCCACAACACACCGGAGACCCTGGGATGCTGGTAGCGTGGCTCAGTCCAAGTCTGCAGGCCTCAGAACCAGAGAAGCTGATGTTGTAACTCTCGGTTTGAGGCCAAAGGCCTAGAACTCAGAGAGCCACTGAGGGACAGAGAGAGGAAGAATATAATCCAACTCTGGCAGTTCCATTCACATATTCACCTTTTCTCAGTTTTTGTTTTCCAGGCCCCCAGCAGAATGGATGGTGCCCACTCACAATGAGGGCGGATCTTCCGCACCTAGTCCACTCAGACTCACATGCTGATCTCTTCTGGCAACATCTTCACAGACACGCCCAAAAATAATGCTTTACCGGGTTCCTAGGTAGTCTTTAATCCAGTCAAACTGACACCTAAAATTAACCATCACAATTACCTTCTCACTAAAATCAATCTGAGAAGAAAATGGTCATAAAGAATTTGATGCAAATCCCTTTTTTGATTTATAGGATGAACAGTATCCTAGATAAGGAAACAGTGAAAGGCTGTTTTGTTTTTTTTTTTTTTTCCCCTCCTCTTCATACTCCCCAATGTGAGTAATGGGCAAAAAATTCCAGGAGAATGGGAGCATTCTGAGTGATAAGAACAAGTATCTCTCAACATGTAGAGTGTGTATACGGGTGGGTTATTTTCAAATTTCAAGTCTGCAAATGGGTAGTTCCAGGTATGGCTTGGTGATTGAAGTGGAGGTTCTTTTGGGGCTAGTCCTTTGTGCTCCTGTAATTTCCCCCCAACTCTGAGTCTGAGCTCAGTGAGAACAATCACTTTAATGCTTAATGCACACCGTAATACACAGCGGAGTTAACAGAATATTCAGACAATCACAGACACAATGGCCTTCCTAGCCATGAGTTTGGAAAAGTGTTTCTAGGAGCTTGTTGTAGCAGAGGCTGTGTAGATGACAAAGAACATGCACTGCATTGTAGATGGGTTATAGTTATGGTGACCAGCCCTTGGAGTTAGGGCAGATTGGGGTATTTGATTGCAAAGAAATAAGACACTTCTATATATTTTTTTTTAATTTGCTGATCATGGGAAAATCTTCATGAACCCTTATCTTCTTTTTTTTTTTTTGAGATGGAGTTTTGCTTTTGTCACCCAGGCGAGAGTGCAGTGGCATGATCTGGGCTCACTGCAACCTCCATCTCCTGGGTTCAAGCAATTCTCCTGCCTCAGCCTCCAGAGTAGCTGGGATTACAGGTGTGAGCCACCATACCTGGCTAATTTTCTATTTTTAATAGAGGTGGGGTTTTGCCATGTTGTCTAGGCTGGTCTCCAACTCCCGACTTCAGATGATCCACCCACCTCGGCCTCCCAAATTGTTGAGATTACAGGCATGCACCACTGTGGTCGGCCATATTCATGATTTAAAGGAATTGAAGATAAAAGAATTGAGTTTGATAAAAAAGAGAGAGAAGAATATTATTTTCTTCAAATACTGACTTTTAAGTGAGATAGTGTGCAAAAAATCCATATACTAGGTACTCAAATACCTGTTAGTTGACCCTTCCCCTATGATGTGAACTGGTTATTCACAACTATCTTTATACTTTAAGTCCTGTTCCTAAACACACACTGAGGTTCTGGAGGGCAGGGCTGGGTCTTAGGTAAATTTGTTCTGCTACCTTCTCACTGGACACCTGGCTCACCCAAAGCTTGCCTCTCATCTGTTTTCTGTGTACAGATTGCCATTCAAAAAGTGTTTTCTGAGTGAATGAATTATTTACTTTATGGAGCATCAACATCCTTTTTATGTTCTTGTCCATTTTTATGTCCTTGTCCTCACCCTTGTCCCTTCAAGTTCAGTGGGTCCCAGAACTGAACTTGAAGAGAGTTAATTGGATATAGGCCAGGAGTGTGATTGGACATACGTGTGTGTGTGTTTCATTAAAATTCTCAAACTAAAAATAAATGGTTTGTGGATTAGTCAACTTCTGTTTTCTTCTGCTCGATATCCTGAATTATCCAGTACCTGTTGCCTCCATGCTACTGAAAAGTGACCATGTGTGGTATGACAAGCTTATCAGAAGGCTGTCAAAGTGCTTGGCAGAGAAGACATGGAGTTTAATCCTGAGTGGAAAATGGCATTGTGGAAACAGATGAATTATAGTAGATGAATATAGTAGAAAATATAGTAGATGAATTAAAGTACATGAATTATCTACTTTGTGGACCATCAAAATCCTTTTTATGTTCTTGTCCAAGTTCAGTGGGTTCCGGGACTGAACTTGAAGAGGGTTAATTGGATATAGGCCAGGAGCGTGATTGGGCAGATTTGTGGCAATTACACCTAGACACCGTGACTCCAGCCCCAGTCAATGCGGGGATTTCTCCCCAGGCCCCCCAGGGCACTCTGTGAGTGTTAATGACCAGAGTTTTTGGTTAGGACTGTTTTTATGTCTTCCAATTGGAAAAAACAAGATAATGCTTTTACCATAAGCCAGTTTTTCCCGGGGCTAAGGGCAAATGAAATTGGATGGTGGTTGGGTCAGCAGGATTTGGGGGGCGGACAGGAGTGGGGCAGGGAAGGGGAGGCAGGAAGCTGAAAGGATTCTTTCTGGAAAACAGCACAGCTTGCGGGCTGCTTGTCCTTGAGCTCCGAGGTCACTAGAGCGGTTGGTCTTTGATAGGGTTTCTGCATGAATCCCCTGCTCCTACGTTTCCTTTGTCCCTTTAGGACCCAAGAATCCATCTGCCTTCCCAGGTGCATCAGCTTCTCCTTTCCTTGGGCGCCTCTTTCCTGGGCCGTCCAGGAAGAACACAAGGCTCTCTGTGTCTTTCCCACCTCGTGACCTTTTGGAATTCACATATTTTTGGCTTTTTAAGAGGTTTGGCTTGTGTTGACTAGAGGGAAACAGGTGATAGCAAAATTAATAGCCAGTTGGGAAGCCATAGTCATAAAAAATGTCTTAAAAACATATTGAGTCTTAATTGAGTTTGGTCTTCAATCAGATGTGAATGGACCAGTGCTCCTGTTGCCTGGGCTGCTTCTAAAATGTTCTTGTCAGTTCAGTCGTCTTTCTGGGGAATCAGCTGCCCCGACTGACTCCAGGTTGGCTCCTAAATCAAGCTATGTTGACTTCAGCTGGCAGAAAAGCCAAGCTGGCACTGCTACCAGGACTGTTTCCTAAGAGTCCCCCAGGGCACCAGCATTTCTGTCTGCAGCTGGCCGAGCCCTTGTGATTCCTGTCCTTGTGGCTAAATGAGGTGGTGCTGGCCTCTCTGGTTCCCAAAGACTCCCCCTTGGGCTGCAGGCCAAACGTCACTGGCCTCCTAGAAGTCTCTCCAGCCCTGGCTCTAGCTCTGGGAAGTCCTGGCCTATGCCTTGGCACACTGCTCTGTCTTTTTTGGATTGTCTATGGTTTCTTCCCCAGCTGGTTGTTGAGACAGCTCTACTTTTTGTTGTTGTTGTTGTTTTGTTTTGAGACAGAGTTTCGTTCTTGTTGCCCAGGCTGCAGTGCAATGGCGTGATCTCGGCTCACTGCAACCTCTGCCTCCTGGGTTCAAGTGATTCTTCTGCCTTAGCCTCCCGAGTAGCTGGGATTACAGGTGTCCACCACCACACTCGGCTAATTTTTGTATTTTTAGTAGAGACGGGGGTTTCACCATGTTGGCCAGGCTGGTCTCAAACTCCTGACCTCATGCGATACCCCCGCCTCAGCCTCCCAAAGTGCTGGGATTACAGGCATGAGCCACTGCGCCCGGCCAAGATAGCTCTACTTTCAAGTGCAGGTTTTTTTTTTTTCTGGTATGGTCATTTGTTTATTTCTTTTTTTTTTTTTTTTTGAAATGGGATCTTGCTCTGTCGCCCAGGCTGGAGTGCAGTGGCACGGTCTTGGCTCACTGCAAGGTCCACCTCCTGGGTTCACGCCATTCTCCTGCCTCAGCCTCCCGAGTAGCTGGGACCACAGGCGCCCGCCACCATGCCTGGCCAATTTTTCTGTATTTTTAGTAGAGATGAGGTTTCACCATGTTAGCCAGGATGGTCTCGATCTCCTGACCTCGTGATCTGCCCGCCTTGGCCTCCCAAAGTGCTGGGATTACAGGTGTGAGCCACCGTGCCGGGCCAGTCATTTGTTTATTTCTATGGTTTCACCTGTGGCTTTGTGACCTCAGTGGCAGGTGCCATCCCCTGACAAACTGCCTCAAACTGGGCAGAGCAGACTCGTTACTTCTTGTTTCAAGGTTTTCACTTGCCTTGGACTTCCCAGATGCTCTTGCTTTCTAGCTGAGGGCTGCCACCTGCAAAGCAGAGACGGCTGACACTTGTGGCAGAGTGAACATTCAAGCTCAGCTCAGCCCCTGAGTCCCAGCCCAAGCTCAGAGTCCCTTCAGTCTCATCAGTGAGGTTATCCCTGCCACCCACCCCTTCTCCAAGTGAATGCTACGCTCCAGCACTGGAGTGTGCTTAAGGTGAAAGAATAAAGAATTCAGGGACAAAAAACCTTAAACTGAAATCCCTGTTTCTCAGATGCTTGAAGGCAGCATGCTCGTTAAGAGTCATCACCAATCCCTAATCTCAAGTAATCAGGGACACAAACACTGCGGAAGGCCGCAGGGTCCTCTGCCTAGGAAAACCAGAGACCTTTGTTCACTTGTTTATCTGCTGACCTTCCCTCCACTATTGTCCCATGACCCTGCCAAATCCCCCTCTGTGAGAAACACCCAAGAATTATCAATAAAAAAATAAATTAAAAAAAAAAAAAAAAAAAAAGAAATCCCTGTTTCTTAGCTTACCAGCACAGTTTGCTCATAGACGTGCCATGTATCCCTGTGAAGTCTTATTTTCTTCATCTTTATTATTTATTTATATTTATTTATTTATTTTAAGATGGAGTCTCACTTTGTCACCCAGGCTGGAGTGCGATGGCGCGATCTCGGCTCACCGCAACCCCTGCCTCCTAGGTTCAAGTGATTCTCATGCCTCAGCCTCCCGAGTAGCTGGAACTACAGGCATGGGCCACCACCACGCCTGACTAATTTTTTATATTTTCAGTAGAGTCGGGGTTTCACCACGTTGGCCAGGCTGGTCTCCAACTCCTGGCCCCAAGTGATCCACCCGCCTTGGCTTCCCAAATTGCTGGGATTACAGGCATGAGCCACCGTGCCCAGCCTATTTTCTTCATCTTTAAAATGGGGATCAGAGTGTATACACTTCTTATTTACCTGATGAGGGTAAAAAGTTGGAAGCATATACATGGGAGCACTTTGTAGATGGGGAAGAAGTGTTTTAATGGGAAGGTTTATTCCTAGTATTAAATACAACATATTAGTATGCAGTATCTTGAATGAATTGAAAAAAGCAGCCAGAGTTTGCACTAAAGGAGGTGTTCTCTGATGTAGCCAACAGGTTCTCTCCACCACACGGGCAGAGCTACCGTCTCACTGGTAATAACTGTGCCAACTTGGATTTGTCATTAGTCCTATGGCTCAAAGGAGACAGAGCTCTGGGTCAGCAGAGAAAAAAGTCAATGAGTTAATATTTGAATGCACCAAGGGAAGGGACAGGCCTCTGTGTGACACAGCGCCCAATAGGCCAGGGTGGAAGATATGGATCATATAGAAGGGAAATGAAGAGAAAGTGGAGAGCACAACATGCACGAAGTTGCAGGAATGAATGTGCATGGGAGATTTGGGGAGCACGAGCCCCAGAAAGGAAAACTGTGTAAAGGCCTCAGGAAGAGCTTTCTGCTGGGGAAGTCAGTTTCATGTAGTAAGGCCTTGTGTGGCAGGCAGAAAACTTTGGACTGTATTCTATGACATTATAGGAAGACTTCAAGAGACTGTAACTTGGGAAGAGACTTGACTAGAGCTGTTTTAGAAGATAACAGGGGTGGGCCATGCCTGTAATCCCAGCACTTTGGGAGGCCAAGGTGGGAGGGTCGCTTGAGCCGAGGAGCTCAAGACCAGCCTGGGCAACAAAGGGAGACCCCATTTCTAAAAAAAAAAAAAAAATTTAGCTGGGTGTGGTGGTGCACACCTGTGGTCCCAGCTACTCGGCAGGCTGGGGTGGAAGGATTGCTTGAGCCTGGGAGTTGAAGACTGCAGTGAGCCATGTTCATGCCACTGCACCCCAGCCTGGGAGACAGAGCTAGCAAGACTTGGCCTCTAAAATAGTAATAATGATAATAATAATAATAACATCTAGGCACATTAGCATGCTGGGGCCAGCTGGCATCCACTTGTAGACGCCGATTGTGCATATCATTTCCCAATGCCAATTTCACCGATAGCAGAAATCAATCATGGTGGGAGTATACATGGCAGAAATTGGCAAATAATATAAATCAGCCCCCTCCACCAATCTAGTTGTTAAACATTTGTCAGCACAGATAAAGGACCGTTTCAATAGAGTGGGATGTCAGTAGTTTTCAAACCTGAGATGCCTGTTAAAACTCCTTCAGGCTCCAACCCAGGCCCCCTGAATCAGAATCCAGGATCAATGAGGGAATGGGAACCTTTTTCTTTTCTTAAAAAGTTTCCAGGTGATTCTTATGCAGCCAAGGTGGTACTGATATTTGGACTAGAGCAAGGATAATAGGAATAGAGAGGAGAGGATGGATATAAAAGATGTTTCAAAGGTGGGAGCTAATATAACTCAGTGATAGATCGAAGGTAGGGAGTGGAGGAGAGAGAACTGCTGGAACTATTTCTGTGTTTCCTTGTTTGTACAGCTAAGTGGAGGGATGGTGATGCAGGTGACTGAGCTAAGGAAGGCAGATGGAAGTTGTTGGGGAGAAGTGAGGGTGTGGGAGGCGGGAAGGGGTAGTTTTGGACAGGCTGTGCGATGAGCCTAGGGAGGTAGGGTTTTGGTGACATCCTGTAAACAGCTGGATATGGGGGACCGGAGCTTGGTGGAACACTAGGAGTTTTAGATACAGGTTTGGGAGTGAACATGTGGCTTTTTGTCCGAGCCATGGATATGGATGGCATTGCTGGAGGAGAATGTGTCATGTGAGAAGAGAAAGAGACTCTGGATGGAACTCTAGGGGCAACTTTTCAGAGGTTGGTAGGGGAAGAGAAGCCAAGTAGAGATCAAGCAAAGAGCGGTATGTATGTTGAAAGCCCAAGTCGATGGCTCCTTAGAGAGAGGAGTTCCTTTAGGTGTTTTCGCATTTCCAGAAGCCTAACAGAAACCACACGTACATTTTTCTGTAACAAGACAACCTAAAACATTCCTTTGTTTGGCTTGAATTCTATCAATCCAGTGTGGTAAGACATGTCCTTGGAGGCTGACCTGAAGCTCTGAATGGTAGTTGTGTGTCTTTCATTAGAAACACACTTGGGGCGTGGTGTGGTGGCTCATGCCTGTAATCCCAGCACTTTGGGAGGCAGAGGCAGGCGGATCACCTGAGGTCAGGAGTTTGAGACCAGCCTGGCCAACATGGTGAAACCCCATCTCTACTAAAAAAAATACAAAATTAGCCGGGTGTGGTGGTGCATACCTGTAATCCCAGCTACTAGGGAGACTGAGGCAGGAGAATCACTTGAACCCGGGAGGCGGAGGTTGCAGTAAGCTGAGATCACACCACTGTACTCCAGCCTGGGCAACAAGAGTGAAACTCCATCTCGAAAGAAAAAAAAAAAAAAGAAACACACTTAGGAATATTGTTTGAGGGTTCTTGGTGGAGAGGAAGTTGGGACATTGTAGGAAACAGAAGTGAAAGCTCTCTGTGTGTACTGGCCTGACTCTGTGAGAGGAAATGGATGGAGAAAATACTCGAACTCCTCATTAAACTGGAGCAGTTTAGTTAAAGGGCTCAAGATCATACTGATTGTTGAAAATAAAGATTTGGGCTGGGCATGGTGGCTCACGCCTGTGATCCCAGCACTTTGTGGGGCCTACGCGGGCGGATCACTTGAGGTCAGGAGTTCAAGACCAGCCTGGCCAACATGGTGAAACCCCATTTCTGCTAAAAATACAAAAATTAGCTGGGAGTGGTGGTGGACGCCTGTTATATCAGCTACTTGGGAGGCTGAGGCAGGAGAATGGCTTTAACCTGGGAGGTGGAGGTTGCAGTGAGCCAGGATTACAGCACTGCACTCCAGCGTGGGTGACAGAGTGAGACTCTGTCAAGGAAGGAAGGAAGGAAAAGAAAGAAAGAGAGAGAGAGAAAGAGAAAGAAAGAAAGAAAGAAGGAAGGAAGGAAGGAAAGAAGGAAGGAAGGAAAAAGAAAGAGAGAGAGAAAGAAAGAAAAAGAAAGAAAGGAAGAAAGAAAGAGAAAAAGAAAGAAAGGAAGAAAGAAAGAAAGAGAAAGAAAGAAAGAAAGAAAAGAAAGAAAGAAAGAAAAAGAAAGAAAGAAAAAGATTGACTGACTGATTTGGGCATAAAATGGATTCTGGCTTGCCCTGGGCTTAAGAACTTTCTGCAGCTTTTCAGCACTGACTTCTTTCTCCAACATGGATACTCTGCATTGGGAAGCAAGAGATTTTCCACAGGCAGGAAGGGGACCCAGGGAGTAGGGGTGGGGGAAAGTGAGGGGATGGTGCGTGTGTGGAGAGTGGAGGGAGGCTGGCCTTGAGGCTGGTCCAGGGTTTTGACCAATTCTTACAAACTTCAAGTTCTGGGAAGCAACTTGGTTGACCACATTACCTTCTGAGTAAAGGTTTAGTAAGGGATCTGGTTAATTTGTATTTATTCTCTTGAGAGAGCTGAAGATTTCACTGTGAAGTTAAGTAGTGATTGAGGCCAAGGAAGCTAGTAGGATGTGGGAAACTAGAAAAAGGTGGTGTGCTCCTTTACCTAAGAGCAAGTGAAGAGAGTTAAAGCTGACAGTTTCTCCTTGCCCCTTTTCTCAGAACCCATTTGAGGAATATAATGGGGTAAGTATAATTATTTTAATTATGTGTGGTGATAGGCCTAGAATTTTATTGTAGGTGAGGGATCATTTACCCTTTGTGAAAAAGGATAAAGAATATTTATTTATTTTTCCTAGCCAGAGCTTCATGATCTGTATTCACGAGAGCTAAGGATTGGCATGAAAAGTTAAAGCTTATAGATAGGCTGGGTGTGGTGGCTTTCGCCTGTAATCCCAGCACTTTGGGAGGCCGAGGTGGGAGGATTGCTTGCACCTAGGAGTTTAAGATCAGCCTGGGCAACATAGGGAGACCCTGTCTCAATTTTTTAAAAAATTAATACTCATAGATAATTCAGAAAGAAACAAACAAAAACGTTGTAGCCTTGGTTTTCAACACCTTTTTTTTTTTTTTTTTTTTTTACTGACTTTCACTGGTTGTGCCTAAATGGAGAGCCATATTCTTTCCTGCCCACCTTCTCATGGAGGCGCTGTCAGGCTTGAGATGCAGCTTCCTCATGTTGGATAACTGAGAATTGGACCACAACTTTGACACGGGGGCAGGAAAGAGGAGCCCTGGCATTAGGAAGATTCTGGCGGGTTTTGTTACAGTGGCTTCTTTATGGGGAAGGTCCACATATGTCTAATTCAAGTCGGCATCGCCAGATGTCTGGAACCAATGCCTAAAACATAGTTGGTGGAAACATGGATGGATGAATGACATATCAGGAGTGGTGGGTTCCCTGAGGTCACGGGCCATGCCTTACACATCCAGCACGGCCTAGCAGGGTCCTTCCTTCCTTCCTTCTTTTTCTTTCTTTTCTTTTCCCTCCCTCCCTCCCTCCCTCCCTTCCTTCCTTCCTTCCTTTCTTTCTTTCCTTTTTTGTTTTTGATGGAGTCTCGTTCTGTCGCCAAGCTGGAGTGAAGTGGCGCAGTCTGAGTTCACTGCAACCTCTGCCTCCCGGGTTCAGGCGATTCTCCTGCCTCAGCCTCCCGAGTAGCTGGGATTACAGGCATGCCCACCACACTCAGCTATTTTTTTGTATTTTTAGTAGAGACAGGGTTTCACCACGTTGGCCAGGATGGTCTTAATCTCTTGACCTCGTGATCCACCCGCCTTGGCCTCCCAAAGTGCTGGGATTACAGGTGTGAGTCACCGCACCCAGCCTCAGGGTACTTTCAACATAGATGTTCAAAAAGTATGCACAAGGAAGGAAGGTGCAATCTGTGCTGATTTGAGAGTACTCAGCAAGGCGTCTTTCTGGGCAGACCAGTGAGTACTCAGTGGAAGTGGAGACTTTTACAAATACATCAAGGGAGGATAGGGCTAGATATTTGCACATTCATCAGATATGTATTATACACCTAATATGTGCTAGGCACTGTGGGTGGAAAAAAATGACACAATGGGACCATCGCTCTCAAATAATTTATAGTATGGTAGAAGGTTTAGGGAAATGAATCATTAATCGCTGCATCCCAAGGAGTATGATAATTGTTATGATAAAGGTTAGTGCAGGCCAGGTGCGGTAGCTCACGCCTGTAATCCTGGCACTTCGGGAGGCTGAGGCAGGTGGATTCCTTGAGTCCAGGAGTTCAAGACCAGCCTGGGCAAGATGGTGAGACCTTATCTTTACAAAAAATACAAAAATCAGCCCGGTGTGATGGTGGCACAACTGTATAGTCCCAGCTACTCAGGAGGCCGAGGTGGGAGGATTGCTTGAGCCCGGGAGGCAGAGGTTGCAGTGAGCCAAGATCCTGCCACTGCATCCAGCCAGGGTGACAGATTGAGACCCTGTATCAAAAAAAAAAAAAAAAAAAAGTAGTGCAGGGTGATATAGGACCATAATGTGGGTGGTGGTCACCAAGGAAGATTTACTACTTTTGAAGAATAATAGTAGCTATAATATTGTGTGTCTACTCATCTCTCCAAGTATGTGTGGGTGTTTATTTAATTCTCCCAAAACCCCAAGAACATAGATGCTATTGTCACCCCCATTTTATAGAGGTTGGACATCAGCAGCGTAGGTGGAAGAGTCGACTTGAACTCAGGCAGTCCAAAGCTGGGACAAAGAAGGGTGAGAGAAAAGGCTCTACCAGGCCAGTAGAAAGGCAAATTAAAAGGCAGAGGCAAGTAGAAGGGCTGGAGTGGAGAGCGGAGGTGACGTGAGGGAGCTGGGTAGAGAGGCAATAGCCAGGTTATGAGGCTGTTACTGCTCAGATAAGGAGTTGGAACTTGCTCGGAAATCATGGGAAGGCTAAAGGATTTTAAGCCAGGAAGAGACATGATTAAATCTGTGTTTCTGTAAGACCATTGTTTCAGTGTCAGGATAGACTGGAGTGGGGCCAGAGTGGCAATGGGGAGGGCAGTGAAGAGCCTATTAAAGTAATCTGGGTGAGGAGTGATGAGAGCTTGGTTTCAGACAGAGGCCGTCGGAGTGATGAATGGAAGGCGGATGGATTCGAGAGTCACTAAAGAAGTAAGGTCTGTAGGACTTGGTGTCAAACTGATGTGGGGTTGCATTTCTAGTTCATATGAATCTTTACTTGTGGAGTATAAGGAGAGGAGAAAAAGATGGTGAATTCAGTGGTGGGAATGCTCAGTTTGAGACTCCTGTTGGACATTTAAGAGAGCTCTGTACCTCTGCAACTATACGATACTAAAAATAAGTATTATTTTTAATTTTTTTCTTGTCCTTTCCCTTTCTCTTTCTTTTCTTTCTTTCTTTCTTTTTTTCTTTCTTTCTCTTTCTTTCTTTCTTTCCTTCTTTCTTTCTCTTTCTTTCCTTCCTTCCTTCCTTCCTTCCTTCCTTCCTTCCTCTCTTTTTCTTCTTCCACCTGATGGCACAAGAAAAAAATAAACATTATTAACAGTTGTTGGGGATGTATTTATTTACTTGCCAAGCCTTCTGCTAAGTGCTGCATTTTTGTTGTTGTTGTTTAAATGACTTTATATTGAAATGTTACAACTCTGATGTAAATATGTATGGCATAGGAGGACAAAAAGGGAATGCGAGAAAATAACAAAGTATGGGGAAATAGAGTCATCTCTCTAATGACATAGATAAGGACACCCTAGATGAGCTTACTATGGTTCACACTGACTTTACTGGGTTCCACAAAGACCAGTCTACAGACCAGAGGTTCTCCATGATCAAGTCATATTCAGGACTCCTGCCCACATGCAAGAGTGAAATCAATTCCTCAAGGGCTTGCACACCCACACCACAGAAGACACTTAAAATATTATCTCCATATTATCTCCAACTCATCACACAAAACCATACAAAAGCTAACCATTTCTTATTTAGAAGACAGTTACTACTTACAAAACTGCCGAGAGCAGCTCATATTTTTTTTCTTTTATTTATTTTAAAAATAGAGTTTCACCATGATGTCCAGGCTGGACTTAAACACCAAGGCTCAAGTGATAACCCCACCTTGGCCTCCCAAAATACTAGGATTACAGGCATGAGCAACCATGCCCAGCCAACTCACATTTTTCTTTCTTTCTTTCTTTTTTTTTTTTTTTTTTTTTGAGGCGGGGTCTCACTCTGTCACCCAGGCTGGAGTGCAGTGGCACGATCTCGGCTTACTGCAACCTCCACCTTTCGGATTCAAGCAATTCTCCTGCCTCAGCCTCCCAAGTAAGAGAACACAAGAGCTTGGAACACAAAAAGTAAACTAGGAAGGGCTACCACGTTAAGTGCTGGATATTAATTAACTTGCTTAATCCTCACAACAGGTCTGTAAAGTTGCTTACATTTTGACAGATAAAAGGATGGGAATGTAGAGAGAGGTTAAGAAATTTGCTCTGAGTTGCTAAGAAAACAAGTGGCCAAGCTAGAACTCAAATCCTGGGTTTGATCCATACCAGTGCTGTCCAATAAAGTTTTCTGCAGTGATGAAAATGCTCTCTATCTGTACTGTCCACAATGAAGCCACGAGCCACATATGGATGTTGAGTACTTGAAATACTGGTGTGACTAAGGAACTGCATTTTTAATTAATTTAAATTTATGTAGCCGCATGTGACGAGTGACCACATCGTTCAGTTCTGTGCTCTGCTATCTTTGGGAGTTATCAGCATATTCATAATAATTGAAGCCTTGAGTGTGATAAGATCTCACAAAGAGATGAATTGCAGTAGATTTTAACCTCATATGGGCCCAGGCATATTTGAGAATCTGATGAAGGCTGTAAACTTCTCTCAGGAACATATAGTATTATTGCACATTATATTGATAACAATTTCAGAGGTCCACAAAACTTAGGTTTCCCTGATATAAAACAGGAAGAAGCAGGAACCCAATAGAATGTAAACTCCTTAAGAGCAGAGACCTCATCTGTGTTGTTTACTGCTCTATACCCAGTATCTAGATTCTAGAACAATGCTTAGTACATAGTTGATGCTTGGTAATTTTAAATGAGTGTCTGAATGAGTCCCGGGAAACATTTTAGGACCAAATAGAAGAAGAGCCCAAGAAACTTCCCCAGAAAAAGAAGTGAAAGTAGGACAAAACGCAAGAAACAGGGGAGAGTAATGCCAGAGAATGCAAGAAATATGCGTTTCAAGAAGGAGAATAGTCATCAATGTCAGACCTGCCTGGCTGGTCAAAGATTAAGATTTAACTATTGTCGTTGGTCTTGGTGTAACAGAGGTCCCTGCTGATAAAACCAAGGAGAGGTAGGCTTGGGGTGCACATTGCAATAGATTAATTCATAAAGCAGTGGTGAAGAAGTAGGGGCATTGAGTATAACATCCAGTGAACCTCAAATCCTGGTTGCCCCCCAGAATCATTTTTAAGCTTTTTAAAAATACGTATACCTGGACAGGTTCATACTCCGACTTCATACATTTGGAGAGGGGCCAAGGAATCTGCATAGTAAAGCTCCTGAATTTATTATAATATTGTTTTAATGGAAGTTCAGCAATTACAAAGTAGTATGTATGTTCTTGCAATAAAATGGCCATCAAGAGAGGAAAACTAACGCTGGGTGTGGTGGCTCATGCCTATAATCCCAGCACTTTGGGAGGCCAATCCAGGTGGATCATTTGAGGCCAGGAGTTCAAGACAAGCCTGGCCAACATAGCCAGGCATGGTGGTGCGGGCCTGTCATCCCAGCTACTCAGGAGGCTAAGGTGGGAACTTGAACTCAGGAGGCAGAGGTTGCAGTGAGCCAAGATCATGCCACTGCACTCCAGCCTGGGCAATGGAGCAAGACTCTGTCTCAAAAAAAAAAAAAGAGAAAAAGAAAAAAGAAAGAAGTGGAGAGAGAGCCTTTTCTTTTGTTAAACACAGACATGGGCATGTTCAGAGGTGAACTATTTTATTTTTTTAGTGATATGGTTTCACCCTGTTGCCTGGGCTGGAGTGCAGTGGTGTGATAATAGTTCACTGTAACCTTGATCTCTTTGGCTCAAGCGTTCCTCCCACCTCGGCCTCCCCGGTGAAGCAGCGTTGTTGTCTGGGGTAATACCCAAGGTTCGTCATCTCATGCCAAGAAAATTAAGGACACAGACACACATGAGGAGTGAGTTTAGGAGTGAAGGTTTAATAGGCGAAAGAAAGAGAAAGAACAACTCACTCTTGTGAGAGAGAGGGGCACCCAAATGGGAATTACGCCAGGTGCTGTGGAGTGCACCAGATTTTTATAGACAGGCTTGAGGAGGTGGTGTCTGATTTATATAGGGCTCACAGACTGGTTGGACCAGGTGTGACGTTTACATAGCCCAGGGGGAAGGCTGGCCACTCCACCCTAATCTTATTATCCAGATGGGCTTTCCACTTGGCTGGCACCATGTTGTCTGCTCCTTACCATACATGTGGCTGGCAAAGAGAAGGGAAGATGGAGCCACCATTTTGAACATGCCTAGTCCCAGGTAGCCTTTTCCTATTGGCACAACTGCTGGCATTCACCCATGGAAGCTTCCAGCTTGCTTGTCTATGTCTGCAGCTAAATTTTACAGGCTGCTCTTTGTTAGAAAAGAAAATGATTTGGGGGATGCTTTTCATTAACAGGAAAATCTTACGGAGGACTTCCTTACCCTCACTATCTGCCTAAATAATTTCTTCTTTTATTTTTTGAGACGAAGTCTCGCTCTTGTCCCCCAGGCTGGAGAGCAATGGTGCAATCTTGGCTCACTGCAACCTCTGCCTCCGGGTTCAAACAATTCTCCTGCCTCAGCCTCCCGAGTAGCTGGGATTACAGGAGTCTGCCACCATGCCTGGCTAAGTTTTGTATTTGTAGTAGAGACGGGGTTTCACCATGTTAGCCAGGCTGGTCTCGAACTCCTGACCTCAGGTGATCTGCCCACCTCGGCCTCCCAAAGTGCTGGGATTACAGGCGTGAGCCACCGTGCCCTGACAATTTCTTCTTAACTCCCATATCACCAGTAGCTAGGACTACAGGCACACACCACCACACCGTGCTAATTTTTGTTTTCATTTATTTTTTGTAGAGATGAAGTCTCACTGTATTACCCAGGCTGGTCTCAAAACTCCCGGGCTCCAGAGATCCTCCTTCCTCAACCTCCCAAAATGCTGGGATTACAGGTGTGACCCACCTCACCCAGTCCCAAGAACCATTAAATAGAGAAGTATTCATGAGTTGTAAGGAGCTAGGAAGATATTTAGCTGGATTTTGAATCCCTGAATCTTTGACCAGGGATTCTACCCACCTTGCTGCAGGTTCCCATGGGAGCTATTAAGCAGAAGTGAACCTTCTAACTCGGTAGACAAATTCTCAATATTCACCTCAAGTATGTTATTTCTAAGTGGTGTTTGAGGATATTGAGGGATGTTCTGTAAGGAGGTGGCAGTACCCCAGTCACATTTGTTTACTTATTTTCTATTATTAGACTTGTCCATACCTGCTTGCCAGGTGGCACACAGAAACTCCTCCTTTATTCTCTCCATCTTTGCTACCTGCCTTCTCTTCCCCCATACACCTTTCCTACTTAAGCTGAAATAGTAAATGCCAGAGTCATTTTATATGTAGAAATAATTTAGCATGAAAACCCAGCTCTCTCTTCTGTCAGTGGTGGTGAGGCCCTACTTTTCAGGCTAAGGGCCTTTTCTGTTATCTTTCTCCCATGCACTGGCTATTTCAAAATATTCTGACACACTAACTGAATACTCAGTGTAATAGATATCCACCATTTATGATACACTCACCAAGGGCCTGCTACTGCCCTAAACATGTTCTACAGATGATTTCTACCATTTCTAATCCCCACTGCAATGTTTTCTTTTTTTTAACTTTTAATTTTTTTTAAAGTAATGGCAATCTTGAATCCAACAGAACTGCAGTCTTTTAAGGCATGCATTATTACCCACATCTGACTGTTAGAAAAGTGAAATAATTTTCTCAATCTCCCCCTCTGCTAAGTGGCAGAGTCAGGACTAGAATGTGCGTCTCTCTGACGCCATATCCTGAACTCAGATACTGTGACTGGATTATTCACAACTTAATCCTCTGTGCAGTTCTATAAATAGAGGACTAAGTTGTGAGTAATCGCAATAAGTCTCCATTTTTCAGGAAATAGGCTAAGGGAGGATAAGTGACTTGGCCAAGGTTAGAAGGCTAATAAGAAACAAAGCCTATGTCCCAAGGACCTCAATCCAGAAAAACAAAAAACAAATAAAGGCAGGGGGCAAACCCAGGTTTGTCTGCCTTGGTGCTATTTCTACTGTATCACTGCTTAAAATAATATATTTCCCCATTTTTATTAACAAAGACACAAAGACATCTATAACTGCCACTCAGAGCCTTTTGCAGCTTCTAATTAGCATGAGATAATTGATACTAACAGGAGAGATTGCCTCAGTTGCAGCCAGAAGTAAAGAGATGCAGTACATTAGTCTCTGCAGCCTGGGTGTGGGTAAATGTAGTTTCCATCAGGCTCTGGAAATACTGCATTACAGCCTACATGCCCCCATGACGGCTTGGGACCACCTGAATCTCTCAGAACCCCTTCTGGGCATAGGAAGCTATGACTCCTGTAGGGTTGCCTGGAAGAGAAAGAGCTGTTTCTCCCTAGGAAGCACCTACTCAGTAGAGGTTGCCATATTCCGTCTTTCTAGCAGTAAAGCCGTGCCTTTCAGAGGGCAGAAGGACGGCTTCCTGGTGGTTCGTGGGTTTAGTCTGTACTTTCTGCACGTGTCCTGGGTACAGGGAGGGAGGAAGGGAGATCACTGGAATCATGAGAATTTGCCCAGCCCGCATTGCAGAGCTTCCTGGTCAAAGCCTAGTGAATTTCTCCCTTGTGGAGCGTGCTTTGGCTCAGATTCCTGTGGATTTTTCCCAGTCCTTCCAGTGCTGCTGGTATTAATGTGACCTTCCAGGATAAGCTCCTGCACTAGCACGCTGGTCTTAAACAAAACCAGGATTCTGCTTCAGCTGGTTTCCCTCAGGAATATCCCAGAATTTTACCAAGAGCTTCCCATCTTATTTAGGAACATGGTCTAGTGTTCCAAAATTTAATTTATACAGTGAATTTTATCTGAAGCTTGAATGTACAGCAGGAGGGATTAAAGTCATCCTAGTTCCATATCTAGCTGTCTTGAGCGAATGGCAAGCAGTTGCTTATACAAATTCCCTTCCTTGCAGTGTTAAGCCATCTTTCAGTCATCCGGTGCCCAGGCAAGGACATTCCAAATCCTAGTTTAGAGTTTCTTTTTCAGGGTTTCCAACAGACAGTTTCATCTGTTAGTGCCCTCTGCTGGACTTTCTCCAAGTTCTTTTCAACCTCCTGAATCCCAGAGTGGACGCAGACTGGATGTCTTCTCCCACTAAGGCCTTGACTAATCTGGAGTGGAGGGAGGTGTGCTTTTTGACCTTGTAGCATGCTGCACTCCTTTATAAACACCTTGGCCTGGAGGTTGCTCTTTTCATGGTCTCCGAAGACTGGTAGGTTTATTTAGGGAGCAGCGTGAGTTGCCTGGGGTCCAGGTGGCCTATATCATTGAAAAAGGCTCATATAAGAGAAGAATTGAAAGGGTGTGTGTGAGAGGGTGAGGCAGTGTCTGAATCTCTGGAAATTCTGCTCAACAATATTATTTCATGGGATTGAGTGGAGGAGTGGTTGGCAGCAATTCATCCATTTAACTTCTTTTTTTTTTTTTTGAGACGGAGTCTCTGTTATCTAGGCTGGAGGGCAGTGGCACGATCTTGGCTCACTGCAACCTCCACCTCCCAGGTTCAAGTGATTCTCCTGCCTCAACTTCCCGAGTAGCTGGGATTATAGGCGTGCACCATCACACCTGGCTAATTTTTGTATTTTTAGTAGAGACAGGGTTTCACCATGTTGGCCAGGCTGGTCTCGAACTCCTTACTTCAGGTGATCTACCCGCCTCGGCTTCCTAAAGTGCTGGGATTACAGGCGTGAGCCACCGCACCCGGCCCATTTAACTTCTTTAAGACTGTTGAAAAACAAGCTCAAATAATGGGAGGAAATAGGGCCAGGCCTCTGCCGAGGGTACTGGAGGAGGAAAGATCCTGTATATACCCTATGCCTGTTGCCACCATGGATTTATCTAGAGTCCCTCCAGCTCGATGTTCACCTCTCTGATGTGTTCCCTGGAGCTTTCCAACAGAGGTGTCCACCAGCTACACCTTGTTCATTTTTCTGCTGTTGTTGCATCACAGTCCACGGTGAATATTTGTATGTCTTAGACTGGGAGCTCTTTGCTGGAGAGACCTTGTCCTGATCATCTTTACAGTACTGTCTCCTAGCACAGTGCTGGGTACATGAGAGTGGTAAACGGAATTGAACTAGAATGCCTTTTCTTCTCATTTCTGCATGTCTTGAGTCTATCCAGTTTTAAGTGGCAGCACAAAAATCTTGTTGTTAAGACAGAATTGTCTTACTGGTCCCAGAAGGACATGACATTTCTGCATTCTGTGTTCCCATAGCACTTAATACATAGTATTGAGAGTTATCATTTTTCTGCTTTTAAATATAGTTATTTATATTGAATCTTACTTTCCTGATTCTAAGCACTTTGAGAGCAGGATCCTTGTTTGATTCACGTCTTTCTTTTCCTATAACCCATAAAATGATGCCTTGCATATAGGATAATGGCACCTGGCATTTACATAGCAGTTAAAATGTGGCAGATGCTCTTTTTCATACTTCACATTTCTTTCTCTTTCTTTCTTTCCTCCTTCTTTCTTTCTTTTTCTCTTTCTTTCCCTCTCCCTTGCCTCCCCTCCCCCCTCCCCCTCCTCTCCCCCTCCCATCCTCTCCCCTTCTCCCCCTTCCTTCCCTTCCCCCTCCCCTCTCCCTCCCCTCCCTTTCATTCTCCCTTCCCTCCCCTCTCCTCCCCTCCCCTCCCCTAGCACAGTGCTGGGTACTTGAGAGTGGTAAATGGAAAATGGAAATGAAAATGGAAACGGTAAGTGGTAAATGGAATTGTCACTGGACTAGCTGTCTTGAGCGAATGGCAAACAGTTGCTTATACAATTCCCTTCTTTGCAGTGTTAAGGCATCTTTCAGTCATCGGTGCCAAGGCAAAGTCATTCCAAATCCTAGTTTAGAGTTTCTTTTTCAGGGTTTCCAAAAGACAGTTTTATCTGTTAGTGGCCTCCCTTTCCCCTCCCTCCCGTCTCCCTTCCTTTCCCTCTCTCTCCCCTCCCCTCCCTTCCCTCCCTTCCCCTTTCCCTTCTCTCTCCCTTCCTTCTCCTTCTCCCTTCCTTTCCCTTCCTTCTCCCTTCCTTTCCTTTCCCTTTCTCTTCCCTTCCCTTTCCTTTTCCCTTTCCCTTTTCCTTCCCTTTTCTTCTCTTTTTTTGTTTTTCAGATGGAGTCTCACTCTGTCGCCCAGGCTGGAGTGTAGTGGCGCGATCTCGCTCACTGCAACCTCCGCCTCCCTGGTTCAAGTGATTCTCCTGACCTCAGTCTCCCAAGTAGCTGGGATTACAGGCGCTTGCCACCAAGACTGGCTAATTTTTTTTATTTGTTATTTTTTATTTTTTTTAGTAGAGATGAGGTTTCACCATGTTGGCCAGTCTCATCTCAAACTCCTGATCTCAGGTGATCCACCCGCCTCGCCTCCCAAAGTTCTGGGATTACAGGCGTGAACCACCACACCCAGCCTCTTCTCTTTTTCTTTCTTTGTCCTTCCTTCCTCCCACCACAGTCTTCCGAGTAGCTGGGACTCCAGGTGTACACCATCATGCCTGGCTAATTTTTTTTTTATAGAGATGGGGTCTCACCAGGTTGCCCAGGCTGATCAGGAACTCCTGGGTTTGAGCGATCCTCCGGTCTCAGCCTCCCAAAGTGCTGGGATTACAGGCATGAGCCAACCCGCCTGGTTCCATACTGTAGACTCTTAACCATTGTCTTGATGATGCTTCGTGTACACATAGCGTGATGTGAATACTTGTTGGATGCATGTAGTTTGATATTTATTTGAAACCAATACACAGTTTGAACATGACCCATTGCTGCCTTCTCTGCCATCTGAACTGTTTTCTAAGCCATGGGAAGGCAGGCCAGAGAGGGGCGCCAGAAAGGAGGCAGTTCCTGGTTCCGGTTCCTGAGGCTCCTTATTGGTTTTCCTTGTAGTTCTGGTTTGGAAGTCTACAGTGCCATCTAGTGGGTAAACTTGCAAATATCAGCTTAGAATTATTTTTCTGAAATCCTGGTAGATGGCCTTGAGTTCTGGGAGCCCCCTTTATTAGTTTAAAATTTTGATTGCCGGGGGAGGATAGGGGGACTAGGAAGAACCAGCCCATCCTGGCTCAGCGGGGTCAAGTTTGACCCCTGCTTTGAAGAGGCTGCAATGCTGATTGTGGTTGGCTTGGTTGAGCCCTGTTGACTGTTGTAAATGGTGTGTTCTCCCACAGTGTAGACCCTGCTTCTGGAGCTGTGTGGGCTTTGGAATTTGAGTTACAGTCATCTGTGTGCTGCCTACTGTGGAGTAACACTTGTCCCAGGTTGTATATAAGGGGATGCTTGATTCATATAACAGGCCAGTTCCAAGTAAGACATCTCATGAGTTAACGACATTATAGTGAAATTTGGTTATGTGGAGTTGGTAATAGGCAAATCCATCCGAGCTGGCAAAGTGAAAATGATGAGCAGCCACTGCATAGTGAACGAGCTGTAAAAACGTGCTGCATGGAAGGGAAGGAGAAAGGGATTCCGTACACAGTGAGTTCTGCCGAGCAGCCGGAGGCTTTGTGTATGGCGCTGTTCCGGTTTCTGGTGTGTGTGGTAACGTGTATGGTTTCTTGTGTCTGTGTTTGAAAATTGGATGTTAATTGCCTTTCAGGTCATTTACTTCTTGCTGGAAGAACGGAACATAAGAGCATGTGGTAACTGTGACCACAGAACTCATGTGCTTTGGCTGAGAGTGTACAGACACTGGAGCAAGCACTTGCTCGGCAAGATTGTCCAGTGTGCATTCTACTGGGCATCTAGGCTAAGGAATATACTCTATAGAGACCAATGCATCTTAGTGCAGCAGGCGATCCACCAGAACAAGGAGAAAATGTTGGTTATGTGGTAGCCTTGGTTATAGTGACATTTATGGTAATAGGGATTTATTATTAATAGAACCTATGTGAAGCAGGGGTTGGCCAACTTCCTGGTAATAAGGATTTATTATTAATAGAACCTATGTAAAACAGGGGTTGGCCAACTTTCTCTGTAAAGGGCCAGATGGTGAGCATTGTGGGCTTTGTGGGCCTATGGTGCCCACAACTCTGTCTTAGTTACTCAACTCTGCCTTAACCACTCAGCTCTGACATGGTAGCAGGAAAATAGCCAAAGATAATATGTAAATGTAGGCTTAGCTGTGTTCCAGTAAAACTTCATTTGTGGACACTAAATTTAAATTTCACATCATTTTCACCTGTCATGAAATATTCTTTTTTGGATTTTTTTTCTTCCAACCACTAAAAAGTACAAAAACCACCCTTAGCTCACGGGGCTGAGCAAAAACACGTGGCTCTAGATTGAGCCTAGAGTTTCTAGTTTGTGGACTCCTGATCAGATGGCTGGAGTATTTAATAATAATTAATAAAAATGATTTGTTCATCAGCTATGCCAGCAGTTAGTGTCATGAAGTGTCTGATAAGCTTTTCTTTCTCTGGAGTAAGAGGAAAGGCCATTCTTTCCCGTATTATTATAAGATATGACCTCCCAAAAGAACTCTGCCTGAACTAAAGCTGTGTAATTATCTCACTTACAGTGCCTTAAGGTGTGGAGAGTCCACCCTTTATTCCTTCTTCTATTTCTCATCCGCCTCAGCCTCCCCTGGAGGCAGAGTAGCAGACTAAGTGACCCCAGACCCCATCCAGCCTTTTGCCTTACTGGAGAAGCAGACTAGGTGACCCCTGGCCCCATCTAGTCTTCTGTCTTACCGGAATCTCCCTCCTCCCACACATCTCACACCCTCCCCACAACACCCCACCCAGTCCATGTCAGTGGCTTGAGAGTCTCCGGTGGGCTGAGGAGAATGGGATTATAATCCCATCAGAGAGAGGAAGAGGAGTGGGTAGAGAGAATGCTGGAGGCATTTGCTCTTTGAGGTTTATATAGCCAGGGAAGAGTGTGGTAGCAGGGCGAGATGGGCCTCTTCTGTTTTGGCTGGCAACAGACAGTCTGCAGGTGTGATGGCTGGGGATTTTATCAGCCTTGTGTCATTTCTCATATGGTCTAACTGTGCATTCTCTATGCTAGACTTACTTGGGGGAACTTGTATCTTTAAAATTTTGTAACCCCATGTCTTTGTCTAGTTGAAGTCTAAGTGACCTCCCCCAGGGTTGAGAAAGAAGCTGAAGTTAACGGTTGATATCCTATGTCTTTCCTCAGCAGCCAACAGAGCAGTCAGCAGAGCAGCCACGATGATGATTCTAGCAGGTTCCTGAGTCCTCGAGCGCGGGAAGAAAGGTAAGGTCCAACTCCGAGGGCGAGATGGGGGCAAAGAATAGAGGGGGTGGGGTGGAATGTTTGAGGAAGATTGTGCCTCTGCTCTGTGCAAAAAAATGTGGAAAACTGAAGAGGAATGGGAGCGCCTGAGACCTCTGTGCTTGACTGATTAGAAAGACAAAACTTTCACCCCATAAAGGAGAAGGAGCAACACAAAGGGGCTGGTTCCAGAGGCTTTTTGTGTTCAGCAAAAGAAGTCAACGTGTGGCAAACCAAATAGGTTGAAAAGACTTCATACTGAGCAGGGCTTGGTGGCTCACACCGGCAATCTCATTACTTTGGGAGGTCGAGGCGGGCGGATCACTTGAGATCTGGAGTTCGAGACTAGCCTGGTCAACACGGTAAAGCCTCATCTCTACTGAAACTACAAAAATTAGCCAGACATGGTGGCATGTGCCTCTAATTCCAGCTACTCCGAGGCTGAGGCAGGAGAATCGCTTGAACCTGGGAGGCAGAGGTTGCAGTGAGCCAAGATCGCGCTACTGCACTCCAGCCTGGGCAACAGAGGGAGACTTCGTCTAAAAACAACAACAACAACAACAACAAACTTTACAGTGGAGTTAGGACTTGAGTCATGCCCTATAGGTTGGGTACAATGTGGGTCAGGAGGTGAAGGGCATTTTGTGCCTGAGGAAGCTGCATAGCCCAGGATGTCAGGTGTTGGATGGTGTCAGGTGGCAGCAGCGTTAATGAAAAATGAGGTGGGATGTCTAGGATGCAATGAAAATATGGAGGCTCTTCAATGGTTGGTTGAGGATTGGAGATACAGCTAACTAAGCACTCAGTGTGAGGACCAGCCAGCACCTGCTTCATGCAGTGCCTGTGAATTGTAGACAGAGGTAAATTTGCTGTAGCAAGTTAAACTTCTTTGCCTACAGAAAGTTGATGGTATTGACGTTAACCAAAAGGAAGTCTCAGCTGGCCTACCGCAGGGGCTCTGCTTTTGGTCTAGCTCTGTTTATCGTTTTTATCAACAAGCTGGGTGAAAAAGCAGAAGGTACTTTTACCACATTTATCAACTTATGGTGGACCCTCTGCTGAGAGGGGGTAGAGAACACCAAGGATGATAGAATCAAGACTTAATATTATTTTGAGTAGAACAATGGGTGGAAATCAAGGAGATATTTTCTTTTTAATGGAAATGTGATTTTTTAATTTTTTAATTTTTAATTTTTTTTTTTTCTGAGACAGAATCTCGCTCTGTCACATAGGCTGGAGTGCAGTGGTGCAATCTCAGCTCACTGCAACCTCCACCTCCTGGGTTCAAGAGATTCTCCCACCTCAGCCTCCGGAGTAATTGGGATTACAGGCAAGTGCTACCATGCCCCGCTAATTTTTATATTTTTAGTAGAGACGGGGCTTCCCCATGTTGGTCAGGCTGGTCTTGAACTCCTGGCCTCAAGTGATTCACCTGCTTCAGCCCTCAAAGTGCTGGGATTACAAGCGTGAGCCACCATGCCTGGCTCACTGTGAAGTCTTGAAATGTCTATGAAATGTGATCTTGTATATTTATGTTAGAAAAGATTTATTTCGCAAGTGTAGAATTGCCGCAGGGAGCCTAATTTGATAGCATTTCATGTGAAAAAGAAAGAATATTTTTATTTGCCAGCCAAATATGAAACAATAATATGACACAACTACCAAATGATCTTTGAAAGTTTTTAATTCATTCATGGGAGCATGGTGCATGGATTAAACAAAAGAAGAAGATGTCACTGTAATCTGTACTAGTATGACCATATTTCGTGTATTATTCCAGTTCTTTGAAAGTGGATGTGGATGCATTAGAGTCCATAAAAGAATGATTATATCATAACTATATCATTATAATAAGAGTTGGTTGCGGCCCTCTGAGGTGGCTCACATCTGTAATCCCAGCACTTTGGGAAGCCAAGGTAGGCAGATCACTTGAGGCCAGGAGTTCGAGACCAGCCTGGCCAACATGGGGAAGCCCCGTCTCTACTAAAAATGCAAAAATTAGTCGAGTGTGATGGTGCACGCCTGTAGTCCTAGCTACTCCGGAGGCTGAGGCAGAATCACTTGAACCCAGGAGGTGGAGGTTGCAGTGAGTCAAGATTGTGCCACTGCACTCCAGATTGGGTGGAAAAAAAAAAAAAGAGTTGGTTGAAGGAAAGGGATTTAGCCTGGAAAAGAGATTTTTAGATATCTGAAAGCTGAAGAAATAGAACTGGAGGGTTAGAAGTCAGTGAGAAGGATTGCAGCTCAGGATAAGAAAGCACTCTTCCATGATAGAGCTGTACTAGCTTGGATTTTCTATCTGAGAACTGAGAACGAAGTGACTAACGGGTGGGGCATGTATACAGCGTGGATATGCTGAACAAAGGGATGATTCACGTTCCAGGTGGGACAGCAAGCGATTTCATCGTGCTTCTCAGGATGACACGTAATTTGAAACTGATGAACTGTTTATTTCCATTTAATATTTTCTTTTCTTTTTCTTTTTTTTTTTTTTTTTGAGATAGGGTCTCTGTCACCCAGGCTGAAGTGCAGTGGCGTGATCTCAACTCACTCCAACCTCTGCCTCTAGGGTTCAAGTGATTTTCCCACCTTAGCCTCCTGAATATCCAGGACTATTGGCGCCTGCCACCATACCTGGCTAATTTTTGTATATTTTTGTAGAGACAAGTTCTTGCCACATTTCCCTGGCTGCTCTCAACTCCTGAGGTCAAGTGACCCGCCTGCTTCAGCCCTGCAAAGTGTTGGGATTACAGGCATTAGCCACCACTGCATTTAATATCTTCTGACCACACTTGACTGTGGGTAACAAACCGCAGATAAGGGGGGACTGCTGTAATCTCTCCCCTTCATAGGAGTGTTCAAGCAAAAGCTGGGTGGTGTGTCAAAAGGGATTTCGTTCTGGTTGAGAGAGTGGAACCTCTCTAGTCCTTATTTCTTTAGATTATGAAGTCTTGTGAGTTCTGCCCTGGTTCTCAGTTTTATGCCCCCTGTTAATCAAAACAGTTCAGCTTATCAATTTAGACCGACGTATATGGAGACATGGCACTTCCAAGGAGCAAAGACTAATCATTCTTGTCAAGATGCTTAATCAGGTACGATCTGATCTGATGGCAGTTCTCTCAGTCCCTGGAGTACCCTCCACTCTCTGTGCAAAGCTTTCTAGATTGCAGCAATCATAATCTCAAAATTAGAAGAGGCCACAGAGGTCGCCCAGCACAGCCACCTTCCCTGTGCTGTGCACCAAACATCTCCAGAAGTATACTGTCCGTTTCTGAGCGTGATGTCTTTGCCTGCTCTTCTTCTACCAGTTCTATGATTGACAGTTCCTCAACTCACTTTATATTATCTCTGCTGCTTGGGGCATTCCTGGAAGAGATGAGTAGTGCTGAGATGCATATACCCTAATACATTTTCCCCAAGGACATAGCTGCTTGCTAACTAGAGAGAACTCTGCCTTTTGTTTGGTATTTGGGACTTTACACTGATATAAATTCTATTCTAATTTCTCCTCTCTAACCACTCACTCCTCCAACCACAGGAAATGTTACAAAGGTTCTCCCATCTAAACCTCTGCCCAGAAAAACTCTCTCGATTTCTTCCCGGGTCCTTTGTTCCCATCCTGGCCCACTCGCAGTCCCCTAAGCTCTTTATGGTGGATGGGGATGTTGTTTTGCATCAACTCGCTTTGGAGAGTATGAGGAACAGAGAGAATGTGGTCAGAAGTATGCTTCCTCTGGTGGTCCCTGTGACCGGCCCCCCCTCCAACCCCCAAAACCTCAGAAATTGGCTCTAGTATGTGTTCACTCACCATAGCCCTTCCGAAGAAAGTCTTTCTTCTCATCTTGGCTGCTGGGTTCCTTCTCCTGGAGAGAACAAGTTTCCGGAGCTCAAATTAGTCTCCCAGGCTCAGCTCAGAACTAACTTACGCTCTGCACCTAATTCTTCCTACCCAGTTAAGAGTCTCCAGGTGTTTAGGACGTTGATCTGTGATGTTCTGACCTGGGGTGAGATTGGAACCCTGGGGAGATGTGGGCAGTGGCGGGCATCTGGCCTGTGCTCCTCGTTCTGGCCCCCTCTGAGGGACAGTGCACCAAGCTGTGAATGGCGGCATTTCCTGCACTGGTGAGGCCTCCCTGCAGTCATCTTCTTTACTCTTCGTAATGCCCCTGGGTGGCAGATGGAGCTGGGTAGTATTGTCACTGACTGAAAACGGTCAAGGATGAGGTGGATATTATGGATTTTTTTTCTGTGGCTTCTTCTAATTTTCCAAACCATATCATCAATTGTAACATGAAAGATTGTTTCATAGAGCAGGCAAAAAAATTAGCATTGATTTCTTCTATTTTAAAGATTCAAATTAAAATCTTTCAGTACCAGATGCACTTTCAGCTGGTTTAATAAAACATTTTCTTTTCTTGCTTTTGTGTAAGGTTCAGAACGGTTATAGTATTCAGAGACTACGTAGCTACCTTACTCTACACAGCAGTGGGTGGAATACCTTAATACGGTGTTCAAACCTAAGGATTTCTGAGAAAGATTTTTTCCTTATTCACATTGACGCTCTGTCCTGAAGGAAAGACTTTGGAACCTTGACAGGAGTAGAGCGTAGGTTGAAGGACTGTGACATACATTTGCTGAGTGGGTGTGGCATCAGCAAGAAGGGTTGATTTTTATGAAAATGTGTTTATTAGGAAATGGAGATTGTCTCAGAGATAAGAATAATTCTTCCAGGTGTCCAGTAGAAAGCAAAATAGGTAACTTCCCCGAAGTGTGTGTGTATGGAATATAGGACATTAATTCATTCTTTTTTTTTTTTTTTTTTTGAGACAGAATCTTGCTCTGTTACCCAGGGTGGAATAGTGGCATGATCTTGGCTCACGGTAACCTCCACCTTCCAGGTTCAAGAGATTCTTCTGCCTCAGCCTCTCGAGTAGCTGGGACTACAGGTGTGTGCCACCATGCCTGGCTAACTTTTGTATTTTTTGGTAGAGATGGGGTTTCACCATGTTGGCCAGGCTGGTCTAGAACTCCTGACCTCAAGCAATCCACCTGCCTCTGTCTCCCAAAGTGTTGGGATTACAGGCGTGAGCCACTGCACCCAGCCTGATTGTGCATTTGTAAAGTCAATTTACTTAGTGTTACTCAACCCTCAACCTTAGTTTCCTCCTTTGTAAAAATTTGATGTCCATTGGATTTTCTTGTAAAGAATACATGAGAAAACATTCGTAAAGAGCCATTAAGTGGATGCTTAATAAATGGTAGCTGCTTGCACTCTGATTCTGGCTATCATAACATTTTACTCTCAGTTTCCTACCAGATCTTACACCCTTCTGTTCTTGACAAAGCAGAGACAAAGCCGGGCACCGTGGCTCACCCCTGCAATCCCAGCACTTGGGGAGGCCGACGTGGGTGGATTGCCTGAGCTCAGGAGTTTGAGACCAGCCTGAGAAACATGGCAAAAGCCCGTCTTTATCAAAACTACAAAAAATTAGCCGGGCATGGTGGCATGCGCCTGTGGTCCCAGCTACTTGGGAGGCTGAGGTACAAGATCCCTTGAGCATGGGAGGCGAAGGTTGTAATGAGCCTAGACTGTGCTACTGCAGTCCAGCCTGGGTGACAGAGTGAGACCCTGTCTCAAAAAAGAAAAAAAAAAAAAAACAAAAAGAAAAAGCAAAGGCAGAAAGAAAGTGTAGAATATTGAGCATCTGCAAATGTCACATATTTAGACTCCAGATAAATAGATTAAGTTGTGGTATTTCCCCTCAAGAAGCTGATTCTCTTATGGTGTGATATACTTACAAATAAACAAGTATAATATAATGTAATAAATGACTTAAGAAATTATGCGTAAGGTAATAAAACTGAAGAATTTTACAAGCTGGGTGTGGTGGCTCATGCCTGTAATCCCAGCAATCGGGGAAGCCGATGGGGGTGGATCCCTTTGAGGCCCGGAGTCTGAGACCAGCCGCCAACATGGCAAAACCCTGTCTCTACTAAAAATACAAAGATTAGCTGGGTGTGGTGGTGTGCGCCTGTAGTCCCAGCTACTCAGGAGGCTAAGGCTGGAGAATCACTTGAGTCCAGGAGGCAGAGAGTGCAGTGAGCTGAGATCGCACCACTGCACTCCACCCTGGATGACAGAGTGAGACTCTGTCTCAAAAGAAAATAAATAAAGAAGTTCACTAAGTGCTTACTCTGTGCTTAAACCTGTGTAATAAACCTTGCATACATTTTTAAATATATTCCTCTCAACAGCCTTATCAGGTACATGCCATTATCTGCATATTAGAGTTTAGGAAAACCAAGGCTCGGGGAATTAAACTTGCCCCAGAGAAACACAGCTACTCTGGGGTGAGGGCAGGGGTGGGAGGGTTTCCAGAAAACTCTACAGAGGGGGCTGTGCTTCAGCTGAGAACTGCAAGAGGAGTAGGAGTCTGTCACATGGACAGCATTTGCAAGCCAGGGAACAAGATGTACATAAGCATGGAGGCGGGAGAAAGCAAGGCATGTTCGGGAACCACAAATACTTCAGTGTTGCTGCAGCGCCATATCCTAGGAGAGGGGTAGCTAGTGAGTGGCCAGGAAAGGCCTTTGGACAGGTAGGCAAGTGCCTGGTCATGCCACGTCCTGCTGTGATAAGGAGTGAGTATTCTTTATGGATGACTGGAAACCAGTAAGTTACGTTTTTTTGTTTGTTTGATTTTGTTTTTTTAGAGACAGTCTTGCTTTGTCACCCAGGCTGGAGTACAGTGATGCAATCTCGGCTCACTGCAACCTCCGCCTCCTGGGTTCAAGCAAGTGTCTTGTCTCAGCCTCCTGAGTAGCTGGGTTTAGCTGGGCGCCCGCCATCATGCCCAGCTAATTTTTGTATTTTTAGTAGAGACAGGGTTTCACCATGTTGGCCAGGCTGGTCTCAACCTCCTGATTTCAGGGGATCTGCCTGCTTCGGCCTCCCCAAGTTCTGGGATTACAGACGTGAGCCACGGCACCCAGCTGCCACTGAGTTATGTTGAGAAACTGAGCACCCGAGTGTCTTAGTGCAGGCAGCTGTAACAGAATACCATAGACTGGGTGTCTTGTACATCACAGAAAATTATTTCTTTCCATTTTGGAGCCCGGGAAGTCCAAGATCAAGATTTGGGCATTCAGGTGAGGTCCTGTTTTCTTCATAGACAGCTGTCTTCTTGCTTTGTCCTTACGTGGTAAAAAGGAGAACTCTGATCTCTTCAGCCCCCTTATAGGGGCACTAATTACATTCATGAGGGCTCCACTTTCATGATTTACGGCCCCACCTCTTAATACCATTGCACTGGAGGTTAGGATTTCAACATATACATTTGGGGGTGGGGCACCAACACTGAGTCTATAGCACCAGGTAGCTCCCAAATATTCTTGTGAGAAAAATCACACCTGGGAGGTGTTCAGAGTTGAGTCCTAGCCCCTCCGGGGCTGTGGAGGATGGATACCTCCCCCCGGAGCTCTCCAGGCCGGGCATTTGGGCATGGTATAATGGAAAACCTGTGGCCTGGCATTAACTGGCTGCCTGGCCCTGCTGTCTGCTAGGCACCACGTAAGGGATTCCAAGATGAAGACATGGTCCCTGCTCTTGAGTAATTTTTCAGCCCAGTGACTTAATATGGCCATCAGGCATCAAGAACAAGGCCATGGGGGTGATGACGTGTCGGAACGGAGGTGTGAACCTGGGGAGCCGGATCTTCTCCCCTCGCCACCCCACGGCCCTGACTGAAAGCTTTGGCCCTCCTCCTCCCCCGTTGCCACCCCATGGCCCTGACTGAAAGCTTTGGCCCTCCTCCTCCACTGTCACACTCAGTGATGGGGAGCCCTACCCTAGAAGTGTATCTCATGAGAGCATCAGGGATGCAGTGAAAGAGCGATGCTCAAGGGAGACAGGAAGAGAGAGCAACATAAAGATGTGGCTCCATGTCCATGGTGCACCCTGGTCAACAGAGGAAGGGGCGTGGGACCCGATGGAAATTTGGAGCTCAGGGAAAATAGTTAGGGGGGGGCGGTCCTTACCTCTCTGCGTACCCCCTTAAGGTTGACCCCTTAGATGGCCCAGGAACGGCAGGTGCTAGAGGAATGGTATCCACCTGGGCATGGAAGTGGGGCAGATTCAGGGGCCACTGGACTAAGGGGAGAGAAGGGCTTGTCAGCACCCACCCAGGGAGCCTGTCCATTTATGTCCCCAGATAAAGGGTCCTAGAAGAGTTAAAAAAAAAAATTGAAATCATGCCTGGCCTGTGGTTAATGTGTATGTGCCTATTAGTATTATTATCATTAAAACAGTGGGTCGAGGACGAAGGATTTGAGGAGCAGAGGTGGCAGTGAGTTTAATTTAGTCATGTAGAGTGAACTACTCATGGAGTGTGCCAGTGGATAGAAACACTAGGCCATTGGCTACACCGTTTGAAGCTCAGGGGACAAGACTGAGAGTGCTCATTTGGCAGTGACCACTATGGAAGAGCACAGCAATGAGAATATAGTTGAGGCGAGTCTCAGGATAAGCAAAGTTTAAGCAGAAGACAAAGGAAGGAAGAATTTTAAAAGATTGTCCACTGAAGACAAGATGACTAGGAGATAGTAATGGAGAAGCAAGAAAGAATAGTTAAAAGGGTAGAAATAGGTAAGAAAAGGACTAAAAAGAATCCTCTGCAGTGGCAATTTGTGGAGGTCATTGGTTACCACAGAGCAGTTTCAGAAGAGTATATTTGAGGGGAGGGAGAAGAGACCGACCATAGTGATTTCATTCTAGAAGTCTGCCTGGGAAGAAGAGAAATAGGGAGGATACCTAGAGGAGAAAGCAGGGATGATTGGGGAAAATTCTTGTTTTAATATGGAGAGACATAAGCACTTTTTTATAATCTCTGAAGTAGAAATTGGTATCTCAAGGCTGAGAATTTCAGAGAGGATAAATTCATTTGTTCATTCATTCATTCAACAGACTGATCAATTACGCACTATCGGCCAAGTGTGATGGCTGGCGCCTGTAATTCCAGTGCTTTGGGAGGCTGAGGTGGGAGGATCACTTGAAGCTAGGAGTTTCAGACTAGCCTGGGTAACCTGGCGAAACCTCGTCTCTGCAAAAAATAGCTACTGCACTCCAGTCTGGGCGTAGAGCAAGCCCCCGTCTCAAAAAAGTAAAGAAAGAGCACTATGTACTGGGATTTCCAGTCTTGTTGAAGGGACAATATTAAACACAATTGAGAAAATGCAAACTTGGAATTTGGATGGGTGTCTTAAAGGAAGAGGACATAGTACCAGGCAAAGTGTATCGAAGAAGCTGGACCCGGCCAGAGGGGTTGGGGCCAAGGTGTAAGGCTTGGGCAAAGATTAGAAGGGTGAATTGGAAGCAGTGATGTGAGACAGATGAGATGATATGAATGAGATGAGGCAGGCGCTTCGATGGCCAGGATGACCAGGATATAGCAATAGAGAAGCAAGAAAGAATAGTCAAAAGGGTCTTGGTCTTTATTTTAAGAGCCCAGGAAGCCACTGAAGATCTTTGAGACGGGAGATGACAGGATCAGATTTGCTTATGAAAAAATTGCTTACAAAAACACAGAGGCTGTTTCATGGACACTAGGAGATCAGCTGAGGCCCTTAGGAGCCTATTACTGTATCCAAGCTAAGGATGTTCATGTCTTGGAATGTGGATGGTGATAGTGAAAAAAAGAAGCAGACAAATTCAAGATATATTTAGGAGATAAAATGTCCAGGGCTTGATCATGAATTGGGTACATATGGGTGTGAGAGAAGGGAGGTGTTCAGAGTTGAGTCCTAGGATTCCAGCTTGCTCAGCTAGGGGGTGCCATCTATTGAAAGGTAAGGAAGCAGAGTTTTAGAGGAGGCAAGAGAAGGTTGGGTCAGATCACAGGTGAGAAGATTACCCTTGAACAGGAGAGACTAATTGAGGTGGATGCAGGTGAGTTCCTAGGTGCTATGGTAGGAAGGCGAGGAGGTTAGCGGCAGCAGGATCTGTTTTCTCTGTGTGATAGAAAATGATGTCTCCTAACTAAGATCAGTGAAGGTGGAATGAGAATAGTGTGATGTTTGGATATAATTAATTCTGGGACTTTTTTTGTGTCAACTTTTCTCCAAGTACCTTAAAAGACATTTGTGGCTGGGTGCAGTGGCTCACGCCTGTAATCCCAGCACTTTGGGAGGCTGAGGTGGGTGGATCACCTGAGGTCGGGAGTTTGAGACCAGCGTGGCCAAAATGATGAAACCCTGTCTCTACTAAAAATACAAAAATTAGCAGGTGTGGTGGTGCACGTCATGCTAGAGTAAGATCATCACTGCCAACTCAGGTCTAGCCACTGGGATAGGTAGCTTCCTAGTAGAAGAGGAAGTCTTTTCAATTTTGCTTATTCTGTTCCAGAAATATGTCCCCAGTAGCATATTTCCAGAATAGTCTGGCTCCGTCTACCTGCTTGGCCAGTGAATTCCCCATGGACTCACGGACATTCCCGTGATCCCTTACCATGGGGAGAGAGCCAAGTTGCAAACCCTCTGGGAGCAGTGCTCCCTGCCCCTCCCCTTCCCCCAGCACCAGCAGCTGACATCACATGCAGGTACAGCTTCATCCTCCTTGTCTGAGGACAAAGGAGGAGAGGAAACTCACCAAGTGCCCAGAGCTCTGCCAGATGTTGAAAGATGGAGGAGGGCTTCATTTGGAGCTGTGGCTTGGGCAGGAGGCAGAGGGGATCTCGGTAACGCAGGACCCCAGGCTTGCCCACCCTGGGCCCTCCATCTGCCTGTGTTTTATATTGAACCACACGGAGGGGAGAGCTTATGTGCAGGAGCCCACAGTTGACAGCTGGGGTAGCTGCAAGGGCAGCAAGTCCACGCAGCTCCAGAGTGAGCCCCCAGCCCTTGAGGTCCCAGCTGCCATGTGGCCAGCCCTCCCCTGAGCCCAGCATGGTGCAGAATCTACAGCCAGAGACCGTCTCTTGCAGCACTGCTGTAAAGCAGGCTTGTCACTACCACGTCTCCTCCCTGAGGAAGAAGCTGGCCTTTCTGCGAGCCAAGTAGGTGGTGGGGACCCTGGAGATTAGGTTTGGGATTGCCTGGGTTGGCTCCCATGTTTGGAGATATTGTAGGTCCCTGCCCAAGAGGGACACTCGGTGATCCATTGCAAGAGGCTGAAGGGAAAGGCCAAGGGGTATGGGTGGCTGGGATGTTGACTGGGAGACTGAGTCTGTGCCTCACTGTGTGCCTCCCAACGAGGTGCCTTGGCCTCCGGGTCCTTCTTCATAACTGGCCAGGGACCATTACTTTTCTCCTTTATGATAAGTTGCTCCAGTCCATAAAGAACTTGGAAATCCTGAGAAAGGTGCGGTAGGGAACAGTGTAGTCTGCCTGTGTAGCATCCCCTGGACAGGGGCGCTGGCGTCTCTGGGGTGTGGATCATTCTCTTCCACTTACAGAGACCTAAGCAGTAGGTGTTTGGGGCCATTGCTGTGTGTTCATTTCTATATCACCTCGTCGGGCACTTTGGTCTGACTCCAGAATTATTTGAGCATGCATCAGATGTGGGGTGCTTTTTCCTAAAACAGCCCCCATACCTGGCAGATGGGCTGCAGTGGCTCCTGGCTGAATCTGCCCTGCCCTCTTGGCCTCTGTAACTAGAAGAAGGAGATTTCCTGGAGGAGGAAGAGGTTCCAGCCCCTAAGGTTAGAATTAAATTTGAAGGCTGACAGGCATTCAAGAGAGAGGATCATGTAAACTTATGGGCAGGTTTGTGTGTTTTTGCTTTTGTTTTGGCGTAAAGAGAAACATCACTGAGAAAGATGGAATGAATGAAGTGAGGAGAGAAAAGGAAGGAGAAAGGCAGAAAGAGGGGCCAAATGGATTTCAGAGGTAGGGAGAGGCTAGAGGCAGTAGGTGGCTTAACCTCAATCCTCTCTCTCTCTCTGTCTCTCTCTTTCACACATACACACACACACACACACACACACACACACGCATAGGCATAGATGCCTGTGATTGTTTAGCTGTCTATTGACAAGGGTTTCTCATGGCTAAAGTTTTGGGGCTGGTGAGCAAAGACTGTGTCCCTCTCTGATTAGATGACTTCTCTGGTACCGATATTCAGCGCTGTGCCTTGCACACAGTAGGTTCTCAACAGATAATGGTAGAATAAGGAAGTCTCTGATCCTGTGATGTGGTGCAAGGACAAGATTCAGTAATGGCTGCGGGGAACTCAGGTTTTGGAGACCAAAATACCTTAGTTTAAATTCCAGCTCTGCCACATCCTGGCTGTGGTGCTTTTGCAAAAACATTTCATCCTCTCTGAATGTTTCCTTTCTGAAAAATGAAGATAATTGTACTTACTTTATGGAGCTTGTGGGGATTGAACTGAGATAAAATAAGAAAGGCACTTAGCACTGTGTCTGGACGTAGCACACAGTAAGTGGCAGCTTGTGTCACTGTCAGCAAATAGTAGGCCTGGGCTTAGCCTGCAAGGGGTGTGGAGAGTGAGTTTTGAGCAGGAGGTTTGCAAACTTATTAAGGGAAGCCACACATGAATCCATGAGAAGTAATGTTTGACTTCCCAGTTGCCAGGGGAAGCCAGTTATATAAACTCTGGTCCTCACTGTCCTGGTGAGAGACAGCTGCCTTGAGGGTGGGGTGAAAAGCCCAGAGTGGCAGTTGTGTGGACGGGCTTCCAGACCTACCCGCAGGCAGCCCACTCGAACTCCATGTGGAACGTGGGCCCAGAAGGTGTTCAGCTTGTTCCAGCTGATTAGGAAGAGGGTCCCATCTCAGAAGAGGCTCACTTTGATTAAATTCTGCAGTGGAAGTGTCCCTTTGTAAACAGCTTCAGTAGAGGCCCCAGATGTTCCTATTGTTCAGATCCCAGGAACAATGTTGTTAATAGTGGTGCTGTTGGTGGAGAGGAAGACCTGAGTTCTTCCTCCCTGTTAGTGACTCATCACTCGAACTGCTCTCAGCTCAGATTCCTCACCTGGGAGCTGTCACATCTCAGAGAGGCTGCCTCTTACCCCTTTGTCCCAGTAGGGTTTCTCTCCCTCACTTGCATCAAAATAAATGGCTTATTTTCCATTTTAGCATTAATCACATTATAATTGTATTTATTTGTTGACTTGATCATTGTCTGTCTCCCCAACTAGTCCCTAAATTGCATGAGAGCAGGGACCATCTTTGTTTTATTGTGTCCGCAACACTTAGCACAGTGCCTGGCACATAATCATACTTAACTACTTACTAAATGAGTAAATGAACCAATGAATAACCATATACGACTTTTTGTTAATGCTGACATTCTAGGATCATGGAATTTCGTGACTGTAGCCCAAATGGAGGGCAAAGACTGACCTTTACACATCTATTAACCTTTTTAAACTTTTCATGCTCATGGAAATGTTTTGATCTGTGACCACCTCTCACATGTTCCCCTTTCTCTGATCCACCTGCACATATGCTTAGGGGGTCACATGGTCTTGTGGAAGACAGCACTTAAGGCCTTTTTTTTTTTTTTTTAGGTCTGAGCTAAGCTCTGACTTTTGAGGGCAGGGCAAAGAAGCAAGTGAGTGCTCCTGTCTTGCTCCTGCTTCCCCAAGTTCCCAGCTTAGAGCTCCTCTTTAGCAGTCCTGGCTGCTTCTGTGGCTGTCAGCAGAACTGTCTGCAGGTGTAACCATCACCTGCTCTGTTTCTCCTACTCTAGCCCTTCTTCTTTGTGCCTGAGAAAGGGGGGTTGTTAATTATAGCTCAGCAAACTCCTCTTATCTTTGCTGATGCCATAGTTGGGATTTAGATTTGGACAACTGGCAGGATGGATGGTAATTTTTATTCCCCAGCTTCCCTACTTCCTGCTGGGAGAAATTCCATCCTCCTACCAGCCTCAGCGAAGAAGGAATGTGAGTGGGTGGCAACTCGGGGGCTCAAAACAGAGAGTCCGATCTTAGGCTTGTCCTGCTCTCTGCTGCATTCTTTGCCTCCCTTGTACTCCAGGGTTGAGATGAAGTCAGGGGATAAACTGCTGGGTTCTCTTTTCAATCACTCACTGATTAATCATGTAAGCTCGGGAGAGCTCTTTACTACTCCTAACTTGCTCTTCTAGGTATTGAGGAAGTCATTGTACCAGAAGTTGATGCTCCGGCTTGGATTCAAACACCTATCACTAAAATTGTTTGAGCACATACCATATGTATATATACATACACACACACACACACACACACACAGACACACATACACACACACATAAATTATGTGTGTACTTCTGTACTAAATATTTTATGTATACTGTAATATAATGAAACAAATTTTAATAAGATGGAATAAACATAAATATAAATACAAGCCCTAATATGCTTTTTAAAAAATTAAAAAAATTCCATGGATACATAGTAGGTGTATATGTTTATGGGTTACATGAGACACTTTAATACAGGGATGTAATAGTCACAGCATGGAAGATAGGGTGTCCATCCCCTCAAGCATGTATTCTTTGTGTTACAAACAATTCAGTTATACTCTTTTAGTTATTTTAAAATGTACAATGATTATTGACTATAATCACCCTGTTGTGCTATCAAATACTAGGTCGCATTTTTTCTATTTTTTCTGTACCCATTGATCAGCCCCACTTCCCCCCACTTTTCCACTACCCTTCTCAGCCTCTGGTAACCATTCTTCTACTCTCTTTCTCCATGAGTTCAATTGTTTTGCTTTTTAGTTCCCCCAAATAAGTGAAACCATGCGAAGTTTGTCTTTCTTCTTCTTTTTTTTTTTTTTGTCTTTTCTTGTTTTTTATTTTTTGTGCATCGGTTGTGTGTTTTTTTGATTTGAGGTCACTATGAGGCTTGCAAATACTATCTTATAACCCATTATTTTAAACTGATGACAGCTTAACACTGATTGCATAAACAAACTAACAAACAAAAACAAATAAAAACTCTACACTTTAATTTTGCTTTTTAGCTTTCTGTTGTTCTTTATGTCTTATTGTACTTTCTGCGTCTTGAAAAGTTGCCATAGATATTATTTTTGATTGGTTCATCATTTAGTCTTTCTATGGAAGATAAGAGTACATTATACAACACAATTACAGTGATATAATATTCTGTGTTTTTCTGTGTACTATTACATGTGAGTTTTCTACCTTTAGATGATTTCTTTTTGCTCATTAACATCCTTTTCTTTCAGATTAAAGAACTCCCTTCAGCATTTCTTATAGGACAGGTCTGGAGTTGATGAAATCCCTCAGCTTTTGTTTGTCTGGGAAGGTCTTTATTTCTCCCTTGTGCTTAAAGGTTACTTTCACCAGATGTACTATTCTAGGGTAAAAGGTTTTTTTTTTCCTTCGGCACTTTAAATATGTCATGCCACTTTTTCCTAGCTTGTCAGGTTTGCACTGAGAAGTTTGCTGCCAGATGTATTGGAGTTCAATTGTATGTTGTTTCTTTTCTCTCGCTGCTTTTAGGATCCTTTTTTAAAATCCTTGGCCTTTGGGAATTTGACTACTAAATGCCTAAGCTAGTCTTCTTTGGGTTAACTCTGCTTGGTGCTCTATAACCTTCTTGTACTTCAATATTGATATCTTTCTCTAGGTTTGAGAAGTTCTGATATCATCCCTTTGAATAAGCTTTCTACCCCTATCTCTTTCTGTAAGGCCAATAACTCTTAGATTTACCCTTTTGAGGCTGTTTTCTAGATCTCGTAGGCATGCTTCATTGTTTTTTATTCTTTTGTCGCCTCTAACTGTATTTTCATATTTCATATAGTCTGTCTTCTAGTTCACCAATTCTTCCTTCTGCTTGACCAGTTCTGCTATTAAGAGAGTCTGATGCATTCTTCAGCATGCTAGTTGCATTTTCCACCTCTAGAATTTCTGCTTAATTCATTTTAATAATTTCAATCTCTTTGTTAAATTTATCTCATAGAATTCTGAATTCCTTCTCTGTGCTATGTTAAATTTCTGAATTTCTTCAAAACAGCTATTTTGAATTCTCCGTCTGAAAAGTCACATATCTCTGTTTCTCCAGGACTGGTCCTTGGTGCCTTATTTAGTTTGTTTGACGAGGTCATGTTTTCCTAGATGTGGTGTTGATGCTTGTAGATGTTCTTTGGTGTCTGTGCATTGAAGAGTTAGGCATTTATTGTAGTCTTCACAGTCTTGGCTTGTTTGTGCTTATTCTTTTTGTGAAGGCTTTTCAGGTATTTGAAGGCATTTGGCCCCCAAACCAAATAATGTTGTGGTTCTTGTCTACTCATGGAGGTGCCACTTTGGTGGTCTTGGAGAACATCAAGAAGAATTCTCTTGATTGCCATGCAGAGACTCTTGTTCTCTTCCCTTACTTTCTCCCAAACAAATGCAGTTTCTCACTGTGGTTAGCCTCCTGGAACTGAGAGTAGGGAAACAGAAGCACCCCTGTCGCCACCACCATGGGGACTGCACTGGTTCAGACCTGAGGCCAGCACACTATTGAGTCTCACTCAAAGCCTGCTGTAACCATGACCTGGCTACCATGTAAGTTCACTCAAGATCCTAGGGCTCTACAATCAGCTGGTGACAAAGCCAGCCAGGTTTATGGCCCTCCCTTCAGGGCAGCAAGTTCCCCTAGGCCCCAGATGAGTCCAGAGATGCTGTCTTAGAGCCAGGGATTGAAGTAAAAAACCTTAGAAATTTACCTGGTGTTCTATTCTACTGCAGCTAAGCTGGCAGCCAGGTGCTGTGGCTCACGCCTGTAATCCCAGCACTTTGGGAGGCTGAGGCAGGCGGATCATGAGGTCAGGAATTTGAGACCAGCCTGGCCAACACAGTGAAACCCCGTCTCTACTAAAAATACAAAAATTAGCAGGGCATGGTGGTGGGTGCCTGTAATCCCAGCTACTCAGGAGGCTGAGGCAGGAGAATCGCTTGAACCCGGGAGGCAGAGGTTGCAGTGAGCCAAGATTTCGCCACCACTCCCCAGCCTGGGCGGTAAAGCTAGAATCTGTCTCAAAAAAAAAAAAAAAAAAAAATGGTAAGCTAAGCTGGCATATAAACCACAAGAAAAAGTTCTTCCCACTCTTCCCTCCCCCTTCCCGGCCAGAGGAGCCTCTCCCTGTGGCCACCACCACCGGCCAACAGGGGGTTTTGCCAGGCCACTGCTGATGTTCACTTAAAGTCCAAAGACTTTTCATTCCGCTTGTGATGAATGCTGCCAGGCCTGGGACCCACCCTTCAGGGCAGTGAGCTCCCCTCTGGTCCAGAGCAGGTCCAGAAATGCTGACCACGAGCCTTGAACTGGACCTGGGGACCCCAAGAGCCTGCTTGGCGCTCTTCCTCACTGTGGTCAAGCTTGTACTTAAGGTTCAAGACAGAGTGCCCTTTACTTTTCCCCCTGCTTTTCTCAAACTGAAGGAGCCTTTTACTGTAGCCACCACAGCTGGGTTCAATGCAAAGCCTCACAATTGCTGCGCTCTCCCTCTCCCAAGTGTACAGATTCTTCATGCTGCACATCCACTGCTGGAGAATAACGGAGGGGAGGCGCTGGTGATTCAAGACTTTCTTTCCTGCCCTCTTCAATGTCTCTTTCAGTTATATGAAATTAAAACCAGTTACGGTAATTGCTCACCCAACATTGTTTCTTGCAATGGCCCTTTTTGTGTGTAGGTAGTTTAAAATTTGTTGTTCTTATAGGGGCAATGAATGGTGTAGGCTTCTATTCAGCCATCTTGCTGTGTCCTATCTAATATTTTATTCCTCCATGGCCATGGGTAAGTGTTCATGTCTCCTTGATTATGAGTGTCCCGCTGGTTAGACATGGTTCTGAAGCAGTGGTTTTCAGCCTTTTAACGTGGTTCAGAGTCACAAGCAAAGCTTATTTAATATGCAGATTCGTAGGCCCTATTCTTAGATTCTGAGTGCTATGGACTGGGAAAGGCCTAGGAATTTGCAGTTAACATATATCCCAAGTGATTCTGATGCAGGTGGTCTTGGACCATGCTTTGAGAAATATGCTCTTTCTCGAAAAGCAGTGCTGATAAAGAAAATGTAAATAAAAGTGCAAAATAAAGAGAAACATGCCCTGAGCCCTGATGCCTCCTGTGATCCTACTCTAGCTAATATCCGGCACACAATTTAATAGGGCTGGGACATGGAAGGGCCTTTTGATACGTAGCTTGGTGGTATGGTTTGGTTGTGACCCCAAAATTTATGTGTTGGAAACTCAATCCCCATTGTAACAGTATTAAAAGGCAAGGCCTCTGGGAGGTAATTAGGATTAGATTAGGTCATCAGGGTGGAGCCCCCATGATGGAACTGGTGGCTTTAAAAGAAGAGGGAGAGAGACATGGCCTTGCCCTCTTGCCATGTGATACCTTCTGCATGTTATAACACAGGAAGAAGTCCCTCACCAGATGTGGCTCCTTTGTCTTGAGAACTTCCCAACCTCCAGAACTATACGAAATAAATTTCTTTTCTTTATAAATTAACCAGTCTGTGGTATTCTGTTATCGCAACAGAAAAAAGGACTAAAATACCCAGGGACACAACTTCTGTGTCCCTTACCTGTCTTCTGCATAGTCCAAGAATCACCATTCGGTGGCAAGGAGAAAGGTGGGTGGAGGGGTACGTAATTAAGTTACTTATTCCATCTTATCTGTCACCAACTTTCCAGGTTACTCAGTGCCTCTTTTCTTATCCTCAGGCATGTAAGCAATTAAATGCTGGCTCCCTTTCTTTTTCTTTGCCATTTCTCCTTAGTCTGAAGGTGAAGCTCTTCCACTGAGATGTGGAGAAACCCATTTTGACCCTGATTCAAATGGTGGTGGGGTGGGGAGATGGGCTGTGGGAGTAGAGGTTGTTTGCGTGCACCCCCTACTTCCCCACACAAAAGCTCTCTTGTGTCTTTTATGTCAGCATGATGGACGAATTAGTCAATTGAATTTAGAGTTGGAATTTTGAAACTCTTTGTTTGGTTGACTTTTGAAACTCCACTACACGCTTGCTGTGGGATCCACAAGGGGAGCAATTTCTCCCACTCATCTTTTTTCCCTGTAGAAATGAAACAGATCTATTGTCTGTGTTTCCTTCTTCTGGGCATCTTAAATGATGGATAGGTTCAACTGGCTGAGAGTTATCCTTGTAAATAAGGGTATTTTGGCCGGACGCAGTGGCTCACGCCTGTAATCCCAGCACTTTGGGAGGCCGAGGCAGGCAGATCACTTGAGGTTCGAGACTAGCCTGGCCAACGTGGTGAAACCCCGTCTCTACTAAAAATACAAAAATTAGCTGGGCGTGGTTGTGCATGCCTGTAGTCCCAGCTACTTGGGAGGCTGAGGCAGGAGAATCGCTTGAACCCAGGAGGCAGAGGCTGCAGTAAGCCAGGATCATACCACTGCAGTCCAGCCTTAGGTGACAGAGCAAGACTCCATCTCTCTCAAAATAAATAATTAACTAAATAAATACCAACAGATGTGACCCTTAAGCAGAGACTCAAGAGGTCCAGTGCGCTACACTCTCCTAATCCATACATTTCTTCTTCAGTACCTATAGCAAATGGTTATATGCTTGTATGTTATTCACTTCCACAATGGGAAATTTGCTAAAATTAATTGGAGTCTTTTTAAATGAAGAAATTGATAACTATAGGAAGCTTTCACCAGTCTACAAATGTGACCAGTAAATCCAAGAAAATGCAGAGTGTCTGTGTACTTTGTGGAGGAGCAATGTTTATGTTCTAAGGTAATAATAATGGTATTATTATTAAAATAATAATAGCTACCTTGAAACCTTTTTATTTTTTTTTTGACAGAGTCTCTTTTGTCACCCAGGCTGGAGTGCAGTGGCGCGATCGCGGCTTACTGCAACCTCTGTCTCCCAGGGTTCAAGTGATTCTCCCGCCTCAGCCTCCCAAGTAGCTGGGATTACAGGCACACACCACCACTCCTGGCTAATTTTTGTATTTTTTGTAGAGACAAGGTTTCACCATGTTGGCCAGGCTGATCTCAAACTCCTGGCCTCAAGTGATCCACCCACCTTGGCCTCCCAAAGTGCTGGGATTACAGTCGTGAGCCACCATGCCTGGCAATAGATGCCATTTTGAGGGCATATTGCGTGCTTAACACTGTGCTTTTCCTGTGCTATCTTATTATACAACTCTAAAAGGGAAATTACTATTATACTCATCTTCTAGATGAGGCTTAGATTGTCCACTGTCAAGCTTGTTGGTAGCATAGGTAGGATTTAACTCCAGAGCTCAAGTTCTTTTTTGTTTGTTTATTTTTATTTTATTTTTATTTTTTGAGACAGAGTCTCGCTTTATCACCCAGTCTGGAGTACAGTGGCACGATCTCGGCTCACTGCAACCTTTACCTCCTGGGTTCAAGTGATTCTCATGCCTCAGCCACCTGAGTGGCTGGGACCACAGGCACGTGCCACCATGCCACGCTAATTTTTTAATTTTTACTAGAGATGCGGTCTCATCATGTTGGCCAGGCTGGTCTTGAATTCCTGGCCTCAAGTGATCCCCCTGCCTAGGCCTCCCAAAGAGCTGGGATTACAGGTGTGAGCCACTGCGCCAGCCTGGAGCCCAAGTTCTTACTTGCAATACTCTTACTTCTCCTCCAGCAAAGAAACATGATTATCAAGGCACTGGGGACCCTGTGCAGAACCTGCTTTTTCTTGAATCTCATGGATCTTTTTTTCTAACTTGCTGGAATTGGAGCTCCAGAGGTGGAGGTGTGTGAGCAAGTCTATTAATGGCCATCCCTTGGCAAGCTTCAAAACCAGACAGAACAAGAAAAACAATTGACCAAGAGAGAATAGAGACCCCAATGCTTCTGAATGATCTAGTTAAAGATGCCTTTCGGCCAAATAGGATTTTTTCTTAACTATCATTTTTGAGCATGTTTCTTGTGTCTTACTGATTTTGAGAAGTGCCTTAAAATTTTAATTGGCAAGTTATATGTGGGAAAGTTCCAGTACATCTTTTTGTTTGACAACATCTTTCTGATGCTTTCTTTAGTTTCACTCTCATGCCCAAGCAGTGAAACAGAGCTGTTGTCTTACCTTTCTGCAGGTACTAAGTGAAGCCCCATAGGTATTTGCATGAGCTACAGAAGTCCTTTACCTTTCTTCCCTTTCTCTCCTGGGCTCACCAGCATCCCCAGTAAACCATTCTCCTTCAACAGGAGTCCCTGAGGCTGCTGCTGCTTACTGGACTGCCAGGGATCCATAAGCATAGGCTGCTAGGGATCTGTGAGCATAGTCTGTTTGCACCTCATCCTGTTTTTCTCTTGGCTTCAGCATGAGTCACTAGAGGGTCTCCCAGTGGCCTGCATGCAGTGATGTCCAGGCATTCGGACAATCCTTCCTTCTCCCATCCTAACTCTTCTTTCATCACTGGCCTCCCCAGTCTAAAAGAGTGTTTTAGTAGAATGATGCAAACGTGCATGTCCCATTTACAGTGTACCATAAAAAGGCCAGGCAATATTACTGGACCTAGCCCCCTCTCCCTTCCCTGCTGACCCCTTGCCCATTAATCCGGTGGCTTCTCTTATACAGATGCTCCTGAACTACGGTTACTTCCTGGTAAACCCATCATAAATTGAAAATACTGTGGCACATGCCTGTAATCCCAGCACTTTGGGAAGCTGGGGCAGGTGGATCACCTGAGGTCAGGAGTTCAAGACCAGCCTGGGCAACTTGGTGAAACTCCGTCTCTACTAAAAATACAAAAATTAGCCAGATGTGGAAGTGCGTGCCTGTAATCCCAGCTAATCGGGAGGCTGAGGCACGAGAATTGCTTGAACCCGGGAGGCGGAGGTTGCAGTGAGCTGAGATAGTGCCATTGCACTCCAGCCTGGGTGGCAGAGCGAGACTCCATCTCAAAAAAAAAAAAAAAAAAAGAAAGAAAGAAAAAGAAAATGCACTTAATATACCTCACCTACTTAATATCATAGTTTAGCCTGGCCTATCTTAAACATACTCAGAATGCTTACATTAGCCTATAGTTGGGCAAAATCATCTGGCAGTACAGTTGACTGTAGAGTATTGGTTGTTTGCTCATGTGATCCCGTGGCTGACTGGGAGCTGTGACTTTCTGCCACTTCCCATCATGGTGAGAAAGTATTATAAAGCATATCGCTAACCTGAGAAGAGATCAAAATTCAAAATGCGAAGGATGGCCCATCAGAAGTCAGGGATTGTTTGTACTGTCATTCCGAACCTTGGTGTGATAGGCTGTGAAGTCCTCTGCAGCCTGGCAATAGGACATTTGTGAACAAGGGTACAGGCATAGGAGTGAGCTCCCAGGGCAGGGCGTGGCAGCCTTATGCAGTCATGATCTTTTCCATTTTTGAAGCACTTGAACAACTTTGTCATCTGAAAGCACAGTGCAAGGGACCAGCTGCTGACTGGAAGTGGTGCGATTGTGCCTGGAGATGGTAGGTAAGGGAAGGAGCTGCATAACCAGACCAGAGCTAGCTTTGCATTGGCACCAAGTGCAGACGGCTTGGAGGACTGAGGGAACTCATGGAGTCCCCATTGTTCTTAACCCCCCACCCATACCCCTAAGATAGTAATTATAAAGACAAGATTATTTTAGTTAACGTTGATTGAATGTGCCTATTATGTGTCAGTTACTGCATTTTCATTTAAATTTCACCTTTTTTTTTTTTGTGATGGAGTTTCACTCTGTCACCCAGCCTGGTGTGCAATGGTGCAATCTTGGCTCACTGCAACCTCTGCCTCCCGGGTTCAAGGCATGCTCCTGCCTCAGCCTTCCAAGTAGCTGGGAGGACAGGCATGCGCCACCACACCTGGCTAATTTTGTATTTTTTAGTAAAGACAAGGTTTCACCATGTTGGTCAGACTGGTCTCAAACTCCTGACCTCAGGTGATCTGCCCTCCTTGGCCTCCCAAAGTGCTGGGATTATAGATGTTAGCCACCACCCCCAGCCAAATTTTACCATTTTTTAGTTACTGCGTTTTCACTTAAATCTTACCATTTTTCTATGAAATAGTATTATTATGACCTCCATTTTATAGACAAGAAAACTGAAGCTTAGAGAAGTTTCATAACTTATATAATGTCATGAAGCTATTAAATAATGTGCTAGAGTTTGAACTGGGAAATTTGACTGTAGACTTCAATCACTGTGCTGCACTATCCTGTCCAGTTCTAGAGGCTGAGGTCGAGGTAATGTCACTCATGTTTCTGTTGCTTGTTGCGGGGGCGGTCTCAGGAATTGCTAGCAGCTAAGGGAGGTGGATTTCCCTTGGCCTATCATGTTTTTCCCTGAGGAATTCAGGCATAGAACAGCACTGGTCCCCGCCAAGGCCCTCAGTCTTGCACAAGGTACGAGCTCCCCTAAGCAAGACGCCATGGGAGGCTGACAGCTTCCACTTTGTCCAGCCCGCAAGGACTTGTATTCAGAGAGTCCTTTCTCTCTTCTCCTGATATCTCCCTCATAGCTGAGTGTGCAGTACTAGAGATGACTGACCCCGAAGGCTTAGCTATTTCCTTTTCTCCTAGAAGCTGATCTTCAATTCTCACCACCTGTGTTCCTCCCTCCTTATCTTGACTGCTTCAGAAACTTCCGCTTCAAGCCTTTATACAACAACCTGACTTCCCCAGAGAGCAGTGCAGATTGGCAAGACCAATTCAGACTTGACCTTTGCAGCAGTGACTCCCGCTGTGCTAGTTTTTCTTGTGCCAGGCAGCTTCTCTCCATCCACAGCTCCTCTCTGTTTCACCTCTCTCCTCCCACTTCCAACCAGATCAGTTTCTCTGATTTTCTTTTTTTCTTTTTTGAGACAAGATCTGGCTCTGTTGCTCAACCTGGAGTGCCATGGTGCAATCCCGGCTCACTGCAACCTCCGCCTACCAGGTTCAAGCGATTCTCATACCTCAGCCTCCCAAGTAGCTGGAATCACAGGCGTGCACCACCAGGCCCAGCTAATTTTTGTATTTTTAGTAGAGATGGGGTTTCACCATGTTGGCCAGGCTGGTCTCAAACTCCTGATCTCAAGTGATCCTCCAGCCTTGGCCTCCCAAAGTGCTAGAATTACAGGCTTGAGCCACCATGCCCAACCAGTTCTCTAATTTTCTTTATGACTTTTCTTTATTTCCATGTAGACTCTTACTGTTTTTGATGACATTTTTCTACCACTCTCCCCAAAGCCCCTCTTAATGTCGGACACCCTGTTCGGCAAGTATCTCCTGTTGTATTTCCTTATTCCTCTTTTTCTATATTTTCCTTATTTTAGTGACTGTCTCACCTCTCTCTTTCAATGTCTTTAAAAAATATATTAATTTTTTTTTAAGAGATGGGAGTCTCTCACTCTGTTTTCCGGGCTGGTCCTGAACTCCTGGCCTCAAGTGACTCTTCCCCCTTAGCCTCCCCAAGTGCTGGGATTATAGACGCGAGCCATCATGCTCAGCTTGTTTTGATGTCTTTGTTCACCTAAAACAGCAGGTGGGTTTGACTGCTGTCCACTCTACCTCTACAATCATCAATTCTGTGGGGGACATAAAATTTCCTGCTCTGGGGTAAGAGGTCACATGGATTAGGGGAAGACAGGTGGTAAACCACTGAATGAAAAACAAACACCTAACTCTTAGGTAATATTTATTATGTGCCAGACACAACTCTAATCCCTTTACATATGTTATCTCAGTTAATCTTTGTAACAGCCTATGACTTGAATAATATTATTATCCCTGTCTTATAGATGAGGAAATGGGGCACACAGGGCTAAGTAACTTGCTCAAGATTCACAGATGGTGGCTGAGTGGTCGAGTCAGAATTCAAGCTGAAACTCTTCCTCACGCTCAGCTGCCTCTAGAAGTTGATGGTTAACAAGCAAAAGAAAAGGCACTGAAGCAGATACACATCCTTATGGGAACACAGACACACTGCCCTCTTTCTCTTTCACTCTCTCTCTCTTTCTTCCTTCTTCTTTCTTTCTCTCCCTCTCTTCTCCTCTTTAGAGAACCTGTCATCTACATATACAGGGAGCGTCTACATCTAGTGACCTCTCAAGGTCTTCCTTATTTCAAGTCCCTTGTAGTTCTGTGAATCTCTTTCTGTTTCATCACCATCTTTTCAGTTTACAATCAGCACCCAGACTCTGGAGAGAAGGGATTTCACCTCTTTGGCAAAAGCATCTGATCTGTATTTATAGGCTTAGGACAGGCAGAGAGATCAAGCCACACACTCTGTAAGCAATGCAAACATGGGCGCAGCACTGCCCCTCACTCAGTACTACATGTCCCAGAGTGCAGCGGGGGAGGTTGATGTGACCAGGGTTTGAAACAGCCTCACTCAGTTTCCTTGCAGCCCCACCTCCCAAGAGGCAGCTGCCATGGAGGCTCTTCCTAAAGAAGCAAGTGCAGTGTCCAGCCTCGGAGCTGTCCTTAGGGAACTTGGTGCTTGTGCTTCCTGCAACCCCTTCACCCACGCCCCTGCCAGAACTCACTCCAGCCTCTTTTCAAAAGCATGTTTTTTGTTTTTTTTTTTCTGTCTCTCTTTAACTTAGTGTATAAGTACAGTGATTAAGGAGTTAGAAAGTAATACCCAGGGTAAAGCAATTAGTAGAGATAATTGCCCTAGAGAGAGAATGATATTATAAAGAGGCATTTCTTTCTGTATTTCCTTAAATATTAGGCAAAATGAAATGAGCCTAAGTTGCAGAAGAGGGAGCTTCTCTGGTCTCTAGTTCAAAAAGCAAAAAGCAAATACATACAATAGAGAAACTATTTATCTTATGAAGAATTATTTAGATCAAGTCCTTTCTGGTTAGTAGCAGCAGAGGTAGGGATTCAATGGGTTTTATTTAGACAACCTGAATTAGTACCCCTCCCCCTCTCTCCCACCCTGTTTTCTCTTTCATTCTCTTTTCTGGAGTTTTCTTTGACTCTGGGACTTCTCCCCACTCTCATTAAAGCCTCCTGCCCAGCCCCACTGTTCCCTGCCTCCTGCCCAGCCCCAACTTCTAGGTTGTCTACTCTGCAGTTAACAGCACTCTCCCTCCTGCTTTGAGTTCAGACATATGAATCTCTGTGTAATACACATATGGTGCTTCTGAAGCCTTCTGCACATGTTCACCAGGGCTGTGTCACAGTTCTTTAAAAACTGAGTCGGTAGATGTTTTTGGTCATTCAGGAGACTGGGTGGACCCCCATTAACATGGATCTGATTTCTGTGTGACTTTGATGTAATAGAACATCCTTCTCCATGGATACTAGCCTTCTGCTCTCCATGTGTTTGTACATTTGACTATCAGCCCAGGAATAAAGAGGATGGCAGGCCACAGCAAGAGCCAGAAGAAACATTACAGGCCTCTGAGCAGAGAAGATGACGTGTAGATTGGCTTGGCCCCCACACCTTTGGTTTGTGGTGGGGGTATGATTGATTACTCTACTGCAGTGCTAGCAAAGCCTCATGGCTTTTCAAGTTTATTGTATTCAAGACCATAGTCTAGGGCTTATAGAAACCAGGCAATAGGCTAAAGAAAACCATCTATTAGCCTAAATTCCACTACTCTCATCCTCAACCTTTTTTATTAGTGTGGGATGGAATAGGAATGGGAGAAGTGTTGAATTGTTTATTGTGGCTGGAAAAAAAACACGTTCCTCTAACAGGATGTGTGCCTGTATCAGGATATACATCCTTCCCCCTTACCTCAATTTGAATCAGAGTAGTTAAATTAAAATAAGGTGAACATGAGTAAATTCATTTAAATACTTTTTATCTAAAAGCAATTTTCACTGTACATAGGACATAGGAGATTGGTTTAAATGTATATACCAATCTCTGAATAGTCCCAAGATTTTTTCCTTAATGTTTAATAATGCATTTTTTATAATTTGCCATCTTCAGTTTAAAAAAAGGCCTCAAAGGGAAGTGTCCAATTGAGGTTTTATATTCTCTACCAAACTATAGTAATAGGGAGCAGGACTTGGGTGCAGATTGAGGAGGAAAATGTTAAGAGGTTGGAAATTTGGTATTATGATGTTTAGTGGAAAGGAATTTGCACTTAGTGAATATGGGGTTGAGTCTCAGTTCTGCTCTACTGACTGTGTGACCTTGGATGAGTTGCTTAAAGTCTCTGAATCTCAGTTTAGTTATCTTTAACATGGGGGAAACAGTGTTGATCTCACAGGGCTCTCAGTATCCATGGAGGGTAATGGATTTGGAAACGATCTTAGTATATTTTCTGCGGCTATAACAGAACACCACAGGCTGAGTAATTGATAAAGAACTGAAGTTTATTTAGCTCATGGTTTTGGAGGCTGCGGAGTCCAAAAGCATAACACCAGCATCTGGAGAAGGCCTTGTGCTGAGTTACCCTGTGGCAGAAGGGCAAGAGAGTGCCTTAGACAGGAAGAAAATCGGTTGATCTCATCCTTTTATTGGGAGCCCACTCTTATGATAACTAACTTATTTTCAGGATAAGTGTATCAAACCATCCATGAGGGCCACTCTCATGACCTAATTACCTGTTAAAGGTTCCACCTCTTAATACTATACTGTTACAGTGACCATTAAATTTCAACATGAGTTTGGACACTCAAACTATAATAGAAATGCATTGTAAATTATGGAGCACTGTACAAATGAGAGTTGTCACAATTATTGTTCCTGTAGTTAAGCCAGACCCGTGAGCACTGTGTTGTCAGTGTCATCAGTTTTTTGGGAAACTCTTTCCTAGTCTGTATTGATCTACCTGATTGAGTTGCTTGGTTATAAAGTCAGACTTGAACAGAAGCAAGGTAATAAATGATCACACAATCATTGCCTTCTTTTTTTTTTTGGCAGAGTTTTGCTCTTGTTGCCCAGGCTGGAGTGCAATGGCATGGTCTTGGCTCATAGCAACCTCTGCCTACTTGGTTCAAGTGATTCTCCTGCCTCAGCCTCCCAAGTAGCTGGGACTACAGGCGTGTACCACCATGACTGGCTAATTTTGTATTTTTAGTAGAGACGGAGTTTTATTATGTTGGCCAGGCTGGTCTCCAACTCCAGACATCAGGTGATCTGTCTACCACAGCCTCCCAAAGTGCTGGGATTACAGGTGTGAGCCACCGTGCCTGGCCGTGCCTTCTTTTTTAAATTATGTTTTACTTTATCTAACACTTGCTTTGTTGTTTTTTTTCTGTGGTCTTGGGGCTGGATTGGGAGTAGGTGTGGGGGAGGAAAGGAAGGAGTAAATAAGGAGGGGTCAGTTTTCTCTGAGGATCTCACCATTTCTGAGGGTAAAGTCTACATGGAAATGAACACTGGGAGACTGACATCCTTGTTTTGACCCTTTGGCTTTTTATCTGGGCCTTAGTTTCCTCATCTGCAAAATGGGAGCTGAAGCTGTAAGGTCCTACTCACTTGTAGCCTTTTGTAGATGTGAGATCACAAGCATGAAGGAACCGACGTCCCTAACAGAAGATAGGTTAGCATGTTTCAGGGGCTGCTATAGGGGAGCTGTTGGGGGAAAATGATAGGAGGGAGGTACTTGGAGATGCCTCAGGAAGGACATGGGTGTTTTTCCATAGATTATTCTTTCTGATTGGGAGAAATATCTTTAAATATTTGGATGGGCTTATTTTCATGTTTTTGTCAAGCAGGTCAGTGGTTCACCAGAGCGTACACCCCGTTTCCTCACCAGTTTCTAGAAGCCTTGCTCTGTTGTATGGATGCCAGCTCTGGCACCGCAAACACACACAGTGAATATATGTACTGTGTTTTAAGTAGAATCCTTGCACTGTCTTGGGAATGTGAGCAGCCTGTTCCTCTCTTCCCAACAGGGCTGGGATACTCTGATCCCCTTCCTCAGGGTTCCCCTGATGGATGCAGCTTATCCCAGGTTGACCGAGTAAAGTGGGCCAGAGAGGAAGCTGTAGTCACTGCAAGCGAGCGGCCTGTCCCTGCTGGGCAGGAAACCTAGAGTGATGAATGGGGCTGGATGAAGTCATCCTGCTCCTCCAATCAGACTGCTCGGAGAGAGCCAGGGGCCTCTGCAGATCCAGCCAGGCTGCCGGCTGCTCTCATGTACCTTTAGACAGAGGCTGTGAGTCTCTGGGAGTGGAGTGGGGGGGTGTGAACCGCCCGCTCCTGGCTCCTGTGTAGGCCTCAGTCAGTCTGAATGTTATTGCAAGGTGAGTGGCTTCACCGGGCGAATTTCTCTCCTTTTGCATTCTCCACCTTGCCGTGCCAGGCTCCGGCTTTGTGGCTCCGGCACTTCCTTGCACAGCACCTTTCTGCTTCCAGCTGAGTGCCTGCACCTTCTTGAGGTTCTCACACCCGCCTGCCCGCCACCAGCTGCTGACCTTCTCCCTTCCTGCTCCCCCCGGCTCTTGCTCATTACCTGCCAGCTGGCCTCTTCCCACATGCCCCCCTCATCCTGACCTGTGGGTACCAGTTGGCGGGGTGATGGGAGGGCAGGCCTCCGTCTTTGTGCCCTCTCCCTCTCAACAGGGGGAGCCTGGGAAGACCCACACTTCGCTCCTGGGAAGAAGTACCAGGCCAGGGGAGGTGCCCCCTGACTCAGCCTCCTGGGAGTCTGTGGAACACAGACAGGAGACAGGGCCCCCCTGCTTGCTGTGGACCTCCAGACTCTGACCTCTTACCCAGAAACTGAGGAAGTCCCAGGGGGCCAGAGAGTGGAAATAGGTGTCTTATTTTCCCCAGCCTTCCAGAGGGGTGGTTTGTTCTCCGTGGGTGGACGTTTGTGACTCTGCCTTTTCTCTCTGGATGGTGCCGCTGCTCCTTAGGCCAAGCAGAGATCATGGAGCCGGCTGACATGGCGACAGCAAAGGTAGGATGGAAATGCTGCCGGCCGCACTGTGCGTAAGTGGCTTCGCTTGGCGAGTTCTGCCTTTGGTTCACTTTTCTCTCTCCTCCTCTCCCTCAGCCCGCCACTCGTGAGCATCCAGGGGCTGTGTCAGAGTGGAGGGAAATGTTGTGAGCACCAAGACCTCAGGAGAGGCGAGGAGGTGCCAGGTCCTACAAAGCACATGCCCCACCTTGGTGTGCTTGGAAGTCGGAGTGGGTGGATGAGGGGTGCAGGGTGGGGGGTGGAGGTATCTGTAGCTTTCATCTGCACTCACTTATATGTCCGTTGTTTTCTTTAGCCTTGCCCTATTTTTTGTTTCTCTTTATCCTGTCCCTTTTTCAGTTATGCCTCTTTTTCACTCTCTCTCTCTCTCTCTGTCTTCTTCCTCTGCTTCTTCTCTGCACTGCATTCCATTTGTGCAACCTCCACACTTTCTTTTCACCTTCTGTTTGCTTCTCTTTTGCTTCTCCCTGTTGTATAAGGAATGGGTGGGGTTGGTGCGGGCTGGACAGTCTTAAAAGCAGAGACTGCCTCTCATCCTGCAGCAGACGTTGGCCTTGGGATTGGAGAGGAGTTTTTATGTGAGTGGCAGATGCTGCCGCTGGCCCCGCCCACTGCTCGCCGGATGCCCCAATGGCAGTGCGGGCCCGGGCACCTCCAGGGAATGGGGCCTGGGTGCTGCGCTGCTCAAACTCTGTGGGCACGCTAGAGGGCGCTCCTGAGATAGCTTTCAAATCTCTCCTGGCTCCTGCTTGCAATTTGAAATTTGCTTTCCTGTGTATTTTTCCAGACAAGGAGTTAGAGCCATTGGGAGTAGATGGGGGCATCTAAGGAGGCTGAGTCTGTGCAGCCCCAACCCCAGCTCCAGTGTGCAGGGAGAGATGTAATCCTTCGAGAATATCTCAGCCCTTCATTTGGGAGCCTTGCTTTTTGGCCAGATGGCAGGGTCTCCTTTCTCTCAGAGATGGAAGACTGGACAAGGCTCAGACTTCTGGAGCAGGTTGGGTATCCTGTGTTGTGTATGGAGGAGAGAATGAGAGAGGAGGCCCAAGCGGCAAGTCTGCTGCCAGCCTGAACCGGCAGGAATGTGTTACAGTGGTTAGAACATGTCTCTGGGAATCATAGAACTTGGTTTTCTGCTCCTCCCAGCCCTACAGGCTGTGTGATCAGATCCGAGTCACTTAACTTCTCTGGACTTCCATCTCCTGGTCTGCACAAAGGTGAAAATTACACACATCTGTTGTTTTAATCAGTTTAGATCTGTCAAATTCTCAGTTTTCTTAGAAAGGAGCCAGAGAGAGCAAACTATAGAGAACAGGTCTCCCTGGACCCATTCTCTCCTCTGTCTCCGCTTCCTCTCTCTTTTCCTTCCTTCCACAAACATCTGAATAGCCCCTTTGAATATGAGGTGGTGCAAAGTGCTTGTACTACCTTGACAGTGGGCAGTGGCGACCATGAAAGCAGGCATCTGCAACTGTGTTTGGATCCCAAACTGCTGCAAGCAGTTTGCTCTCTGGTGGGAACGCTGCTGTCTGTCTTCACCAGGGCCTTGCAAAGCCTCTAGTGAACTAGCTCTTGAGGTTGTAGGTGGTTTGTTATCAACCAGCTGGTTCTCAGGGGATGGTGGTGGCAAGTGCTCTGGAAAAGGTATGATTTGGGGATTTTGGGGATTTATTCTGTGGCTGGTTTGGAAAGGTCTGTTTAGTTTCTATTTGCATATGGAGGCAGAAACAGCCTGATTTTACTTAGGCCCTTGCTGTCCCTTAGTCCAGATTGCACATGATCTAAGCAGGTATAGCATCAGATGTTAGAGACGAATCATTCCTTTTTTATTTTCTACAAAAAATGAAAAATTAGCCAGGGGTGGTGGCATGCACCTGTAGTCCCAGCTACTCAGGAGGCTGAGGCATTTACTTTCAGGACCTTGACCAAGAGAGAATCTGATTGGCTAACAGAAACCGATGTCATTTCAAAGCAGCATTGTGAATCTTTTTTTTTTTTTTTTTTTTTTTAACCTTCTCTAATCCAGACCCTTTGGAAATTTACTTCAGGTATTTTCAGTCTGTGCCTGTGAACCATTCAGGGCTCTGAATGGACTTCAGGAGAGGGTCCACGAGCCCCCTTCATTGGTAGGCAGAATTTTGTATCTCTGTACATTTTTCTGGGGAGAGTATCCTTGGCTTTCATCAGCTCCCCAGGAGGCTTATTACTCAAAAAAGTTTAAGAACTTTTAACTGATCAAGATGCTTCCATAAAGAGCCTATTTGTATAGTCTAGGTACAAAGCCCAGGTACAAGAGGAACTTACATATTATGGCCAATGTCCTGGAATCTCTGATAATGCATAAAAGCAGCTTGTAAGTAACTTACATACAGTTTCAATATCACTTTTTAAATGTCTAAATACTTGAAAAATGCATCCCCCTTATCTCAGGCTTCCCTTTTTATTTCTGAGATACTATTCCCAGAATTTCCCCTAGCCGCAATGTACTGGGTTAATTTACCCTGGAATGAAATAGCTTTTGGTGGAGGTGTGGTCAGTCTTATGACAACATTCCCTATTAGACTCTTTTCAGTTCCTGGAGTAGAGCTTTTACAGGTGTGACTTCACCTTCTGGAGTCTGGATTTTGAGGTTCTATTAGTCCACTGCATTGTCATAGTACTACCCTTTTTTTTTTTAAGGTTGCACCTCAGACTAGGGCCATCTGATAGCCTGACCTGACTGTGTTAAAATATGTAGATGATGAATTGTTACTGAGAGTTAGTTTCCTTCCTTTCTTTCTCCCTCTCTCTTTCTTTCTTTCCTTCCTTCCTTCCTTCCTTCCTTCCTTTCCTTTCTTTCCTTCCTTCCTTCCTTCCTTCCTTTCCTTCCTTCCTTCCTTCCTTCCTTCCTTCCTTCCTTCCTTTCTTTCTTTCTTTCTTTCTTTCTTTTTCTTACCTTTCTTTCTTTCTTTCTTTTCTTCTTTCACAGGGTCTCTATTGCCTAGACTGGAGTGCAGTGGTGCGATCATGGCTCACTGCAACCTCAACTTTTTGGGCTCAAGTGATCCTCCTGCCTCAGCCTCCTGAGCAGGTGGGACTACAGGTGCATGCCACCACACTTGGCTAATTTTTTATTTTTTGTAGAAATGGAGTCTCACTATGTTGCCCAGGCTGGTCTCGAACTCCTGGGCTCAAGCAATTCTGCCACCTTGGCCTCCCACAGTGCTGGGATTATAGGCTTGAGCCACTGTGCTGGCAAGAGTTTTTGTCTTAACTTTGAGAAAAGAGGTTAGGGAGCATTAATTAACCCATTCATTCACCAGAGGGTTATTAAATGCTGACTGTATGCCAGTGGAGAGAGTTCAGTATGGAGAGTTTAGAGATGGGTAGTTCACAATCGCCGTGAAGAGTTGTTCATGGGTCCTCGGGGGAGACAGACAAGTAAACAAATTATGGCAACACAAGGTAATAGGTTCAAAATCAGGGACGCAAGAAGAATTACTTGACTGGGCAGTTCATAAAGGGCTTTGTAAAGAAGGTTACATTTGATCTGAGACCTGAAGTGTGGGTGGGAATTTATCAGGTGGACAAGAGAGGAAAGATGATGTGGCTGTGATTTAGAGTTGGACATATCTAGGTTCAAATGCTGACCCTGTTGCTTTCTGGCTCTGTGAACTTGAGTGGGTTATCTTGGCCTTCCCTGGTCTCAGTTTCCTCGTTTGTCCATGAGTTCACCATCAATACGCTGGGATTGTCATGAGGATTAAATGCAATGTCTTAGGATTAATGCCTGGCACACTGCAGATAGTCACTGAATGGTGGCTGTGGGTGCAGAGATCTGTTAGAGAATAGTGGGCCCAGGATGGACATGGCAGGGCCCAGGGCACGACAAGTAGCTTGGCAGGACTGGTGCTTAGGATGCATGTGGAAGACAAGAGGCAAATGTGAAAACCAGAAACAGAAGCAGGGAGCTGAAGCGCTGTGAAAGCCCGTGCAGTGCTGAGACTGCATAGACACTGCGAACAGCTGAAGGACTTCGAGGTACCATCAGGTTTGCTTTTGAGAAAGTACTCTGGCTCCAAGGTAGACAAGTAAGATAATTGCCTCATTTTGCTCCATCTCTGATAACTTTATTATTACTATTATTTTTACATCTATCTCTCCCCACTAGACTGTGAGCTCCTTGAGGGCAGGGATTGTGTGTTTTGTTTCTTAATTCACAGAAACCCTGGCACTTAGCATTTTACTTGGCAGGTGATAGATGCTCAATAAATATTTGGTGAATGAACAAATAGGAGAGGGTAACTGCAACTGCAAACCTAAAGGTAAGAATTGAAAGGCAGGTGAACGTTGACAGCAAGAAGCACACTCTAGTCATATTTCAGGTGCTAGAACTGACACGACGTAGTTCCTAATTAAATGGGAGATGGAGGAGTCTAGGGTGAATCGTTGGTTTCTGACTGGGTCACTTGGTAGCTGGTGGTGTGATTTGAGATTGATACAAGACGTCAGAGTTGGGAGGAGACAGTGGGACAGTGAGGAGTTCCCTTTATTCATACTGGCTCTGAACTGCCCGTGAGATATCTAGGTGAAGTTGTTCAGAAACAATGAGAAATTTGTGTCTGAGGTTAGGGAGTGGTACTGGTTGAGCATCCCAGATCTGAAAATCTGAAATTAGAAATGCTCCCAAACCTGAAACGTATTGAGTGCCAACATGCCGTTCAAAGGCAATACTCATTAGAGCATTTCAGACTTCAGATTTGACTATGTATCCTGCAAATATTCCAAAATCCAAAAAAATCAGATGCCCCGTCACAGCAGTTGAGAGGCAGAGGCTCTCCTTATAGGATGAGGTCTTAGAACGGAGAGCCTTCTTCATAGGGGAGTCTGAACTTCTGGATTTTGTGGAGAGATTGAAAAAAATTGGTGGACCAGCACAGAATTACCAGTTATTTATTTTACCTATGAAAGCTAGCAACTAAACTGAAACATAGAACTACCACCACTATGTATATGTATATTTAAAGAATATTTAAACACAAAATTTAAAAGGTCATGCTGTCAATATATTCAAACCTTTTTTTTTTTTGAGGCAGAGTCTTGCTCTGTCTCCCAGGCTGGAGTGCAGTGGCATGATCTCAGCTCATTGCAACTTCCGCCTCCGGGGCTCCAGCAATCCTCCTGCCTCAGCCTCCCATGTAGCTGGGACCACAGGTGGGCAACACCACGCCGGGCTAATTTTTGTATTTTTAGTAGAGACGAGGGTTTCACCATGTTGCCCAGTCTAGTCTCAAACACTAGAGCTCAAGTGATCTGCCCACCTCGGCCTCCCAAAGTGCCAAGATTACAGGTGTGAGCCCCCGCACCCAGCCAACATATTTAACCTTTTGGTGTTTACCACATTGTCCTAATTTTTCTCAATTCATTACCAATCCATGTAAAAACCCCATCATGGTACACGCCAGCACACAAGTGCCACTGGATCATCAAAGGTAGCTAGTGGCTTAGTGCATGGAAAAGCATTTACTGAATAGCGCTGGTCACAAAATGGATGGAAGCTGAACCCTTTGGTTTACTCATGATATGCCAGTCTCATGTCTGTTGTGATGCTGAGAGAAGGTAGTGGGTATCTGTGCCTGAAACAACTTAAAGCTTCCCCTGCCCTAACCTTAGGGCGCTGTTGAGAAAATGTCCCGATGACTGGAAATGAAACTGTTTAAAGTCGAACTCATTAGATGCTCCATCCAAGTAAACCTGTATTTATTGGCAGTGATAGTAGCAATATGTTCCGAAGGCACTATTTCTGGACACCTCTCATGCAAATAGAAAGCTCTTGTCTCCATAAAGGATGATGACAAATATTGGATCCTTTTTCTGGCTCTTTTGTGTTAAGACCAGACTAATCAAGAAATATCACAGACAGACTTAATGTAAGTCAGCTGAGACTATTCACCATTACTCGTCTGTTGATTAAAAAAAAAGTTGGTATAATGATTACAAACCTATGCTCGTTTTGGAAAACAGAGATATATCCTTCTGATTAGATAAGCGTCTCTTAGAGACTTGTTGCCTTATATTTTAAGTTAGTGTTATTTCATATAGTTTAATGCCCATCTTTTATCTTCCTTGTTGGATTATTGACTTGAGATCAAGGAGAACTCTGGATCTAACTTTGAAATATCATTGTGATTTGCTTGGGTCATGAACATATTAGACGCTCCATAAGTATGGTTCTGTTTTTGAGACGGGGTCTTGCTCTGTCACCCAGGCTGGAGAGCAATGGCACGATCTTGGCTCACTGCACCCTCCACCTTCTGGGCTCAAGCAATTCTCCTGCCTCAGCCTCCCGAGTAGCTGGGATTACAGGTGCACACCACCACGTCCAGCTAATTTTTGTGTTTTTAGTGGAGACGGGGTTTCACCATGTTGGCCAGGCTGGTTTCAAACTCCTGACCTCAAATGATCCACCTGTCTCAGCCTCCCAAAGTGCTGGGATTACAGGCATGAGCCACTGCTCCCAGCCATATGTACAGTTCTTGTTGAAAAAATAAACAGCTGATTGACCTAACAGAAAGAGCACAAAACAATGCAAAAATATTCCCAACAAAATAGGGAAAATTGGAAAATTTGTTGACATAAAGGAGAAAAAGTAGATTAGGAGCAGGAAATGGAGCCTGTGGTTCCTGTAGTATATAGTGGTGGTTCTGTGGACATGGGTTGGGAATAATCACAGCAGTGGTGAAAATGTATTGAGCACTTACTTGCTCTTAGTGTCATCCGCTCCGCATAGCAACCTGATGGGTGCTTGTCATCCTCACCTTTTTAATGGATGAAGGAGTTGAGGCTTAGAGAAATGGAGTAAGTTGCTCAAGGTCACATAGCTGTTAAGTATAGATTTGAACTCAAGGCTAATTCTAGAATCGCGGTGCTAAACCACAATACACACCACCGGGGGTGGTGTCAGTCCCTGTTCAATGAAGAATGCGGTTTTTCTGCACTTGTCCTATCATCGAACAATTTCTCTGCCAACAATAAATAGATTCTTATTGTGTCCTTGGGCAGACGACTTTCACTTTTAAAATGAGTTAACGCTCAATTCATCTGTATTTTTAAAAATGGTAATACTGATATGTAATTTAGTGGAAGAAGCAGAAATCCCCATTTGGTGGGAGGACAACAGGAAGCAGCTGGCTGTGGGTGTATGGGTGCCCCCTCCCGGAGAGAACCTGAGTTTATAAGCACCCTCCTGGGTCCCTAACACCATCAGTCACCCTGAATTTCTCCTGAGGATAAACCAGGAGGAGCCACGGGGGTGATTAGAAATCTGCCTTCTTTCTTCCATCTGGCAGGAGAGATGTTTTCTTTTGTTACGTGTGTAATTAGGATGATGAGTGACTTCAGGCAACGGCCCCTCTCCTGGTTGTGGGGTTTCTCTGAGGTGTGTGCATCTTTCTGACAGCAGGGCTCTTACCTCCTTGGGGCCACCGTTAAGTGCAGCAGCAGAAGGGGTCTCGTGATCCGGGACACGGGGATGAGCAAGCATGCAGAGAAACCAACACTAGTCAGGCAGTCAAGCATTCAGGAAGCGGGAGGAAGATTTTGGAGGTGAAGGGGAAAGTGGGATAGAGCGGGGAATCCTCTATGGGGATTTCTATTGCCAGACAGAGCTCTTGTCTCCTCATCAAGACAAAGTCTCCTTGGAGAAGGGATATCGATGGCTGCTTAAACAGGGGGAAGAGAGAGAGCTTAGTTGGGTGTTGCACTGAATTCAGTGAGGGAGGTGATCCCAATGTATGGCCTGGCTAAGGAGTTTCCTTACCCCGAGTTGCATGAGGGGGCTTGTGATTCTCAGATACGGTGTTTTTACCTTTTACTTTTTCCTCTTTTTACCAATTACAACCTTATAGAGCGGCTAGCAATGGCAGTACTAGTAGGAAGATAACTAGACCTCACTAAGCCTGCGTGTCTTGTGTTAAGTGTGGTTTAGCACTTCACTGGGCTGCTGTAAGAATCACTGGGCATGAGGTCTGCGCAACCACTTTAGATTCTAGAGTGATCAGAGGATCAGAGCCATCCACGGAAGCCCTGGCTGCCTCAGTCTTGCTTCCTCCCCTTCCTAGGGGCAGAACGAAGCTGAGTGGAATTTGGCTTTGATATTGCTCATCCTGTTTATTGCCTGAAGGAATATTCTGGATTAGCAGATTGTGAAAGAGGGGCAAAGAAGCCTGGCGGGAGGTGATTCTATTCATTTTATTTTTTAACTCCAGTGGCTTCAGTAAATCCAGGAGGCCATAGGAGCAGAATGAAGCATTCTTGAAGCAAACAGCCCCGCTTTGCTCTGCCCCCAAGCCTGCCACCCTTTGCTAGCCCTCTGGCCGGGTGCCTGCCCTGCACAGCGCTGTTTCACCCAGATGGTGGGCCTGGAGGGCAGGGGTGTGCATAAGGGTACCAAGGACAGGAAGGGAGGGGCTGGCTTTGGAGGCTCCAAGCTGGGAGCTGACATAGATGAATAGGCTAGAAGGCGAGGCCAATGCCTGCAGCCCACACTGTCACCCCAGAGCCAGTGACTAATAGTGGCAGAGGGTGGGGAGAGGAGAGTGCCAAGGGAGGGAGAGGACAGGGAAGTGGTGGGGAGCACCTGATCGGGGTGCAGCCCTGGCCATCTGCTGGTCAGCTCACACAGGCTCTCTATTGAGTGCAGTTTGGAAGCGGATTTTGGCTGGAGGACTAGAAAGAGGCTTGTTGTGGAAATGGAGTGTTTAGGAGGCTGTTCCTCCCCCGCTGCTCCTCTCTCACTTGCTTCCTGACCTCCAAAATGCTCCTTAAATATAACACTCTCAACGCCTGATGACTCCCCTGCCTGAGCTTAGAGCTTTGATTCCCCAACGTGTGACTGCAGCACTGCTCTGCCCCAGATTTCCCAGCAACTAGAGGCATGCAGCTATGCCCCGGTACTGCAGCGCTGCTGCACTCCTGCTCCTGGAGCAAAGAGGGGCACATAGGGAGAGCAGCACAGAATCCAAGAACTTGAGCTAGAAGGAGAGCTTCAGGGATCCTGTCGTTTATTTTCTGCTCCAGATAGGGAGCCAGAGGCTTGGAGTGGCTTACCCAAGGTCGTGGGATTCTGGTGGTGGAAAGAGCTCCAGATGAGGAGGTGGGAGGCAGGAGGGCCGAATTCTCCCTTGGCTTCTGCCACTCAGTGGCGGAAGCCTGAGATAGGAGCCGATATTGTGGCATTTGAGTTCACAGCTTCCAGGTTTCCCTTGGCCGGATGGCCCTGGGTGTCTGCAGGCAAGGTCAACAGCAGCATGCTCTGGTGACCTCTTACCATTCTAGTCCCCATTTATGGATGAGACAAGAAACACCAATCATGTTTTTGTTGGATTAGGAAAGGAACAGTGCCAGGGTAGGCGAGACTTTAAGACTCATAGGAGACCAACAGAAAGTCAAAGCAGCTGCAATCAAAAGGAAAAAGCTGAACTCTTTCCGGCCTCCATTCTAAACCCAGTAAAGTTCAGAAGAAACCGTGGTAACAAGAGACTTGGAGTAATACAAATCAAACCAACTTCATGTTCATTAAATTAGTGGACTCAGAAAGGCCAGTTTCTGTGAAAGTATAGCTGTGAAAATGCAGGTAACACAAAATCTTGTCTAGACCCCTGTGCCCTACCCCCTCTTTATCAAGCCTGTTTATAAAAACCCAAAAGGGGTTGGTATTCAGTTGTTTTCTAAATACTCTGTGTATTTTAAAATTGTTTGCATTGAATAGTTAGCTAATACAAAATAATATATAGGGGGGCGCGATGGCTCACACCTGCAATCCCAGCACTTTGAGAGACCAAGGCGGGTGGATTGCTTGAGCCCAGGAGTTCAAGAACAGCCTGGGCAACACAGCGAAACCCCATCTCTACAAAAAATAAAAATAAAAATAAATTAGCTGGGCATGGTGGTGCGTGTCTGCAATCCCAGCTATTCAGGAAGCTGAGGTGGGTGAATCACTGGAGCCCAGGAGGTGGAGGCTGCAGTGAGCCGTGATCATGCTACTGCACTCCAGCCTGGGCAACAGAGTGAGACCCTGTCAAAAAAAAAAAAAAAAAGAAAGAAAGAAAAAGGAAAATAAATAATATTTATAAAATATATAAAAATATGTGTAAAGTATAAAGAACAAATGACAATTGCAGGAGTACCTCTCACCTGTTCTGCTCCATTGCATGTGACTGATTTATGCATTTTCAATGCTGTGTACTGTTCCACCTTAAGAAAATAACACGAGGCATGTATCCTTTCTGTTGATAGACATTTGTTTTCAGAGTTTTTGTTTTGCTTTTGCTGTTACATGGAGTGCTATTTAAAGTCTTTCGTGCATGCCTCTGAATGTGAGTTGCTTCTATTATTGGAGTAGAACTGTTACGTATTAGAGTATGCAATCATCCAACTTTATTACATAATACCATATAATTTTCTTAGGGAGTTGAACCAGTATACACTCCCACTAGCTCCTTTCCAACACTTGATATTATTTGACTTTTTAATTTTTGTCAATGGGATGAGTATGTGATGACATCTCACCAGAGTTCCAATTTATATTTTCCTGAGTACTAATGGATTGAGCTCCTTTTTATATAGTTTATTGCTTTCTTTTCTGAAAATGCTAACTTAAATCGTTTGTCTATTTTTAGAATTATCTTTCTTTTTCTCATTGGTTTGTAGGGATTTTTAATAAATTCTGTGAACAATTCCTTTCTCAACCAATATATGTTGCACATATTTTCTCTTAGAACAGCTTTGTCTTTTCTCTCTATGATCTCTTTGGATGATCAGAAGTTTTTAACTTTACTGTGGCTGAGTCTATCATTTTTTTCCTTTATGGGCATTGTTTTTGGGTCAGTTGTTTAGGAAACTCTCAGGGTACAATCAGTGTAAGAGTCAGTTTGTGATTATGATTTATCAGAGGAGATTATTCTTCCTCCTTTGTTCAACATCAAGGTTTAGGACAGGGAATTTTCCTTTTAGTTCCTGGGCAGCATTTGTACATTTCTTTCAAGTTTATCCTTACAGTGAGAGTGTAGTCCACTGGGATCCACTTTATGAGGTAGTTGCCTCTTGATTCTCTCACCACTTGTGGGCTTTGGGAATTATCTCTAGTGTGCTCTGGGAGGCCATGAAAACTGAAGCCCAGTTTCACTATTTTCTGCCATCACTAAATTTTTGACGTTTAAATATTTCTTACTTTTTTGATAGCTCATCAAGCACTTTAAAATAATTTCTTTTTTTTTCCTATTTTATCTGTGTGTATGCCATATTGCCAGATATGGAAGTCTTTGCAATCTAGTTTCCTCTAAACAATTCTTATCCTTCCTGAAATGCAAATGTCAGGAAGCAGCCAGATTGCAGGGAGTCAGGCAGAAGCAGGAGAATCTGTGTATTCATTCCTAGAGGTTGTGTTAGTGCTTGCGATTTATTGGCCAGGAACTTTTCAAACCATGGAGACTGCTTTCCGTGAGAAGATAAAGAGGGAAGTTAGATGAGGAACATTTTTCCGTCTCACTTGGTCTCAGTCTTTACCTCAGAAAGCACTTCAATGTCTCTTCAAAGCTATGTTTGGATCACCTTTTGAGATTTTCTTTTTCTTTTTTCTCTTTTGGATGGTCTTGCTCTGTTGCCCAGGCTGGAGTGCAGTGGCGTGATCTCGACTCACTGCAACTTCCACCTCCCAGGTTCCAGTGATTCTCCTGCCTCAGTCTCCCAAGTCTTTGGGATTATAGGCGTGCCCTACCACGCGTGGCTAATTTTTGTATTTTTAATAGAGACAGGCTTTCACCATGTTGGCAAGGCTGGTTTCGAACTCCTAACCTCAGGTGATCCACCCATCTCGGCCTCCCAAAGTGCTAGGATTACAGGTGTGAGCCACCATGCCCAGCCGAGATTTTCTTTACGGACCACAAAAATGGAACCTGTCCCCAGGGCCCTGTGAGAAGCTCTGTTTCAGAAACAAGAAAGAGCCAAGGGGAATTCGAGGCAGATGATGATCGCTCAACCCACTGGGCTCTCCTGTTCTTCCTTCCCTTTTGGGTTCCTCACATCACACACAGACACTCAAGCCAGCCAACTCATCAGTAATAGAAGAGATTTAGTCTTGATTTAGTCTCTTTTTTAACTGTTACCTGGATTCTTTTTCTCTTGGGAACATGTAAGCTTTTGTAAACCAGTTTGTCTGATAGAGAAGGAGATTTTTTATAAACATACATAGTGAATAAGAGAATAGGTTTTTGAGCTGGGCACGCCTGCATTCAAATTCCAGGCTTGCAGCTTGCTAGCTGTTTGACATTAGGCAAATTAAGGCACTACAGTTAGGCTGGGCGCGGTGGCTCATGCCTGTAATCCCAATACTTTGGGAGGCCGAGGTGGGCGAATCACCTGAGGTCAGGAGTTCAAGACCAGCCTGGTCAACATGGTGAAACCCCATCTCTACTAAAAATACAAAAATTAACCGGGCATCGTGGTGCGTGCCTGTAATCCCAGCTACTCGGGAGACTGAGGCAGGAGAATTGCTTGAACCCTGCCGGCAGAGGTTGCAATGAGCTGAGATTGCACCACGGCACTCCAGCCTGGGCAACAGAGTGAGACTCCATCTCAAAATAAATAAATAAATTAAAAAGACACTACAGTTAGTCTTCAGTGTCATTATCTGAAAATCATGAGGTACTGCCTTATAACATGGATGTGAAGATTAAGTCAGAGAATACAGGCAAAATGCTTAGCTTGATGCCTGACATAACTAACCCTCAATATACTCCTATTAATAGCTGAGAAGGAGTTGACTTTTTGGATTTTTGTTTTTGTAGTTAAAAAAAAAACAGCTAGAGCAAAAGCCAAAAAAATTTACAGTTACAATAATGTTTCTAATATAATACTTGGAAATCTTTGATCCAGGTTTTCTGTGTTACTTGTGATCAGAGCAGTTGATGGGCCAGGATGAGAATACAGTATTCACGTGTACCTGGAGTACTCTCAGTGACATTTGCCTCGGGGCTGGATCACATGACCTGGTATTTCCATTGAGTGAATTATCTAGGTCATAAAGGACAACTCTTTGTACTTCTGGAATCTGTTGCATCCCTTCAATATCTGTGCTGAAAGTATGGCCTGGGTACAGGCTCCAGGAGCTTTGAAAACATAATTTTGGATGTGTTCAGAAGTCCTGGCAGCATTTGGGTTTGTCTGGCATGGGGCTATGGATAGATCAATTCCACAGCCAAGGGCTGCTTTGGGAACACCTTTCTGAAAACTCAGTATACCTTATTTTTTTCTTTCTTTCGTTTTTTACTTGTGGAATCAGGTCACAAAAGGTTAGTATATCTTAAAGAGTGTTTCTTCTGGACCACGTGGACATTGGAGAGATAACATGGTGTTTTAGTTCGGTTTGAGTAAGGTCACTTAAACGCTTGCTTATAGTACCCTACAATCCCCAAGCCCTCCTCCTCAGTGGGGATATAGAGATTGCTGAATGACACACAGTCCTTGTCTCCATGGTGCTTATCCTCTAAAAAGAACAAAGCAGATAATAAGTCATTACAAGTATGATGACTGTTACCAACGAGGGTCTGCACTCCAGTTTTTATTTTTATTTTATTTTATTTTATTTTATTTTATTTTTTGTTTGAGACAGAGTCTCACTCTGTCTCCCAGGCTAGATTGCAGTGGTGGGATCTGGGCTCACTGCAGCCTCTATCTCTCTGGTTCAAGCAATTGTCCTGCCTCAGCCCCCCGAGTAACTGGGATTACAAGCACATGCCACCACACCCAGCTAAATTTTGTATTTTTAGTAGAGACGAGGTTTCGCCATGTTGGCCAGGCTGGTCTCAAACTCCTGACCTCAAGGGATCCGCCTCCTTGGGCTCCCAAAGTGCTGGGATTACAGGCATGAGCCACTGTGCGTGACCAAAGGAGAAATGATTGGTTTTTCTCACTTTAGAGGGTCAAGTATAGATGATGTTCATACGACACGAGGATGTCTGCAGATTGTTTTATGGGCAAATTTTAGGGTAAAGGCTTATTATGGTTCAACTGTTTTGGAGCAAGTTTCTGGGTAAAGCTTTATTATCATGGTTCAGTTGAAGGTTGCTATTTCATAATTAATCTCTTTGTTCGTTGTCACCCATCCGCATTACTGACCCAGATAGTAATGTAGGGAAAGATAGAAAGGGATCATATAGCCAGGGAAGTTGTTGGTGTTGGAACTCCCAGGCCCCAGCCTGGAGGATCTGATTTAGGAGGAGCCTCTTCCCCATTCTCAGTGAATTGTTACTTTCCAGCTAGAGTTGAAAATCCTGGTCCTGCCTTACTGGGTGCTGTGGCTGGTCTGCATCTTCTTGGAGCCCAGGATTGGTGATCATGTTGCCTAAATCCTAAACCAGGCCTTTGTGGTCACCTTAAAAGGATCCCTTGCCCCAGGTGACAATGTGCTGCCCTGCCACCAGAAGTTGCTGCCTCACCCTGCGTCCCAGAAGTCATGGCAATTTCCCCAGCAGGAGGAGAGAGCTGTGCATTCTGTGTGCAGCACACTGCCTGGGAGCACGCAGCCCTGCTTGCCCCGCCTTGCGGGGTGAGGGTTCTGTTTAAGGTGGTCTTGTGCGCCTAGATGTCCCAGGCACTCACCACGGGGCCTCTGAGTTCTGCTTGGATTCCAGAGGTGTGCAGAGGACCTAGGGTCCAGGTTCCCCTCCCCCGCAGGGGTGGGGCATTTTAACCCCTGAGTGGATGCTGACAGAAGTGCTCAACTTCAGATATTTCTGCCCCCTCCTCTTCCTTCCTGGCACCACATTCCTCACGCACCCTCTCCCTGATATTCTGTCCCATCCTGGGACTAAACATGTGCTGTGTCTTTAAATGGGCGGAAGTGGCTGGCAGTGCTTTGCTTGGGTACTGCATTGATTAGGAGATTATATGGAGCTGCGGGAGCTGCCGCCTGGGGGAAGAGAGGTGCAGCTTCTGCTAGGTTTGTGCTCTCCTCCCAGGGTCTCCTTGGCTTCCTTCCCCAAAGCAGCTCAGAGCTGGTATGAGGTGAGGGTGGGGGGCAGCCGGCCAGCCTGGCTGTTGACGGCAACTCCAGGGCTTGTTTCGCGCAGCCTTGCCAGCATTACCCATCCTCATCAGAAACTGGCAGCGGCAGCCACAGCTCGGGCAGGCGGCTCCAGCCCCAGGCTGGATTTGCAGAATCTGTCCTTTGCCTCCAAGCCCAGCTTTCAGCTGGGAGAGGGGGAAGAAGGGGCAGTGGCAGCAGTTCTTCTGGCTCTTTCTCCCTTTCTCTCTTTCTCTTTCTGTGTTCAAGTCACATTACATGGGATTCTGTTCTTTTGGGACTTCGTCATCTTTTCCAATATGTCCTGGGACCTCCGGAGCTGTAACGGGGATGCTAAGGACACGGTCAGTGGATTATCGTGACTGTACTAATGAAAGGATTCAAGCTCTCCTGGTAAGTAGAGGAGGGATAGGGCACCTTCCTCTTCTGCCTTTCTTCAGCCCTGTGCTCGCCCCAGCACCCTCAAGAGGTCTCCTTCATTGATGCCATCTCACCAGGCATCGAGGGGTTAAGATGTGGGGACTAGGCACTTTAAAAGTTGGGGTACTCTCCCTGGCTCCCCCAGCTGCTGCACTGCTGCACTATTTTCCTTACCTTCTTCGAGGTCGGGGGTTTTGTGGAAGTTGAGGGGCAGTGGAGAGAATCAAATTGCAGCTAAAACGTTCTCCAACTTCGAGTACGTGAGGAGTGGTGCGCACAGAGGGAACTTTATAATAAAGAAACATCCCTTCCCTTTGGCGAGGTGTTGTGCGTCTGCATCAGGCTGGGGGTGCAGTTGTACTCTTCCTTAGCCCTGACCAACACGTGATTTTGAGGGAGGGTGTGCGGGGGGCCTTTCTCACGTCAGCTGCTTAGGGCGGGCAGTCCCTAGGGGCATCCCTCTGAGGGGCCAGGCTCCATCTTCTAGGATGCCTGGTGTCCAGAGGCGAGTGGACCGCTGCCTACCCCAACACAAGCACTCACCTTGGGCCTTTGCAAGTGCCTGTTCCTGGGCTTAATCTTGGGACATTAAAGGCATCTCTCGCTTGGGGTGTGGGAGTAGCTGTATTCTAGCTACAGAAGTAGTCAGAATATTTTTACCTTCCATTTAAAAAATAAAACCTTTACCTCTCTCTGTTTTTTGACCCAATAAGGAGATTGCACGGGCAGGTGAATTGGCTTTTCATCTGGTGGAGAAACTGCAGATTTTGCTTGGAAAACTTTGCCATACCAGTGATCCGGTACCCCTGCAGGGTGGCATGTGCAGCTGCCTGAGGCCTCCTTCAGAGGAGAAAGGCTCCTTGGACTGAGGAGGGAGCTTTCTCCCTGAAGAGGGTGGAGGGTGGGAGGAGGAGGATGAGCTTGGGAGAGCTCCCAGCAAGGATGAGTCCTGCCTTCATTGCGGCTGGCTGTCCACGCGTGGGGTGGGGTGGCGGCAGGTCACATCTCTGAGTGAAAGGTTGATTTTCAGAGTCAGGGATGGGTGTTGAGCGATTTGAGGCATGGGGTCCTAACCTGGCTCTGGGCCACATTTGGCCTTCCAGGCACCCCTACCCTAGATTAAACCCTGAGAGAATGTCTAGTCCAGCCCTCCTCCTGTAGGGAACAGGGCCCTTTAGTGGGTCTTGAAAAGGCACTTTGCAGAAGGCAAAGGGAGGTGCTTAGTTTCTGCAAGTGTAACTCTCAAGAACTGCGAGTTCCCAGGAGGTGATGAACATCAGTTATCCCCCAGCCGGGAGTTTCTTTTCCTCAAGCTTTGCTATCCCTCTCTCTTACATTTAGTCCTTGCTTTCTTGGGGTCTGGTACCCCATTCTTTCTGGGTGGGAGGCTATTAGCAGTGTTTATTGTCACTGGGAGTTCCAGGTCCAGACCAGCAGCTAAAGCTCTTCCTTATTCCTCAGTAGAGCCATGCTCAGTCTGTAGCTGGGATGAGGCCTCCAAGAAAAGCCCAGGTGCTGCAGGAACACTGGGCTCTTCATCAGAAATCTCTCCGCATCCTTCCGCGCCCCTGCTGTCAGCACACCCAACTTGGGGCTGAGGGGTAGCTTGGCTGTCATTCAGGATGAGACATCACTTTAACAGAATGCTCTCAGCTCAGCCTGGGTTGGTCCTCAGGGATGTGCAGAGATGTTTGCCTTTAAAAATCTGCCTTGAGCATCTCTTGATGCATTTCAACAAGGAGAGCAGTGTTAATCTGGGAACTGTAATTGGGATAATTTTGTCTTCTTCAGAAATTTTACAAGGATGGGAAAATGTTGTCATTTATCTCTGCCTTGATACTGTTAGATCCTGTGACCCACTGTCTCATTAAGTACAGGTCCATTTTGGTCCAGGGGCCAAACCTTGTAGTTGTGGATGAAATGCGGCTCCCTTTGGCAGTATCCCAACTGGTACTCCCTACTCTCTGGTACTCAGGTACTGATAGGGTACTAATGCTGATACTCTGGTACTGGTACTCAGGGTACTCCCTACTCTTCCAACAAGGAGACTTGATAGAAGCAAGATGACCAAATCTATTGACTACCTTGGTAGCACTGTCTACATATGGAAGAGAATGAATTTAATTAAAATTATAATGTTTGAATTATTTCTAGAAACAACTCTGGAATGCCTACTATGGGTTGGTGATATATAAAATGATGGTAAATACTGATAAGAACAATGGTGACTAACATTTGCTGAAACTATGTATCAAGCACCACAGTAAACTCACATGGAGCTCACAGTGTTATGATAAGAATCCCCATTTTATCCCCATTTTATGGATGGGGAAGCAGACACAGAGTTTAAGTGGCCTGCTTGAAGGCATGCAGATAGGAACCAGGCTTTGGGCTTACAGCAGGGTAAGTTTCCCCAGTGATTCACCTGTCCCTGGTTACTCCTCTTCTCTAGTATAATTTCCGCTCTGTGTAATGCCGTGCTAGACACCGGCTTTTTTTTTTATGTTCTGTTGTCTCTTATATTCATTAGGTCAGTTAGTTAGACTTTTAAAAGTGTGTATAAATATGTTATCTCATTTGATTCTTACTATAACCTCATGAAGCAGCTGGTGTCTCCATTTCAGAGGTAGGGAAATGGAGGCACAGAGTGGTAAAGTGAGATTTGATTAAATTAATGCAACTAGTTGGTGGGGAAGCCAGGATACACTCTTACGGCTGAACTGATTTCAGAGTGGGGACTAACTACCACGCAACAGCATGGTGTGTCAGTCAGGCCTTCTTTCCCAGAGAGCAGGCTCAGGGTCTGTCCATTCATTTTCTCATCCATTTCTTCATTCTACAAATGTTGATCAAGTATTATTTTTGCAGCCCCGTTGTCTAGGCATTGTGAAGTTAAAAAAATTTAAAGGGCAATGCTTTGGCCTTTTAGGGGCTGGTAGCCTCACAGATGGAAGGAGGCTCTCTCACACCTCCGACACATGTGTACACGCAAGTCAGTAAGTGTTAAGGGACAGATAAGTGCGGTGAACAGCAGACACTCTAGAAATACATTTCAGCTGGCATGACAGAGGAGTCTTATTGGAGTAATTGAAATGTGAGGGAGGTTCAGAGGCTGGACAATTAGGTAAGTAAAGGCTGTACTTCACACAGCTGTACCTCATGGAGTTATGAGAGTATCACTGAGGATGCTTTTGGATGAAGATGACCGTGACATATGTCTATGACTGACAAGTGGTTGGACTTTGAGATAGAAATCTCCCCCAGTGCAACCCCTCTCTCTCAATAGGGTAAGAGCTTTAGGCTGTCTCCAAAGAGGATTCTATGATTTCTTCTACTGGTAACTTGGTGAGCAAGGTAAGGGCAGTGGTGGAGGAGACTGAGAGAGGAGGTGGCATTGACAAACAGATGGGACTGCGGCCCAAGACTCTGTGGGGCATGTAGTGATTTGGAAGCCAAGAAATTGGTTTTTTAAAGAGTAACTCACCAATCTTCCGCAGCTTCTACATGGTTATTTTTTTTCTTTTGGTGACGCAAAGATAGTCCTAATTCCTGTAGAGCCTTGGAACCTCAAACACTAAGAAGGTCTCCAATTTTGTGGGGCTGCTCCACCTCCAGATGGTTCTGGCCCCCATAGGACTAGGCAGACTGTAGTGACATCTGTCTGAATTCCCTGTCCTCGTGTTCCTGGCCCTCACATCTGCTGGGCTTGGTAATGCCGTCTCCAAAGAGCCTGGGGGCTGTGACAGACCTTCAGGAAAGTCAGTGTGCTGGAAGAATTTGATTCTGGAAAAAAAAAAGGTTGAGAGAAAGTATAGTTCTTGACAGAGAGCAGGTGAAGCATTTCTGTGGAAAAGGGCTTAGTCCTCAGATGAGGGGAGTTTCGAGTTTCTCCATGTTCGAGTGGGTGAGTGAGCAGTCTTGCTACTTTCACACTGTTTAGGAGGATAAGCACTGTGTGACAGAACCTACTCACATTCTTCACAGGTAGCTGGGAGGGTCCATTTTTTTTTTTTTCTACTTCTCCATATTTCATGACCATTAATGGTCAACAATATTTTATTTGATAGTAAATGTCAGTTGCCTACTGTACCCATTCTTTTCAATCTGTTGGCAAGTGGGGTGCTGTTCATTCTTTAGCTGTTGCCTGGACCAAATTATCTATTCCTCTAGATTTCTTTTGTCTTTTCTGTTTTTTTGAGACAGAGTTTCACTCTTGTCACCCAGGCTGGAGTGAAGTGGCGAGATCTTGGCTCACTGCAACTTCCCCGTCCCCCCGGATTCAAGTGATTCTCCTGCCTCAGCATCCTGAGTAGCTGGGATTACAGGCGCCCGCCACCACACCCAGCTAATTTTTGTGTTTTTAGTAGAGACGGGGTTTCACCATGTTGGCCAGGCTGGTCTCAAACTCCTGACCTCAGGTGATCCACCTGCCTTGGCCTCCCAAAGTGCTGGGATTACAGGCATGAGCCATCGTGCCCAGCCTCAAGATTCTTTCTGTAAGAGGTCTGCTCCAGAGGAGGGAGCCCTAGACATGGCCCCTGCACACCTCCTATAGAGCCAGGCTTCCCAGCTATGGAAACGTTTATCAGGAGGTGAGTTGCGGTGAAGGTTGGGGTCACTTCATGGCTTGAGACTTTGGAGAGCTGACTCCTGAACCAGAACCCTGTAATCACCTTTTGGCCTGCTGTGTGGCCCTGGTAGGTAACTTCTGTTTGCCTTGGGTGGTGGTGGTTTTGAAAGTGGGATTAAATGAGTGTTGGGTGGATTAGTTGGTCTCTCAGCTTCCTTTTTAGTAATGGTTTAGAAAAAGGCCACAGTCCTGATAGAGCAGGTTGCTAGTGATGTGGACTGTTTGCGTTCTTCTGTAGCCAGCAGGGGACACTGAAAGTAAACATTCATTTGAAACTATTAAATATTCATTTACAAACATCGCACAGCAGGCACACCCTCCTGCGAACAGTGTGAGATTTACTTTATTATTCTGTGGGATGGGAATTGGAGTTTTCCCGTGGTTCGGTAAGTCCAGGACACTGAGCGCTGGTCATCTAGGCATTTAAATCCCTTGAGTGAGAAGGACAGCTCAGGGCGAGGACTGAAACTTCTGACTCTACAGATTTCTTAAAAGGATAAGCGTTTCTCACCTCTCATTCACAGTTCTGCTTTGGTAAACTGTACCTGGCTTGAAGTAAGCAGCAATAAACATTATTTGCTTTGTTGTGTTATTGTCGTCATCATTACTACTCTAAGAAGAAAGAAAGAATGTAACTTTGTAGCTGGCAGAGATTGTTGCAGATCAGATTATGAGTACCTAAGGTTCATTGCTGCTGCTGGCTCGAAGCCCTTCCCTCCCGGCCTTCCTGAGGCTTGTTGTCATCAAGTTTATTATTGCTGGAAGAGACGGTTTAGGGTTTCTAATGAGAGAACTTGAAGACACTTCTCATCTCTTGCTGAATTCTTCGGAAGACTGGACATTTGTCCCCTAAATGAGTTATTAAGGTGAAAGGATGTGACGGACTACATATTGCTAGATGGTTTTTTTTTTTTTTTTTTTTTTGAGATGGAGTTTTGCTCTTATTGCCCAGACTGAAGTGCAATGGTGCGATCTCGGCTCACCTCAACCTCCGCCTCCCGGGTTCAAGTGATTCTCCTGCCTCAGCCTCCCAAGTAGCTGGGATTACAGGCATGCACCACCACGCCTGGCTAATTTTGTATTTTTTTAGTAGAGACAGGGTTTCTCTATGTTGGTCAGTCTGGTCTCAAACTCCCAACCTCAGGTAATCTGCCCACCTCAGCCTCCCAAAGTGCTGGGATTACAGGCGTGAGCCACCACGCCCGTCCTGTTTATTAATTCTTAATGCTATTCTTTGGTTTGTGTTTGCAGAAAGATGTTGAACTAAACTGGGTTATGCCATGATAATACCATTCCCTCCCCCTTTCACCCCAACCAGCTTAACTCATGCTAAATTTAGTTCTTGATCACTCCAAGTCCCCTCAGGCTCTGGAAAACTCTCCAGGAAGGCTATCCTGCATGTGGCAGGCAGCTCAGTGATCCAGGCAGTAGAATGTCATGGCCCTTCTACCGCAGTGGTCAGGGTGGGGTGGGGAGGAAGGCGTGGCTCTTAATGCTCCTCCCTGAAAGTGAGTATACTGTCCCTGCACTTGCCCCACATTGGCCAGAGCTAGTCACGTGGCCCTGCCTGACTGCAGGAAAGCTGGAAGATGTGGCTTCTGAGTGCAGGAAGAGGGGAGAACTGGAAATATGAGTGAGCACTCATCATACATACCACTACTGCACAGCTGCTCTTATTGGTAGTGTGGGCACGGGCTGATGCCTCTTCCTAAGACACAGCAGCACTTCCTTAGTGCCTGTAGAATGAAGGCCATTATCCAAGATGTCATGGAAGACCTCATGTGACCTTACATTGTGGTTTGACACACCATAGCCAACAGGCCAAATTCGGTTTGATGCCAGATTTTATACAGTTCTTCCAAACTAAGAATGTTTCTTTACCTTTTTAAATGGTTGAAGAAATTAAGAGAAGGATAATATGACATGCAAAAATTATATGAAATTCCATACGTTTTATTAGAACACAGGCATACCAATTTGTTTATATGTTACCAATGATCACGTTCATGCTACAACAGCAGAATTGAGTAGTTGCAACAGGTCTATGACTGGCTGATCTAAAACATTTATTATCGAGCCCTTTACTCAAAGTTTGCTGCCTCTAGTTTAAGCAAATAGAGATACTTCTCAAGTGCAACAAAATATGTTTTTACTGGATAAAAACAAGTTTTGTTCTTGTTGCCCAGGCTGAAGTGCAATGGTGCGATCTCGGCTTATCACAACTTCCGCCTCCCTGGTTCAAGCGATTCTCCTGCCTCAGCCTCCCGAGTAGCTGGGATTACAGGCATGCACCACCAGGCCTGGCTAAATTTGTATTTTTTTAGTAGAGACAGGGTTTCTGTGTGTTGGTCAGTCTGGTCTCAAACTCCCGAACTCAGGTGATCTGCCCGCCTCAGCCTCCCAAAGTGCTGGGATTACAGGCGTGAGCCACCGCGCCTGGCCTGTTTATTAATTCTTAGTGCTATTCTTTGGTTTGTGTTTGCAGAAACTTAGCTAGCAGTCCTGTTCTAGGTACTGTAATGGTAATGTGATGATAAGGATACTAATAATATGTCTAACATTTAATTCACTCTATATTTTATTTATTTATTTATTTTTATTTTATTTTATTTTTTTAAGACAGAGTCTGGCTCTGTCACCTAGGCTAGAGTGCAATGGGGCAATCTCAGCTCACTGTAACCTCTGCCTCCTGGGTTCAAGTGATTCTCCCATCTCAGCCTCCTGAGTAGCTGGGATTACAGGCGCCAGCTACCATGCCAGGTTAATTTTTGTATTTTTAATAGAGACAAGATTTCACCATGTTGACCAGGCTGGTCTTGAACTCCTGACCTCAAATAATCCACCCGCCTGAGCCTCCTGGAGTGCTGGGTTTACTGGCGTGAGCCACTGTGCCTGGCCTCAGCCTATGTTTTAAATCTTATAAACTCATAGCAATTTTTTTAAATCTAGGTACAGATTATTCAGATTTTACAAGTGAATAAACTAAAGCACAGAGGAGCCAAGTACTCCAAGCAAGGTCACACAGCTCAAAAGTGTTTGAGCTGGTAGTCTGACTTTAGAGTCCATGCTCTTAACTACCACAATTACAAAGCAACTGGAAGACAGGTCTTTGTCTATGAGAAGACATGAGACTAATACGAAAAGTTTGAGGAATAGTAATTTATGAAGACAGCATTTAATGGTTTGAATTACAGATGACCCTTGACCAACTTGGTGCTTAGGGGCACCAACGCCCATGCAGTCAAATCTGTGTGTAGCTTTTGACTTCACAACATCTTAACTACTAATTGCCTACTGTTGACCAGAAGCCTTACTGATAACACAGTCAATTAACACATTTTTGGTATTATGCATTATATACTGTATTCTTGCAATAAAGTAAGTAGAGAAAAGAAAATGTTAAGAAAGTCATAAGAGAATATATTTACTACTCATTAAGTGGAAGCAGATTGTCATAAAGGCCTTCATCCTTATTGTGTTCACATTGAGTAGGCTGAGAAGGAGAAAGAGGAGGGGTTGGTCTTGCTGTCTCAGAGGCGACAGAGGTGAAAGAAGATTTGCACGTATTTGGACTTGCACAGTTCAAATCCATGTTGTTCAGGGGTCACTTGTACAATTGCCAAAGATGTGCAAGAACAGAGATGGAGAGGTAGTAATGGGCAAAAGAAATTGAGAAGGGCTGAATGAAGGAGATGGGATGTGGGTTGATCCTTGGAGAATGGAGTCCACTGAGATTTCAAGAGAGACGAGCAGGCCTGGCGCAGTGGCTCATGCTTGTAATCCCAGCACTTTGGGAGGCCGAGGCGGGTGGATCACATGAGGTCAGGAGTTTGAGACCAGGCTGGCCAACATGGTGAAACTCTGTCTCTACTAAAAATAAAAAAAAATTAGCTGGGCATGGTGGCAGGCGCCTGTAATCCCAGCTACTCTGGAGGCTGAGGCAGGAGAATTGCTTGAACCCAGAGGTGGAGGTTGCAGTGAGCCAAAATTGTGCCATTGCACTCCAGCTTAGGCAGCAAGAGCGAAACTCCATCTCAAAGAAAAAAAAAAATAATGAGGGGGTCTCAGGCAAAGGAGAAGCAAGACTGGGCCACAGAAATCAGACTGAGGGCCTTGGGAAGGGAGGGAGCTGAGCAGCCTGGTCAGGACAGGGATATGTGGCCATGCAAGGGTAGACGTTTAAGTGGCAAAACAGGGCTCACCTACAGACAACCTCAAAAGTGAGGCAGAGGCCTGGGCTGGCTAGACTCAGTGGGAAAAGCCCTCAGGCTCAGGACAACCAAAGAGCATGGAGATGCACTTTCCAATTCAGTGGGCAGGACGCTTGGGGCTGAGAACTGGAGTACACACGTTCTTAGTGTGGGAAGAGCTTTAGAAATTACAATCATGATGCTTCTGTGAGCTTTCCATTTAAAAAAAAAAAAATCTCATACAACCTTAATACAACCCTACAGGAAAGATGTTTTTTTTTTTTCCCCCATTTTATATGTTAGGAAACAGAGTCTCAAACAGGTCTTAAATAACTAGCCCAAGACCATATAATAAATGGCAGAACTGGGATAAAACTGAAGAGGTGATGCTCTAAAGCCTGTGCTCTCGACCTCCACACTCCTTGATGAGTGAAATGTTGAGCTGGTAGGAATCGGTAGCTTTATATTTCACAATTGAGAGAAGGTTTGCTGAGGGGGTGAATCATCCTTTTTGGATGGTGGTGTGCTCTTTATCAGTAGGTGATGCAGTAGAAGATAGTTTCCCCAGTCTACCTTCCCTCATAGTGAGCCATGGTGGATGTCACAGCTGATCTGGTGGCTGTCACTTCAGGGCTGGGTTAGGAGTGATTACAAAAAAATTGTGAAATATATCATGCATACACAAAAATGTATATAATGTATCCATACAGTGTAAAGATGAACATTGTCTGTTCACCGTTCAGTTAAGCATTAGAACATTGCCTATACGTGTGAGGCCTTTTTTTTTCTCTTTTAAAAATCTATGGCAATATGCAAAGGCTGGGAGGACAAGCCCCAGAGAATGGAAATCTTGGGAAATGAGCACTGAGTAGGTTCCTGAGTCTGGGTTTCAGAGTCTCCCACTTGGAGGTGGCAGGCTATGCTTCTCAGCAGGTGCCTCGTTGTTGCAGTGTGGGGATAAATGGCTGCCCAGAACACAGAATACCCTCCCTTCAGCTATGTGGCGGGCCTCTGGGGACAGATGCACATGGTTCTGCTGCTC